>NC_000007.14:45088726-45391757 GCF_000001405.40 Homo sapiens
CAGGGGGATGGGGGAGAGGGGTGAAAGGTGAGCGATGGAAAGAGAACCCGGGCTGGAGAGGGGAGAGGCTGAAGGCAGGGAAAGAGTGGCCACGGCCTCACCTGTGCGGGGCCCGGGTCGGTCCGCCTCGGGCAGCAGCAGCTCGGCGCGGGCAGCCTCCCCAGGCATGGCCTGGCCGTGCGCCCGCCCGTCCCTCAGTCCTTCCGACCCTCCGTCAGTCCGTGCCGCCGCCCCGCCGAGCCTGCGCGGCCACCGCCCCTCGGCCGGGCGGTGGGGGCAGTGGGTGACGTCAGGCCGCCCCGCCCGCCTGTCCCAGCGAGTGAGCGTGCGCGGGCTCGCCAGGCACTGCGGAGGGCGTAGGGGGGGCTCCCTCCCCGCCCCCACCCCACCCGGCTGTGGCCTCCCTCTCGCTGTGGGCGGTTTCGTGGGGGAGCGGGGGTGGGCGCCTGCGCCCGGTCCCACCCTTTCCACAGCATTTACGAGGGAGGGTTTCAGGGCCAATTGGAAGCTGGGTTGCCTCAGGGTGGCATTCGCCCGTGGCCAGGAAGAGGCGGGGACGCCCCTAGAACCCTGGTTGTGGGAGGCTGGGGAGGTGGTTGGGATTCTGGGATGCTCGGAGCGCTTTGGGTGGAGTTGGCGGCGCAGCCTCCTTCCCCGCTGACCAAGCAGAGGGTGCAGGGCCTGGGGAGGGAGGGGGCCCCGCCCAGCCCGATGCCTCCATGCAAAAGGTGAGCTGGAGCTGCAGCTCTGGAGTGATTGGCTGGTCCTGGCAGTCGTCGGTCTCCGTGGCAACCGCCTCCTGTCTCCATGGCAACCAGGGATGGAGCCGACGAGAGCGCACCAGGGAAGGCGACCCGGATGGGTCGGTCTCCAGGTCTCTAGGCAACTCGGTGATCTGTCCTATCATCTCCCCTCCACCCCCACACTAGGCAGTAGAAGGAAAAGGAAGAAAGTGTTTCCCTCTATTCCTGGCAGCACCCTCTGCCACACCTCCCAGGAGGAAGCCCGCCCCGTGAATTTCCTGAAATGCCTCTTGCTTTCACACAGGCTACTGCGCCACCCAGATTCACTGAGCACCCCTCCTCCCCCGTGCCAGGCACCAGGGAGACAGATGAATGAGACATTGTCATCACCCCTGACTGGGGTGGGGGGAATCAGAGTAGCCATTGTCACAGGCAGGGAGGGAGGTTTCAACATCCTCAGTCTTCTGTGGGTTCTAACTTTGAGCTCATGAAGCCAGGGGCTGCCCTCTGACTCCCCCAGACCTGCCTCAAGGCTCAGTGCTACACACCTGGCTGCCTGCTGGGCATCTCTCCCCGCTGTACCCCAGGAGTCAGACACACCACACCATTAGAATTAACATCAACTTCAAACAATCTCTTCCAGAAAACAAAAGAGAAGGGGACACTTCCTAACTCATTTTATAAGGCAAGAAATATCCTGATGTCAAAACTAACAATGTGTCGCCAGGCGCGGAGGCTCACGCCTGTAATCCCAGCACTTTGGGAGGCCGAGGCTGGCGGATCACGAGGTCAGGAGATCGAGGCCATTCTGGCTAACGTGGTGAAACCCCGTCTCTACTAAAAATACAGAAAATGAGCCGGGAGTGGTAGCGGGCTCCTGTAGTCCCAGCTACTCAGGAGGCTGAGGCAGGAGAATGGCGTTAACCCGGGAAGCGGAGGTTGCAGTGAGCCGAGATCGCACCACTGCACTCCAGCCTGGGCGACAGAGCGAGACTCCGTCTCAAAAAAAAAAAAAAAAAAAAAAAAACTAACAAAGTGTCAATACACCCCAAGACCCCCAAAACGAAAACTGCAGACCAGCATCTCTCATGAATTCAGGCACAAAAATTCTCAATATTGGCAAATCAAATATAATGATGTATAAAAAAAATACACCATGACCAAGTGGAATTTATTCCACGTATGCAAGGCTGGTTTGACAGTTGAAAATCAATCAACAATACTCCAGAACACCAACAGGCTAAAGAAGAAAAATTTTGGTATCAGTTGACACAGAAAATGTGTTTGACATAACCAACATCATTCATGATTTAAAAAAAAACACTTTCAGCAAGTTAAAAATAAACTTGATAAAGATCTTATATAAAAAACTTATACAGCTAACATCATACTTAATGGTGAAAGACTGAATGCTTTTTAAGATTGGGAACAAGGCAAGGGTGTCCGCACTCACCACTCTTTTCAACATATTATTGGAATTTCTAAACCTTGCAATAAAGCAAGAAGAAATAAAAGGCAGATTGACTTCCAGAATGAAAGCATGGGGAGTTCTGCTGAGCAGCTCCCCAGTGAAACTGGTAAAAATTATTATTATTAATTTTAATTTTTTAATTTGAGATGGAGTCTTGCTCTTTTGACCAGTCTGTAGTGCAGTGGCATGATCTCGGCTCACTGCAACCTCTGTCTTCCGGGTTCAAGCGATCCTACTGTCTCAGCCTCCCGAGCAGCTGGGACTACAGGTCCCACCATGCCTGGCTAATTTTTGTATTTTTAGTAGAGACGGGGTTTCACCCTGTTGGCCAGGCTGGTCTTGAACTCCTGACCTCGTGATCCACCCACCTTGGCCTCCCAAAGTGTTGGAATTACAGGTGTGAGCCACCACACCCAGCCTGGTAAAAATTATTAAAAAAAAAAAAAAACAAACTGAGTTGAAAGGTCAGCAAGCCAGGCGTGGTGGCTCATGCCTGTAATCCCAGCACTTCAGGAGGCTGAGGTGGGCAGATCATGAGGTCAAGAAATCAAGACCTTCCTGGCCAACATGGTGAAACCCTGTCTCTACTAAAAATACAAAAATTAGCCGGGCGTGATGGTGCATGCCTGTAGTCCCAGCTACTCGGGAGGCTGAGGCAGGATAATTGCTTGAACCTGAGAGGCATAGGTTGCAGTGAGCTGAGATCGTGCCACTGCACTCCAGCCTGGTGACAGAGTGAGACTCCGTCTTGGGAAAAAAAAAAAAAAAGAAAGGGCCCAACAAAATAAAAGTGAAAGAGAGAACAAATTAAAGCTTCTGGAAATGGTCTGAAGGGCAAACAGCAAATGAAGAAACATCTGTTCAAGGCTGGATGTGGTGGCTCACGCCTGTAATCCCAGCATTTTGGGAGGCCAAGGTGGGCGGATCACTTGAGATCAGGAGTTCGAGACCAGCCTGGCTAACATGGTGAAAATCCATCTCTACTTAAAAAAAATACAAAAATTAGTTGGGTATGGTGATGCACACCTGTAATCCTACCTACTAGGGAGGCTGAGGCAGGAGAATTGCTTGAACCCTGGAGGCGGAGGTTCGTTGCAGTGAGCCGAGATCCTGCCACTGCACTCCAGCCTGGGTGATGGAGTGAGACTCTGTTTCAAAAAAAAAAAAGAAAGAAACATCTATTCAAGAAAATCTATGAGAATTTAGTAAGAAAGGCGAGAGTCTGTGGTATTTGAATCGAGACAACTCACTCCAGCAAAGGGAGGTGGACTCCACACCAGACTGGTGTTGCCAAGAACACAGGCTTCTTTTCTTCCATCTCCCGGTCAGAGGGCTTTCTTACTGGGAGGACGGAGTACTTCAGCATATCTCATCCTGCTCCCAGCTGCCTGTTGTGGAAGTAAGTCCTGGGTGAGTCTGGTTGAGGTGGGGCTCCCTTCTTCCACTTAGCCCCCACTTGTGGAAAGTGGACTCTACTTCGGGTGTGGCATGCTGAGAATACTGGGGTCCTGACAGCCCTTCTCACCGCTTATGAGGTGAGAGTTCCATGCCAGGAGAGGCTGCTGCCTCCCTTCCACTGACTGCTCAGCTCCTAGAGTGGGAGTGTGACTCAGAAGTTTGCCACTGAGCTAAGAGATTTTGCCTGGAGGGGAGAGGCAGGTTGTAAAACAGATAGCCCATGATCTCTTCCCAGAGGAAATGACCTTACTTGCAAGGCAACATAGGAAGTTTAAACCCAAGGGTATTCTCAACAGCAGTAGAGGTTATGGTGAAAGGCAACTGGAAGGAGATTCATGGATCTAATGAAGATACAGCCTAGGCTGGAGGTTGGCTAGTTTGCAGGAGAAAATGGGGTAATAAGACACCTGGGTGGAGCCCTACTGGGATTAAAGAAAATGTTAAACACTGGCCTCTGAAACTATTCTAGCTAAGAGGCCACAATTTGGATGAGTTTGCAGAGGAATTTCTGCCCAGAGTATTGTCGAAAACAATAGAGCAATCAGTGGAGTTTAGGAGTGGCAATTAGTGGAGTTTAACAGCTGGGCATGGTTAGGAAAAGAGAGTAGGAGAGCCTTACCAGAACCACTCTCATTCCAGGGTGACTGTGGGCATACACATAGCTGCACCTCCCTGAAGAGGACCATCAGAGGCGGAACATTGTAGGGGAGCGCGAAAGACCTCACCAAAAATAATCCAGCTAGTCACTAAGCAAATAAACAAGCAAACAGCAATACAAGCTCCAGAAGGGAGGGGGTTTGGACCTGTACCCAGAGTTGCTATTGGGTTACTGTTCAATTATTTATTTAATGTTATTAAAATGTCCACTTTCCAACAAAAAATTGGCAAAGAAATGAAAGTATGACTTGTATACCAGAAAAATAAAAAAGGCAGGAACAGAACCTGCCTGTGTAAGCAACAAGATTTTAACAGAAAAATATTTCAAAATAACCACTACGAATATGTTCGTAGAATAAGGGAAAGTATGATTAAAGAAGTAATGGAAGGTATATGATGATATTCCATCAAATAGAGAATATCAGCAAAGAGATAGAAATTATTTTTTTAATTAAAAAAAAATTTTTTTTGAGACAGGCTGTCACTCTGTTGCCCCAGCCGGAGTGCGGTGGTGTGATCATGGCTCATTGCAGCCTCCACCTCTGGGGCTCAGGTGATCTTCCCACTTCAGCCTCCTGAATAGTTGAGGTATGTGCCACCACACCCAGCTAATTTTAAAATTTTTTTGTAGAGACGAGGTCTCACCATGTTGCCCAGGCTGGATATAAATTTTTTAAAAATGCAAATTATGGAGTTGAAAAGTAAAATATCTGAAAGAAAAAATTCACAAGAGGGCTGAACAGTAGATTTCAGTGGGCGAAGAAAGAATTAGTGAACTTGATAGAGATTAGAGATTGATGGAGATTATACAAACTGAATAACAGAAAAAAAAGGAAAAATGAACAGAAACTCCAGAGAATGTGAACACTATTAAGCACACCCACATACACATAATGGGAATACCAAAAGGAGAGAAAAGAAAAAGGAGAAAGAAAAATATATGAAATAGTAATGACTGAAAACTTCTCAAATTTACTGAAGAACAATAATCTACACAGCCACAAAGTTCAATGAACTAAAAAAGAATATATGAAAATAGACCCACATGCCTGTAATCCCAGCATTTTGGGAAGCTGAGGTGGGTGGATCACCTGAGGTCAGGAGTTCAAGACCAGCCTGGCCAACACGGCAAAACCCCATCTCTACTAAAAAATACAAAAATTAGCCAAGCGTGGTGGTGGGTGCCTGTAATCCCATCTACTCAGGAGGCTGAGGCAGGGAGAATTGCTTGAACCCAGGTGGCAGAGGTTGCAGTGAGCCAAGATCAGGCAACTGCACTCCAGCCTGGGTGACACAGCAAGACTCCATCTCAAAAAAAGAAAAAGAAAATAGACCCACAGACACATTATAATCAGACACATTATAATAGTTCAGCAAGGTTGCAGGATTCAAAATCCATATATAAAAATCAATTGTTTTTCTGTAAACTTGCAATGAAAATCCAACATTGAGATTATGAAAATTCCAGGAGCCAGGCATGATGGTGCACACCTGTATCCCAGCTACTTGGGTGGCTGAGGCAGAAGGATTGCTTGAGCCCAGGAGTTTGAGGCCACCCTGGCCAACACAGCAAGGCCCTGTTTCTAAAAATAAAAAAATAAGCAAACAATTCCATTCAAACTGGCATTAAAAAAATAACATACTCAGGAATAAATTTAACAAAAGTAGTTCAAAACTAATACTCTGGAAACTCCAAAACAATGTTGAAAGAATTAAGGAATATCTAAATAAATATGAAAGTATCCCATGTTCATGGATCAGAAGACTTAACATTCACATGGTAAAAATCCCCAAGATCTAAAGATCCAACCCAATCCCTATCAGAGTCCCAACTAACTTCATTGTAGAAATGGATGAGTTAATTCTAAAAATCACATGGAATTGCAAGGGACCTAGAGTAGCCAAACAATCTTGAAAACAAAAACCACCTCCCAATTTCAGTACTTAGTACAAAGCAACAGCAATCAAGAGATAGTGTGCTACTGGCAGAAGGATAGACATAAACATAAATGGAATAGAACTGAGAGCCCAGAAGCAGACTGATTTTTGACAAGGCTATCAAGATCATTGAA
Organism: Homo sapiens; assembly: GCF_000001405.40. Lineage (NCBI taxonomy): Eukaryota > Metazoa > Chordata > Mammalia > Primates > Hominidae > Homo > Homo sapiens. The sequence goes on from NC_000007.14 coordinate 45,095,128, forward strand.
AGGGGTAGGGGGAAAGAACAGTCTTTTCAACAAATGGTGCTGGGACAAAAGGATAGCCACATGCAAAATAAAGCTGACACTTACTTCACACCATGCTACCGTTTGAATATGCCCTCTTAAACTCATGTTGAAATTTAACTGCATTGCAACAGTATTAAGAGGTAAGACACCTTTAAGAGGCATTTAGACCATGAGGTCTTGGCTATCATTAATGCTGTTAACATGGGATGGTTTAGATTCTGAAGGGTGGGCCCCTGATAAAAGAATAAATTTGGCCTCATTTTCTCTGTCTTGTGCATGCTATCTCACTGTGTGATGCCTTCTGCTATAGGATGACACTCACTAGATGCTGGTGCCATGCTCTTAGACTTCCCAGCCTCCAGAACCATGAACCACATAAAATTCTTTTCTTTTTTTTTTTGAGACACAGTCTCACTCTGTCACCCAGGCTGGAGTGCAGTGGCGTGATCTTGGCTCACTGCAACCTCCACCTCCTGGGTTCAAGTGATTCTCCTGCCTCATCCTCCTGAGTAGCTGGGATTACAGGCACTTGCCACCATGCCTGGCTAATTTTTGTACTTTTAATAGAGACAGGGTTTCACCATGTTGGTCAGGCTGGTCTTGAACTCCTGACCTCATGATCTGCCCAACTTGGTCTCCCAAAGTGCTGGGATTACAGGCATGAGCCACCATGCCTGGCCAAGTTCTGTTCTTTATAAATTACTCAGTTTGCAGTATTCTGTTGTAGCAGCATGATATAGTCTGGTATCTGTCTCCACCCAAATCTCAGTTGAATTGTAATCCCCAATGCTGGAGGTGGGGCCTGGTGGGAGGTGTTTGGATCATGGGGACGGACCCCTCATGGTTTGGTGCTGTCTTTGAGACAGTGAGTTCTCCTGAGATTTGGTCTTTTTTGAGACTGAGTCTTGCTCTGTTGCCAGGCTGGAGTGCAGTGGTGTGACCTTGGCTCACTGCAACCTCTGCCTCCCAGATTCGAGCAATTCCCATGCCTCAGGCTCCTGAGTAGCTGAGACTACAGGCATGCACCACTAGGCCCAGCTAATTTTTTTTTTTTTTTGTATTTTAGTAGAGATGGGGTTTCACCATGTTGGCCAGGATGGTCTTGATCTCCTGACCTCGTGATCCGCCCGCCTCGGCCTCCCAAAGTGCTGGGATTACAGGCATAAGCCACCGCGCCCGACCAAGATTTGGTCATTTAAAAGTGTGTGGCATCTCCCCACTCTACACACTCTCTCTCTTGCTCCTGCTTCACCATGTGACATGCCTGTTCCCCCTTTGCCTTCCTACCACGATGGGGAGCCTCCTGAGGCCTCCCCAGAAACAGATCCCACTATGCTTCGTGTACAGCTTGCAGAACCCCATGCCAATTAAACCTCTTTTCTTATAAATTACCCAGTGCACACACATACACACACACCTTTGCAGCAAGATGAATGGAGCTAGAGGCCATTATCTTGTGAAATAACTGAGAAACTGAAAATCAAATATCGCATGTTCTCACTTATAAATGAGAGCTAAACAATGGAGGGGTACACATGGACATAAAGATGGAAATAATAGACACTGGAGACTCCAAATGTGGGGAGGGTGGGAGACAAGGGTTGAAAAACTACCACTGGGTACTATGTTCATTACGTGGGTAATGGGTTCATTAGAAGCCCAAACCTCAGCATGATATAGTATACCCATGTAACAAACCTGCACCTAGTGTACTCCCTAAATCTATTTTTTTTTTTTTTTTTTTTTTGAGACAGTCTGCTTCTGTTGCCCAGGCTGGAGTGCAGTGGCACGATCTCAGCTCACTGCAAGCTCCACCTCCCAGGTTCATGCCATTCTCCTGCCTCAGCCTCCCAAGCAGTTGGGACTACGGGCACCTGCCACCACGCCCGGCCAATTTTTTTGTATTTTTAGTAGAGATGGTGTTTCACTGTGTTGGCCAGGATGGTCTCAATCTCCTGACCTCATGACCCGCCCACCTTGGCCTCCCAAAGTGCTGGGATTACAGGTGTGAGCCCCCGTGCCCGGCCACTCCCTGAATCTTAAAAAAGATATTCTTCCAAAAGACATGCAAATGGCCAAATAAGTAAATGAAAAATGCTGAAAACCATTAGTTATTAGGGAAATAACAAAAACCACAATGAGAAATCACTTTATACGCACTCACATGGCTAAAATAAAACTCAAATTACAAGTGTCATTGAGGATGTAGAGAGATCTGAAACCTTACACACTGCTGGTGGGAATGTAAAACAGTCTAGCAGTTCCTTAAACGACTAAACATAGTTACCATAGACCCAGCAATTCCACTCCTAGGTATATAACCAAGAGAAAAATGAAAACATACATTTATACTCAAACTTGTACAGGAATATTTATAGCAGCATTATTCATGTATTAGTCCATTTTGCATTGCTATAGAAGAATATCTGAGATGGTAATTTATAAAGAAGTTTATTTGGCTCACAGTTCTGCAGGCTGTACAAGCATGGTACTGACATCTGCTTGGCTCCTGGGAAGGCCTTAGGAAGCTTTTACTCATGACAGAAGGTGAACAAGGAGCAGGCATGTCACATGACGAGAGAGGGCAGAACAGATAGGGCAGGAGTTCCCAACAACCAGCTTTCAAGTGAACTAATATAGAGCAAGAACTCACTCATTACAAGGATGGCACCAAGCCATTTATGACAGATGTTCCTATGATCCAAACACTTCCTAACAGGCCCCATTCTCCAACACTGGTGATCCTATTTCATGAGATTTGGAGGGGACAAAATATCCAAACTGTATCAGTTCATATTATCCAGAAGGTGGAAACAATCCACATGTCCATCAATGGATGAATGGATAAACAAAATGTGGCACAAACTATAATGGAATATTATTCAGCCAAATAAAGGAATGAATACTCATACATGCGACATGAATGAAACATGAAAACAATATGCTAAGTAAATGAAGCCAGTCACAAAACACCAAAATATCACATCAGTATATGAGGCTTAGAAAATGTGCAAATTGTGGTGATGGTTGCATGTATCTGCAAAGAGACTAAAAACCACTGAATTATACATTTTTGTTTTCGAGATGGGGTCTCACTCTGTCGCCCAGGCTGGACTGCAGTGGTGCTATCATGGTTCACTGCAGGCTTGACTTCCCAGGCTTAAGTGATCCTCCTACCTCAGCCTCCTGGGTTGCTGGGACGACAGGTGCGTGCCACTGCGGCTAATTCTTGTATTTTAAAAAATAGAGACAGGGTTTTGCCTGTTGCCCAGGGTGGTCTTGAACTCCTGGGCTCAAGATCTGAGGGCCTTGGCCTCCCAAACTGCTGGGATTACAGACGTGAGCCACCACACCTGGCCTAATTATACATTTTAAATGGGTGAAGTGTATGGCATGTGAATTATATTTTAATGAAGTGGTCATAAATAACAAAATAAAAAGCATATTGATTTGAAAGGATAAATACATTCCTGTTTTCAGGACATAAATATCTACATAGGAAATCCAAAGGAATTTTAAAAATGCATAAAGTTTAGCAAGATCACATAAAAATCAATCCCATTTCTATATGCTAACAATCAATGTGTGAATGCCAAAATTAAGCACTACACCACTTACAATTGCTCCAAAATCATGACTTAGGGGTGTGTGTGTATATACGTGTATATATACATATATACACACATATATACTTATATACACATGTACATATATATACACACACACACACACACATATATATTTTTTGAGACAGAGTCTTGCTCTGTTACCCAGGCTGGAGTGCAGTGGCACAATCTTAACTCACTGCAGCCTCCACCTCCCGGGTTCAAGTGATTCACCTGCCTCAGCCTCCTGAGTAGCTGGGATTACAGGTGCCTGTCATCATGCCCGACTAATTTTTATATTTTTAGTAGAGACAGGGTTTCACAATGTTGGCCAGGTTGGTCTTGAATTCCTGGCCTCAGGCGATTCGCCCGCCCCAGCCTCCCTAAGTGCTGGGATTACAGGCGTGATCCCACCACACCTGGCCGACTTAGGTAATATAAAACAAAAACTACAGGCTGGGTGTGCCTGATGGTGCCCAGTGAAGCCAGCACAAACTACCCCAATGCTTGGGTGAGTGGCCAAGCATCAGAGCAGTGACTAGACTTTTTCTTTTTGGGGAAACAGCCTAGGGTTGGGAGCCTACAGTGCTGAGGGCTGTGGGCCTCTCCATCTCAGCTCCACCCCACTGTCCTACTCTCTGTTCTGTATGGCTGGAGGCAACCCAGTTCCCTGACTGCTATTTAGTCAGGTTCTGCCAATAGGTGTCTCTAAGGAGAGGCTGGAAGGTAGAAAGCTTGTTGCCTCCCAGCACCTGGTAATCCCCGCAGCAGCAGGGAGGCTGCCAGGGTCCTGTTTGGGCAGCCAGTTCCTAGATGACAGCACAAGGCTCTGGTCAGGGTGGTGAAGACAACGATGGAGTTTGGCTCTTGGTGCCGTGGTGTCAGCCAAGTGGGATCTTCTCCTCTCCCAGAGCCAGCGCCTCCCAAGTGCTCACCCAGCCCTCACATCACCTGTCACCACATGCTGTCAGGGTGCCTTTCACTCAGCTAAGTGTGAGACAACTGATGGGAGAAAGCCTCCCAGGATGGCTGTGGTTCAGTAGCCACAGCTCCATCAGAACCCCCAGCCATGCACTGAATCTCCAATCAGCTTCCCTGGGAAGCTCCTCTGCTCTGGAGGTTCAGAATTCTAGGACTCCACCTGCCTGCTGGGGCTGATACAGACCCCTACGCAAGAGGCCGGCATATGTGAATAAGCACTCATGGAGGGAAGAAGCTGGGAGAGACAGGCAGGTAACAACCCAGGTCTGTCCCTAAAGCAGCCCTCTTGGGCTGGGCGTGGCGGGGGAGTGCACAGGGCAGACTGGAGAACCACGCCCTGCTCAACAAAGCAGACAGACAAGTGCTGACAGTGCAGAGGGTGACCAAGCCTGGGAAGGCCCCAGGGGTCCAACACCAAAATTAAAGGTTTATTATACACAAGAGGACGTTCTGTCCCTCAGAGTGGCTGGCCACCCTCCCCACTCTGGCCAAGGTCCTGCACAGAGGTTTGTCCTCAAGGGTGACCCTTCTTGGCCGCCCACAGCTAGACCTCCGGCGGAGAGGCACGCAGTCCATGCTGCTGGCACAAGTCACTTGGCCAGCTCCTCAGCCACCGCTTTGCGCATCTTGTCCTTGAGGTAGGCGCCTTTCTGCCATTCAGACTTGAGTTCCAGCCACTCATAGAATGGGACCTAGAAGGAGGCAGGGGAGACAGGTCACATGGGCAAGGAGATCCCTTCCAGCCAGTGGCTCTGCCTGCTTGCCTGCTGTCCTCACATTGACCCCTCACCCAACACCTCTGCTGACCAACAGCTCTGCACACCTGCCCCTTGGCCTCCAAGTCTTCAAGGCAGAGCCCATGAACTGCAGGCAGTGCGGGCGGGGAGAGGTGCTAGCACTGTCAGTGCTGGAGGGGTCTGCAAACTACTCGGAGGCCCAAGAAGGGCTTCTGAATTTTAAACAGTTAAAAAACTCACAACAACCCAAAGAAGCAAACAGAACCCTTGTGTGGCTCATGAAGCCACATGTTCATTCACTGGCCCTTCCCAGGGAAGGTGACCACCTTTGATCTTAACCAAGGTCTCCCAGGTGTGAAACCAGAGTCAGGCCCAAGACCTGCATCTTTCTGCTCCTGCCAGTTCCACTGGTCCTACTTTTCCTGACAACAGGCGCTGACCAAGGGGGCAGAGCAGCTGCACTCAGAGCCCCAACAGCTGTGCAGCCTCTTGGGCTTCAAGCTGCTCATCTGTGAATGGGCCCTACCCTGCCCACCTCTTAAGCTGAATAAGCAGGCTTGGTTGCCTTTTTGGGTTCACCCACGGGGTGAGATGCTGGGAAGGTTAGAGGGGAGGCTGGAGCAGCTAGGATCCACAGTAAACTCCCTCCCTGGGCTCCTGGGAGAGGCCCGGGGCCACGGGCAGGGCATGTGTCTATACCTGCTGGCTCAGTTCCACCTGATCCCCTCTCTAGCGTGGGTTGGGGATTCTCCCTGTGCAGTGACCACCTGCCCAAGAGGTACTCACGTCCACTATCAGGAAGCCTGCAGCCACTATGTGTCGCCGGGCCAGAACAAAGCGACCCAGCAAGTCCTTGCTTCGGCTGTTGAAGTTGGGGAACTCCCACCGCAAGAACGCTAGCCTGGAAGGAAGAAGAGGTGGCTGACATGCTTCCACTCTCCCAGCCCCTCGGAGGGGAAAGATGGAAAGCAAAGAATATGCAGTCCAACAGCCATGGTGCCCCCATGGCCAACAGGTCCCTGGCCACCTACCTCTTAGACCCTGGAGGTGGTGACTGGCTCCCAGTTGGCTGGGCAAGGTGAGGTGCCACAAAGTCCCTTACGGGCAGAAACTCGCCGTCACTGTCCAGCAGCACCTCAGCATCTGGGGAAGGGGTGTGGGATGAGAACATGTTGGGGGACATCCCTCAGAAACCCCCCCACAGGAAAGATGAACAAAGATGGGACTGTGGGGAGCCCAGGCTGACACCCTGCAGCTCCCTAGGTCAGTACTTGCTGCAGACGGGGTGGGTTAGAAGAGTCCCGTTAGACTCAGGCAATGCCAGGCCCTGTGCCAACCAGGGGGAGCCCTCACCCAGCACCCAGCCATACTGCGTGGCCACCTCGAGGCTGCCCTTGTCGGCGCTCCCCAGCAGCCCCTTCAGCGTCTCCTGCAGCTCCTTTTGCAGGGGGGTCACCTTCCTGTCAAGGGCTGAGGGCCCAGGGGCCACAGCCGAGGCAGGCAGAAGGGGACCCGAGTACTCGGGGTACTCCAGCAGGGCAGTGGCGTTGATGTGGAGCAGCTTCTGGAAGGTGTTCTGATCCTTCTGAGACTTGCCCCCTAGGAGACAAGGAGAAAGAAGAGGGAGGTGGGCCTACGGCCAGAGATGGGGAGACCCTGATGAGAGGGCAGTGCACCCCTACACCCAGTCCCAGCCCAGTTTTCTGGGTCAGGAGGCAGCAGAGTTACGGTCTGCTGGCCACCTACAGGGAGAGGATGGAGAGCGAGGGGGAGGGAGAGCCCTGGCCTCCATCTGCCCCAAATTCTCACCTGGCACTAGGCAGACAAGACCAGGCAGTTTCCCAGTTCCAGTAGTACTAGGGGCAGGGGGCTCACCTAGAAATTGGATGTGAAATTCAGGGTGGAGGACGGCTTGCAGCTCTGCTTCCCGTGCCTGCTGCAGCACACACAGGGCCCACACCAGGTCCACCTGCAGGGCTGGCTCCAGGCCTGGCAGCTCTGACCCCAGCTTCTCATGTACCTGGGCAAGGATAGAGTGTGGTGGAGAAAGCAGGCTCTCCTTAGGGGCTGCAAATAGCCATGGGTGAGACACAATCCATGATGTGGTCTTGGCCTGGTTGGGATGAGGCCAGAGGAGGCTACTAGGTAACAAGAGGCAGAACCCTGGCCCTTGGTGAGGCCTGGAGCAATCCTGGGCTTGAAGGTACCAGGAATCTTCCTCATGCCCCAAGACCACTCTGAACAGCAGAAGAGTGCTGCTGAATGCTGGCATTTGATTAGGTTTACTACAACCAACCTACTGGCAGGGAACAAGATCCCTTCTCCCATAATGTCTCCAAGTGAGCACCTGGGACAAGGAAGGAGGAATCTCTGGTCCTCTGAGAGATGAGAGCATCCAAGAGGTGAAGCAGCACTCCCCAGCCCCTGGCTAATTGTTCTCAGGACTGTGCCAGACAAACCCCTGATGGAATCCCAGGGAGCCTGGGATCACACCTGGCCTGCTGGCCTCTGTGGCTGTCCTAAGGTCTTCATAAAGAAGGCTCCCCCTCCTGCCCTGAGCTGGTGCACATAGCACGAAGGCCCACTGGAGCTTCTGAGCATCAACAGGGCATTAAAAGGAGCACCAGAGGCAGGACCCCCCAGCGCTGCCTGGCAGGGCAGTCAACCAGACAGCAGGATTTCATGTGTTCTCAGTAATCCCTAGGATGCCTGGCTCCAATCAGTTCCCCCTGCCCTCCCATGCCACACATAGTGGCCCCTCCCGCCTCCACCTAGCCCGAGCTGATCTTGGGAGGACGGTTCATGAGCCATTAGCTGAAGGGGAGGATAAAGGTCGAGCAGTGGGAGCCCAGAGGCCCTACCAGGCTGAAGAACTGATCCTCTTGGTCTGGATGGAAGTTCAGACGCGCAAAAGCCAGAAGTACGCTGCACAGGTGGGGCAGGGTGATGTCCTGCGCTCTGTTCAGGACGTGCTGGGTGGGTCAGAAATAGCAGAGGGACAGAATAAGCTCTCTGCCCAGCACGCTGTCCTCCTGCCTGGCTCTGAGTCTGAGGAGAGCCTGCATGGCCAGGGGCAATGGCAGGACCCTCCATCCAGGGCCCATGAGCTGTGTCGGGAACAGAGAAGGACTTACACAGGCCCAGACACTCCTTCGCCTGGCAGCAACTACCCACAGAGGCTGGGGACACCTAGAAGCTGCTTCTTTCTGATAAGGGATTTAGAAATATTCTCCAACCAGTAAACTTAGTTTAGACTGGTCACACATAAACGTAACTGCAGGTGTCATCTTTCTGTACAGTTCCACTTTGCGAGGGGGATCAGTGATTCAGTAGACAGTTCTCAGTGGATTCTCAGTCTCATCAGCCATGCTGCTACCTGCTACAGCTACCCCAAAATGGATGGAAGCACTTATAATGGTCAGTGAAAGAACAGAGGAAACAGTTCTCAAACACTTTTTTGAGAACTGAATAGCAGCCCTTTCAAAATAAGCCAAAATGCAAGAAATATGTATTTGCCCCCACAAGTGAGCATTTTCAGACTGGCTTTACTTTCCCGACTAAGGCAATGGTTCCCAGCAGATGGCCAGGAAGCCAGCTTCTCTGAGTTGGGGCCAGGCCCTGGCTCACCTGGGCAAAGGCCTCAAACAGGGGCAGGCTGAGCCACTTGAGTAAGGCGAAGGACTTGGCACAGTGGGCCACCTCACCAGAAGTCAGGCTGGGCATGAGGGATAGCAGGTCGGTGGCCAGGCGCTGGGACACCTGGGTCTGGTGAAAGCTGAGTTTGCCTTCAGGACAGAGCAGATCACAGGGTTTAGCTGGAGAGAGTCAGCAATCACCCAGCAGCTCCACCCCACCTCAGCCTCGAGGTCTAGATATTTGATGTCTGTAACCAAATTTATCCCTGAGCCTGGGACACAGGAACAGGGCCCATGAGTCACAGTGTTTCTGTGGCAGCCTTCTGGGCCAGTGCCTACCATGCATAGGACAGGTACTGAATTTGACACGGCTGCAGGCATCTGCAGGGCCAGCGCTCCCCTCTCTCCACCGTTCTGTCCAAAGGGCTCACCATAGGCATAGGCCACGTCCAAGAGCACATCTTTCGTCAGAGAGAAGGGCTTCTGCACCAGGTGGTAGGAGATGGCCCGCAGCAAGGGCACGGACCGCCGGCTCTGAGCTGCCAGCATCACCAGCACCTTCCGCAGCTCATTGGGGCCAAAGTGCTCCACCAACTCCAGGCACTGTCAACCACAGCCGCGCAGAGGTCAGCTCAATGGCCTGGGGTGGCAGAGATGAGCTGGGGGCAGGGGTCCCATGGTCCCATCCAGTGCAGCCCCTGTGACAGCCCCTGTCAGACTGGGCCTGAGCTGACTAAACACAGGACCACTGTGCAGGGCCTGCCTCCTCATCCACCCCAGGGAACCCCTGGACCTGGAGCACTGTCCACAGCCAAACTTATCCCCAGGTCCCAGGGTAGGTGACCCAGGGCCCATGAGCTGTGGAGCTTGCTGTGGCAGCCATCTGGGCCAGCCCCCGCTATGACAGAAACGGGCACTGAATTTGACTTGACTGCAGGGCTACAGCCGATAGGGGTTAGCACATCTCCAGGAGAGTTCTAGCCAGAAGCCAGGCCTGGGCAGTAGCTGTGTTACTTCAGGAGCTGCCTGCCATGCCCCCCTCTCAAGATCGTGCTGTGATGGGGTTTGGGGGAAAGATAAAGGTGCAATCAGGGAAGCGCCTGTGTTGGGAGGAGCAAGTGGTGCTTGATGAATGCAGCCACAGGGCAACCACCTGTTGCAGCTCCGAGCCCTCTGGTCCTGCCCCATGTGATGCCTGAGGCTCCAGACAGAAGCTCCCAGGGCTCTGATCCCAGTGCACACAACGCACCCCTCTGCAGACAACTGTCACCCAAAGAACAAGCCCAAAGCCCAGGGGAGGCAGGCTGGGTGCCACCTGCTTTCAGGCCCAGTACCTTGTCTTCCAGGCGGTTCATTAGTGGCTCCGAGAGGTGTCCCACCTTCATCATGACGGTCACTAATGTGTGGGAATCTTCAATTTCTGTCCAACGCCTTTCCAGGTGTGTGAGCAGCTCAGCCAGCAGCTCCTGCGAGTGCTGCTCCTGTGAGAGGGTGGCACAGGACTCTGCCAGGAAGGCCAGGTGCTTGTACTTGAGCTTCCGCATGCGCCAGCGGACCTCCTGCTCCACCGACTGCAGCTCCTTGGAGGCCTTGGGGATGCCCAGAGCATACAGGCTTCCCAGCAGCTTCGAGAGGGTACCATGCCAGACCGAGGCAATCTAGGCAGAGAAAGGACACAGGAGAAATGATGTGGCACTGTCAGTCCTGTGTGTGAGCTGGAGGCTACCTCTCTGAACCTTGTTTCATGAGCATTTACTACAACTCTTCAGAGAAGACAGTATCAGTTCCCCACTCCATTGTAACAGGGCCCCAGTGCCTGGCTGCTCCTCACAGCCTTGCTCAGCCTCGAGGCCTAGACGCTTGGTGTCTGTAACCAAATTTATCCCTGAGCCTGGGACACAGTAACAGGGCCTGTGAGTCACTGTTTCTGTGGCAGTCTTCTGGGCCAGTGCCTACCATAGACAGGGCAGGCACTGAATTTGACATGGCTGCCAAGCACCTGCAGAGCCAGAGCACCCCTCAGGCACAGGCCAGATCCAAGGGTACACCTCTGAGCCTGATCCTCTAGGCTACAATAAATAGCACATTTCTGCTCAAGGTGGCTGAGGTCATTTGCAATTGCTTGCAAGCAAGAACTCTAGAGTGGCAAGGGAAATTCTCCAAGTTTCCCCAATGAAGTTTTGACCTAATGTAGTTGATTAAAGAGAGACCACACTCTTTTACATGGTCCTGGCTACAGCTCTGGGTAGTGGGCACGTAGACTTCAGCTGCAAGTAAAGCTGTCAAATCAATACAAGAGGTCAGAGAAAAAGTTGAGCCTGATGGATGTCACCTGATGGCAGAGAAGGTGGCACTTACGCTTGCTAAGATCAGTTTTGTTATCATTCGTGACTTTTACTTGCAACGACATTAAAAGTTTTAGGTATTAAAAACTTGGGCCAGGCAGATCACCTGAGGTCAGGAGTTCGAGACTAGCCTGGTGAACGTGGTGAAACCCTGTGCCTATTAAAATTACAAAAATTAGCCAGGTGTGGTGGCACATGCCTGTAGTCCCACCTACTTGGGAGGCTGAGGTGGGAAGATCACTTGAACCTGGAAGGTGGAGGCTGCAGTGAGCTGAGATTGTGCCACTGCACTCCAGCCTGGGTGACAGAGTGAGACTCTGTCTCAAACAACAAAACAAAACACACTGGCTTTTCTCCAGGAAAATAATTTGTTTTTGAGTCAGAGAAGCTCCAACCCCTAAACTGTTCTCTAACAAACCAATCTCGCAGTTTCTGGCAACGTGAAAGTTTCTTAGGAATGCAACTGCTGCAATAAGCAGGAGTCCCTGCAGTGCGTTAGGCAGTGAACCACCACCTTTACCCTCCAGGGACGCGGCACCCAAGCATGCCAGACCCTCAACTGCCTGCAAAGGGAGGAGCACCCCAGGCACAAAGGTTTGCAGGAACGCTTTTGACATATGGGTAAAAAGACCCCCGGTATCACTAAGCCCTGCCCACTCCCAAATGCAGAGGCCTCCTAGGGATGACCAAGCTGCTGCTGCTACCAGCAGCACCTCTGAACAGGCTCTTACTAAATGCCAGGCATCCTTCTGTGTGCGTACCCCCATGAGACACCAACATCCTATGAGAACCATCAGTCCCACTATACAGGTAAACGAAGGTGAACTTATTTCTACATAGTTCTGGGTCCGGAACCTGCACCACAGCCCGTCCTCTCTGCTGGTGCCTGCTTTGTTTCTGAAGAGGGTAACTGCTATTCAGGTACTGTGTCCACAGGGCCCACAGTGTCAACATGGGTGGCTCTAGAGCCCTTTGGCCCTGAATCCAGCCTTGCAGAAGAGAGCAGATGGTAAAACAAGTATGGCTCTGTCCTTTCCTGGGCCAAGTCTCTCAACACTGAACCCTCAGGTTCAGTCTCTGCGCTTATGAATGAGAAGCAGAAACCACACCTTCAAGGAAGTGAGCTGCGAACAGAGAAGCTGCTGTCTGAAGGGCTGGGGAGGAGGGAGAAAGTACTGGAGTAAATTCTAATCTTACAGAAGATCTGGGTGTCTACCTTCCGGTTTCATGGACAGCAGGAAAATCTTTGAAAAGAAAGCTGTTATTACATTACAGATACTTGCCTTATAATTTTGTTACAATGTTCAGTCTTGCATCATAAGACTTTCTTAAATCACATGTGAGTAAAAAGAGTCAATAAACAGCAATTAGAATTGTAGCCAAATAACAAGGGGGCCTAACTAAGTTCATTTTATGAATTATATCCCCAGCAAGAAATAATTATGTACTGTAACCCCAGTCCACACAACACAGGCATATATATACATCCTTAACTAGAACAAAAGTTCCATGAGACATTAGTGAATCCCCTTACTATATGTGATGAATTCTGGTATTTTTTATACTACTCTACCTCATTAAGAATCAGCTGGCCACATCCCACTACACTGATTTTATAACCTGCAGTTTGAAAAGCACTCAGTTAGTGCAACTCCTTCCTTGGATAGTGCCTTTCTCTTCATTACACCTGACAACTGGAAACATGGTTTCAGTGCCCCAGCACTTCCCTTCCAAAGCAGACCAGGGATTTAGGGCCAGTTCAGCCACAGCAGGAGTCTGTACTCCTTTTTTTGTACATGGAGCCCAGGGGAAGACTCTCTAAGAAGGGAGTCCCTCACAGTGAGCAGGAACTGGCTTCTGTAGTCTGAGTTCTGCCCTGCTCAGTGCCACACAAATGGGTCTTGTTGCTTCTCTCCATGGTCATCCTTGGAGGGTCTGAACATGGCTAGATCATGCCCACGTCTGTCTCAAGTTTCAAGGACCTTCCATCAGTCATGCTGCATCTCCTTTGGCTTCAAAAACAGTGCCTTGCCATCAGCCAGACACTGGCAGAGAGCAATACAAGTCAAGACTATATGGTGAGGGGGAAAGCACCCAAAGAACTGAGAAGAACCAGGCTCACTTCCCATGCTTCTATCACTATGCGTCTTGGCTGTCTGTAAGACGAGCATAGCAATATTTACCTAACAGGCCTCTTGTAAGGATAAACAAAGAGAAAGCACGATAAAGCACTTTGAAATTTATAAAAAAATAAAAAATATCACAAGAGATGCAAGGCCCCTGTCTATGCTTGGTAAGCACTGGCTGCTGTGGACCCCAGCATTTCTGGCTGTTTTCCTCTTGTCTATGCTCTCAGACCACACTCCGGCACCCACCTGACTGTTGAGCAGACAGAGAAGTTGATGAAAGTGGGCATCCTGTATGAGCAAGCCTTTATCTTCTGGCTTCTCAGACAGCAAGTGAGAGAGCCGGATAAGTACCATTGCTGCTTGATTGCTGTCCAAGTCGTGACTGCCACCAAGTAGCTCCAGGAGCTCCTCTGGCCTTGTGGCCTTCTTGATGAGGTGGTCCACCTGCTTCTCTATGTAGGGAGTAGATGCTCGTTCCTTCTCCACCGGCTCCATCAAGGAACCTGGGAGGTGGGAAATGGGTGAGGTGGCTGAGGAAGTCAGAGTCTTATGGGCTACCCAGGCAAGTCTCAGTCGGCCAACTGGAGCCATGGCAGGGGCCTGACGAGCAGCTTCTCTCAGGAGGCACGTGCATCGCTTTACCAGGTGAGCTGCCATGATGTCCTGGGTGGCAGAGAGACAAGACTCCTAGCAAGTGATTCCAAACCCTGAAGAGAAAAAGGAGAGAGAAGGGGCTACTACAGGGGCAGTTCCTGACTCACAAACTTGAGAAATGAAATAGTCAAAGCCACTCTATCTGTAAAATCAGACTAAGTCTTTCTTGACAATCCATAGGTATGTGATAGTATTTTCTAAAGCAAAAGTCTCACAGGATTTTTGTTTCAGTACAGAATGCCATCAAATATCAAAACTCAGGAACATTACAGCCTGGGTGGGAGGGTTTCCATCCTGCTTGTAATTTGAAATCACCTAGGATGTGGTTCAATAATTCAGATTCCCAGGTCCTGCCCAAGGCCTCCTAAATGATGGCATCTCTGCAGACACGACCTAGACAGCATTAATTTTTTTTTATTTTTTTATTTCAAGGGTAACCAGGATTAAAAATTACGGGCTTGGCCAGGCGTGGTGGCTCACGCCTGTAATCCCAGCACTTTGGGAGGCCTAGGCGGGTGGATCACTTGAGGTCAGGAGTTTGAGACCAGCCTGGCCAACATGGTGAAACCCCATCTTTACTAAAAATATAAAAATTAGCTGGGCATCATGGTGCACGCCTGTAATCCCAGCTACTTGGGAGGCTAAGGCACAAGAATTGCTTGAACCTGAGAGGCGGAGATTGCAGTGAGCTGAGATTGCACCACTGGACTCCAGCCTGGGTGAGAGACTCCATCTCAAAAAAAAAAAAAAAAAAAAATTCACATTCCCAAAGCCTCTGTGGATATATTTTAACACTGTAGACATAGGTGTGAGCCTCTCGAAACCAAGGTAGATTACATCACTAGCCTACTAAAACCCCCCCACCAAATTTCTAACAGCAAAAATTCTGAACCAATAATAAGAAGCACTTCATAACATGGCCCAGAATGATTTTCTCAGTCTTAGCTTTTTCTGCCTCCCAGCAACACAAGGCCCCATTTTAAACAGGCCTTGCACTTCCACTTCACCTTACAGGGCTTGTTATCTGGGTCTCCTCCTCCCCCTATAAGACCCTTTAAAATACATCTCATCCTTCCAAGGCCAAACTCAATGTTGCCATCTCCAGCAATGTGTTACATATAGCCTTGATGTTGCTTTTAACAATTCTATCGGCCAGGCGCAGTGGCTCACGCCTGTAATCCCAGTACTTTGGGAGGCTGAGGCGGGCAGATCACGAGGTCAGGAGATCGAGACCATCCTGGCTAACACGGTGAAACACCGTCTCTACTAAAAATACAAAAAAATTAGCCGGGCGTGGTGGCGGGCACCTGTAGTCCCAGCTACTAGGGAGGGTGAGGCAGAGCTTGAAGTGAGCCGAGATCGCGCCACTGCACTCCAGCCTGGGTGGCAGAGCGAGACTCTGTCACAAAAAAAAAAAAAAAGAAAAAAAATTCTATCAGCTAGTCTAGCTCCCTACGGTGATTACATGATCCAGGGAAGACATGCGACAAGGGCAAGATAAAACGTTCACCTAGGCCTCATTTCTGCCAAAGCAGAATGTACGTTTGATCTTTCTCCACTTCCTGGAACTTGGTATATGGCCAGCACATTTTCTTTTTATATGAGGGGATTAAAGCAGCTGTAAAAAGCTTAGTCTAACTCCACTTAAAGAAAAAAAAAAAGAGAGAGAGATCAGAGAGTCGGAGTATTTGCCCAAACGCAACATCTACCACTTCCTGAGCCTAAGCACAGTGTAGAAATCTTTCCGACTTATTTTTTTGAGACGGAGTCTCGCTCTGTCGCCCAGACTGGAGTGCAATGCTGCGATCTCGAGTCACTGCAACCTCAGCCTCCCGGATTCAAGCGATTCTCCTGCCTCAGCCTCCCAAATAGCTGGGACTACAGGCCCGCGCCACCACACCTGGCTAATTTTTGTATTTTTAGTAGAGACAGGGTTTCACCATGACCTCAAGTGATCCACCCGTCTCGGCCTCCCAAAGTGCTGGGATTACCGGAGTGAGCCACCGCGCCCGGCCGCCTTTCCAATTTTTTAAGAGCCCTAAGAGCAGTTTAGCCGAGTAAACGGAAGCCCAGGAGCCAGACTTGAGTTTAGGCAAACAGCAATCCAAAACTTTAGTTCTAAAATGCAGAGAGAAAACAACTTGCACTAAGTCACGAAAACTGGCTCGCTGGGGTCATGGACGGTCAACAGGGGCGGCGTCTTCCAGGCCTGGCCGCGCGGGCTAGAGAGGAAGCGTGCGCACTGGCAAGCCAGCACGGAACGAGCAGACGGCCAGGCCCACGGCATCCCACCGCGTCCCAGCCTGCTCCCCAGTTCCACCGCATCCCAGGACCTTCCCAGCCACGCCTGTGTTGTGCACTCGAAACCCACGATCAGCCGCCCCTTCTCCCCGTGCCACAAGACCTACGCAGCGAGCACCACCGCTGACCTCCATCCGCCGCCCTAACTGTCCCCGGAACCATGAGGTGCGCGGCGCGCTTCCCTACGTCACTCGGAGCGCCGGCGGAAACGAGACGAGCCTCGCCCCGCACGTCCGGAAGCCACGCCTCCAGCTTCCGGCCACACCTTTCGGCGGGTGACATCTTTGCTGAGGGCTCAAGCGGAGCGATAGGTCATGGGAAACTTAGAAAAGATAAAGAACCTAGGAAGAAAGGCTTCGGTTGCCCCCCGACCAGTACGCCATCCTCATACGGAGTGCGGGAGACGACCCTTTGTTGTCGGTGCTGTCACCCTATCCCTCCCTGCTTGCGTAGGCGTAGGAGAGTTCCTAGGGCGGTGGAAGACTGGGCTGGTGGAGTGGGATAGGCGACGTTGAGGCCTGTGGGGGCTGGGAGGACGAGTGAGTGGAGACTGGGGAACTCCAGAGCGCCCACTTGCAGCTGGATTTTTATGTGCAATTTTCCTGATTTTTAAATAGTGGTGTTTAATTACAAAGTAAAGTGCAGGATAGCCCAAACGAAATGTATCTGAGGTCTATATATGGACTTGATTAATTTTTACTTCCTGCACAGCCTTTTATTTTCTGTGGAGTTAATAATTACTTGGCTACGCACGGTGGCTCACGCCTGTAATCCCAGGCCTCGGTGGGCGGATCACTTGAGTTCAGGAGTTCGAGACCAGCTTGGCCAACATGGCGAAACCCCGTCTCTACTAAAAATACAAAAAAATTAGCCGGGCGTGGTAGGGCGCACCTGTAGTCCCAGCTACTAGGGAGGCTGAGGCATGAGAATCGCTTGAATCCGGGAGGTGGAGGTTGCAGTGAGCAGCGATCTTGCCACTGCACTCAGCCTGGTTGACAGAGCAAGACTCTGTCGCAAAAAACAAAACAAAAAACATAAAAATAAATAATTACGTTTGTTTGTGTTTGTAAACTAAAAATAAAATTGTAAGCCCCCCAAGCACTGAACGGACCTCCTCTTAGCCAAGGAGACCCCAGAGAAACCTTAAAAACTGAGTTCCCAGCCATTCTGGAAAGGGAGGTTGAACACCCCTTGTTAAAGTAGAGATCATAAGACTAACAGACTTTGTGGTAGTAAGATACCAAATTATAAACAAGACCTAAGGCCGTGCAAGGCAAGGGTTAAGTCAAGCTTGCAGACCATCAATCTTGCTGAAGAGGTCTTTTTTGACCCAGTGTATTGTGGCTGATTCTGGCATACTATCTTAAACATTCTTTTCTGCTGACTCCAAATTTTACACAGAGCCTCACTCTTTTAACCAGTTGCAAATTAAAAAATCTCTTGGTCAAGCTGGCTGAGGTGGGAGGATCACTTGAGGCCAAGAGTTCAAGACTAGCCTGGGCAACATAGGGAGACCCTATCTACCCCTACCAAGAGATCTATCTATCTATCTATCAATCAATCATATATCGTGTATATATCTATGTATTTGAGTCCACATATAACTTGTAAACCCCCCACATCAAGACATCCTGTCTTTTGGAGCCAAACCAGTGTATACCTTCCACACATTGATTTATGTCTTTGCCTGTAACCCCTGGCTCCCTGAAATGTATAAAACCAAACTATAATCTGACTGCCTCGGGAACACTTAAGGCTTTTTGGGTTTGTATTTTCCTGGGGCTGTGGTCACTCATTGGCCCTGAATAAACCTCTTTAAGTAATTTACAGAGTTTGATTTTTCTGTTAACAGTTAATTAAGATTCCATGTATTTATCACAAATTCTACTCCAAATCCTTCACAAGTTGTCTGTCAAAAGACAATATTACAACAGATTTATAGATCTGTTAAAAGAAAAGCTTTAGACAAACTAATGGAGTTTTGTTGAGGAAAGAACCTTGAAAACATGCTAAGGGAAAGAAGTTAGACACATGAGGCCACATATTGTATAGTTCCATTTATATTTGCAATGTCCAGAGTAGGTGAATTGATAGAGTCACCTATGTGATGTTGAGGTGGGGAGAATAGGGAGTGACTTCTGATGGGTTTGAGGTTTCTTTTTGAGATGGTAAAAGTGTCCTGGAATTGGATAATAGGGATGGTTGCACAACACTGAGTATACTAAAAGCCACCTGTGACTTAAGAAATATATATGTGGTCTCTGCATAGAGCTTCTAAAACCCTTGTAACTTTTTTCTTTAGGTTTTCATTAAGGCATTTTATAAAGATAATATCATTTGTATTTATAAAATGTTTGCTACATATACATAATATATATAGTGTATATATAAATTTAAATATGCTCAAGTTACAAAGCAGAATTATGAAAAGAAACCCGTGAACCCATTACTCCACTTAAGAAATAGAATATTACCAATATTGTTGCAATTTTCTGAGAGTTTCCTCTTCTTTCTTATCCCTCCACCCCAGCTAATTGCTATCCTGATGTTTTTCATTTGTGTATGTGTATTTTAATTTAATTTAAAGTTCCAGGATACATGTGCAGGACGTGCAGGTTTGTTATATAGGTAAACGTGTGCCGTGGTGGTTTGCTGCACCTATCAACTCATCACCTAGGTATTAAGCCCTGCATGCATTGGCTACTTATCCTGGTGCTCTCCCTTCCCCCTGTCCCATGGACAGACCCCAGTGTGTGTTGTACCCCTCCCTGTGTCCATGTGTTCTCATTGTTCAGCTCCCACCTATAAGTGAGAACATGCAGTGTTTGGTTTTCTGTTCCTGTGTTAGTTTGCCAAGGATAATGGCTTTCAGCGCCATCTGTGTCCCTGCAAAGGACATGATCTCATTCCTTTTTATGGTTGCATAGTAGTCCATGGTGTATATGTACCACATTTTCTTTATCCAGGCTATCATTGATGGGCATTTGTAAAACACTTGTAACTTCTTGAATGATAGTGACATCTTTTGTTATTCATCATAAGCCCCTTTTAACCATACCTGAGTTTATGCCACTAATGAAGTGGCTTTTGGAAGATGGGAGCTGGTTATCAGAGAAACCAACCATGTGATTAGAGGGCTGAAACTTTTAGCCCCACCTCTCAACCTCCAGAGAGAGGAGAGAGGCTGGAGATTGATTTGATTACAGTTTATCTAAAAGAAGAAACGGAGGCAAAATTAATAAAAGTGGAGAGTTTACATTTGAACCAAAATGAAGACAGCTGCCCAGAAGACTCACATGCAAGTAACCTGGGATATGAGCTTCATTAAGCCTTTGTTACAAGCAGGTTTTTAAAGGTAAAAAAGGGGACTAGGCATGGGGCAGATAAAAAGTTGTTTGTCAGGAATTCTCATTGGTTTACAGAAATAACATTGATTAGTGATGGCTATACATTGTTGAATGATAGGGTATGAGTTATGTTGTGCAGCATGCAGTATTGTTAGGTTAATTTATAGCTACTTGGGGGGCAGTCAGTCTAGAGTCCACATAGCAAGCAGCTTCAAAAGATGATTATTCAGCAAGAGGGAGGAAGTGAGATGTGACTGCTGTCTCTTTCTCATGCCTTTTTTTGGGCCTGATAATTTAGAGGAAGCTCATATTCCTCATATAAAAACATTTCTTTTGACTGTCATTACTAATGGCCAATGATTTTATCAATTATACCTAGGTAATGAAACTTCATAAAAACTTATTAAACAATGGGGTTCAGAGAGCTTCCAAGTTGGTGAATGCATCCACATGCTGGGAAGGTGTCACCTCCCAAACCCCATGGGAACAGAAGCTCTGATGCTTGAGATTCTTCCAGAAGTGTTGTGATTAGAGGAACAGTTTCCTTTGGAACCTGGCCCTAAGACTTTTTTTTTTTTTTTTTTTGAGATGGAGATTCGCTCTGTCGCCCAGGCTGGAGTGCAGTGGCGCTATCTCGGCTCACTGCAAGCTCCGCTTCCTGGGTTCATGCCGTTCTCCTGCCTCAGCCTCCCGAGTAGCTGGGACTATAGGCACACGCCACCATGCCCGGCTAATTTTTTGTATTTTTAGTAGAGACAGGGTTTCACCGTGGTAGCCAGGATGGTCTTGATCTCCTCATCTCGTGATCCGCCCGCCTCGGCCTCCCAAAGTGCTGGGATTACAGGTGTGAGCCACCGTGCCTGGCCCCTAAGACCCTTTTAATCTAGATGTTCATCTGTATCCTTTAAAATATGCTTTGTAATAAACTAGTAAACATAGATGTTATGATCTGATTGTGTCCCTCCGAAATGTGTATGTTCAAGTCTAATCTGCAAAGTGTTGATATTAAGAGGTGGGGCCTTTGGGAGGTAATTAGGTCAAGAGGATGGAGCCCTCGTGAATGGAATTAGTGCCCTTATAAAAGAGGCCCGAGGGAGCATGTTTGTCCCTTTCTCCTTCTGCCATGTGAGGACACAGTAAGAAGTTACCTTCTATGAGGGAGAGAGCCCTTACCAGACACTGAAGCTGCTGGTGTCTTGATCTTGGACTTCCCAATCTCCAGAACTGTGAGCAATACATTTCTAGGGTTTATAAATTACTCAGTCTATGGTATTTTGTTCCAGCAGCCCAGATGGAATAAGGCAGTAGATAAAATGTTTCTCTGACTTCTGTGAGCTCTTATAGCAAATTACTAAACCTGAAGAGCAGGTCATGGGAAACCTTGCTTTGTAGCCAAGTCAAACAGAAGTGTGGATAGTCTGGGACCCACTACTTGTGACTGGCACCTGAAGTGAGGGCAGTGTTGTGGGACTGAGCCCTTAACCTGTGAGGTCTGTGCTAACTCTAAGTAGTTAGCGTCTGTTGTGGTTTGAATACTTGACCCCTCCAAAACACATGTTGAAACTTCTCCACTTGCCATGCTGGTTTTAGCATAGAAAGTCTCATGTCTTGGGAAGCTCCCCTACCCTTCCTCGCCTCAAGTCCCAGGCAAACTGGGATGCTTGACCACCCTGTTTCTGTCTGCTCCTGTCTATTCACCTTCCCTCCAGTTGGAATCAAACCACAGTTGATATGAGCTCTGGAGTGCAGAAGCTGATACAGCACCTGAGGCTGCCTTCTGACTGGCATCTGGAAACTTGGCTGGCAAACAGTTTCTTATACTGATAATAACTTCCTATAAAGGGCAGGGGTCTTCCCTGCACCTAAACTGTTTGTACAACAACATGGCTCATGCTAAGCACCTGCCTTTCTTCTGGGAGTTTGGAATTTTGGTGTATGCTAGGCAGACACCAGCTCCTGATAAAAACCCTGAGCACCAAGTCTCTATGAGCTTCCCTGGTAGACAGCATTGTACACGTGTCATCACAACTAATTGTTGAGGGAATCCAGTAGTGACTCCCTCTTGTTTCTGCTGGAAGAGAACTCTTGGAAGCTCATGCCTGGTTTCTTCCAACTTCACCTCATGTACCTTTCCCCTTTGCAGATTTTGCTCTGTATCCTTTTCTTTAAGTCTTAGCCAAGGGTATGACTGTGTACTGAGTCCTGTGAGTTCCTCTGGAGAGTCACAGAACCTTGGGGTGGTCTTGGGGACCCCTGACAAACCTGTTGAGGGACTTTCTCAGAGAAGGGCCCTTCTTCAGGGCCTGATGGAATCGATGTCTCTTCAGATTCCTGCATAAGAGGAGGAATCAGACCCAAAGGCTAGTCTAAGGTCAGCCTGGCTCCCTGCTCTGGCCATACACAGCCTGTTCTACCCTGCTATCTATGTGGCAAACTGAGGCCCAGGGAGGGCAGGACTTGCCTAAGGACACATGGAGAGTGAGTGTCCAGGTCTTCTGCCACCAGCCCCAGGCCTCCCCCTGCTTCTGTGCCTGCCCGGGGCTCTGTCCCAGCTGGACTCAGAGTGGTGGGTCTTTTGCACCCCCAGCAGGAAACCCTCAGCAGGGCCAACAGTCCTGACCTCTGCCAACCCTTCCAGAAATCCACAGAACATCTCATCCATCCTTCCTTCTCATCCACCAAGAAGGCCACAGCACCCTCCTCATGCAGTGTGGTGAGAGGTGTGGTACAGTGTGCAGAGTGGGTCGTGACAGCCACAGCCCAGTGGACCCAGCCCTGTCCTGCACCAGTAGGGCCCAGCTCATAGCCGTTCCTGGCTTTCAGTCAACCTGGGCTCCTGCTCTGGAGGCCACTGACATTGAGTACCTGTGCTAACAGATGTGCAGGTGAGAAGGCCTCTGGGGGTACGGGTGATGGAGCTGGGAAGGGGCCAAGGTGGTCCACCTTATCAGAGTCCTGGGAGCTCCGGTGGCAGCTGCCATGAGAATGCAGTGGGAGATGGTGGAGTGGCCCCATGGATCTCTCTGGCATGGATGCTCAGCCTCTAAAGGGGGCTGTTTTACCAGCTTGTAAAATCTACCCAAGTAGGGTACAGGCTGGGCTGTCTTGGGGGAAAAAACATTAAAACTTAAAGCAGTGTTTTATATGGAAAAATATGAAAGGGTTTTTTTTTTTTTTTTTTGAGACAGTCTCACTCTGTTGTCCAGGCTGGAATGCAGTGGTGCGATCTTGGCCCACTGCAACCTCCGCCTCCCAGGTTCAAGCGATTCTCCTGCCTCAGCCTCCCAAGTAGCTGGTATTACAGGTGTGTGCCACCATGTCCGGCTCATTTTTTGTATTTTTAGTGGAGACAAGGTTTCGCCATGTTGGCCAGGCTGGTCTTGAACTCCTGACCTCAGGTGATCCACCCGCCTTGGCGGCCTCCCAAAGTGTTGGGATTACAGGCGTGAACCACTGTGCCCGGCTGGGACTATTTTAAAATATCATGTATTAATAAAAAATTTGAGGTTCATGAAGACTGATGGATCAGGAGATGATTGCCATTGAGAAGCTAGTTTATTACTCTCAGTTCTGGAGAGAAGGGCACATGCCACACCACAGGGGCCACATGGGAAAACACTGGGGTTGGCCCTGAGGCAGAGGAATGGGGCAGGGAGTGGTGGGCAAGAGCCTTTACTGTGGTTTCTGTGGGAAAGAACAGGTAAGGCAGGGCGACAGTTTAGGATTGGGTGGTTTGAGTAACTTCAGGGCCTGGAGCAGAAGGGCTGTCCCTCATTGTCTGATACCTGGCCCTGGAGTGATTAGAGCAAGTCCATAGTGGCCAGAGTGTGAGAGCCCCATAGAGGAGGTGTTTGAGGGTGTGAGCATTGGATTGGTTGGTTTGTGTTTGAAAAGTGTACCCTGCCCAGGAGGAGGACTCTTCCTGAGAGGTGAGGAGCTGATGAGGGAGGCAGAAGGCCAAGGCAAGGTGATTCAGGCCCATCATCAGGGTGCAGAACCAAGTCTGTCCAGCATATACATACAAGGCAGATGTTAAAGCATTGTTTGCAGAAGCTGGAAACATAGTCAATACAGGGGCCAGGGCAGGGTGAAACTTCTCTGTAGGGGAGGAGCCTCCAGCATCAGGGGATGGATGTGTCTCCTGCAGCCTAACTCTGAGCTGCAGGCTAGACAAGGTTGGGTGGTTCCAGCTGCCCAGGCTGGCCTCAGGGTCCCAGCATGAGCAGCAGTGCATGGAGGTGGTACGGCTCCATTTCAGCCCTGCCTCTCCCCAGCACCTGACCAGCATGGGAGGCTGAGTGCTGGGCCTTGGTGGGCAGGGACAGACGGGGATGGGGAAAGGGTATGTCCGCTGGCCTCCAGCCTGCAGGACCTCCTGGTAGCTTCTCCTTGAGATGGGGAGGGGCAGGCCTGGTGCAGCAGTATGCAGGGGTCCTGGCCTGGGAGAGCAGGCTGCTGGCTTCCCACCAACACAGTGCATCATTGACAGGGCCTCCACGGGACCTGTTGACCCACCTTTCCCATACCTGTGTCTCAGGCTGCTGGGCCAGGTGCCACAAGGTGACCATGTTACCTGCTGGTCCTCCTTTCACATAGATCTGGCCTCCTTGTGGCGCCCCCTCAGCCCACCCAAGTCATTCCTCTGATGAGAGGTTCTCTTCTGTGCTACACTCCCACCTTGTGCTTTACCAAATTCAGGGCCTGCCCCTCTCCCACCAATCCTGGTCCCCAAACACTCCCTGGCCTGGAGGGCCAGCCCACAGGCCCTTTCTGGTTCCCCTCTTTTTATTTAGAGAATGTGCAAATTTTTTGAAAAGCTAAGAGCATGGTACGGTGACTATCCATAAATCTGTCATCTAGATTCAGCAAGAATTTGGCCATACTTCCGTCTTCCTTCTTTATCCCTACCCCTGCCTCACCCCCGCTTGTTCTCACTGTACATATGTGTGTATGTATTTGTGTGTATGTGTGCATGCATGTATATGTGTGTGTTGTGCATACATGTATATACATGTGTGGGTATATGTATGTCTTGTGTGTACATGTATGTATGTGTGTGTGTGTATGTATATCACAGTCTGCTCAGGCTGCTATGACAGAATATTATAGACTGCATGGCTTAAATGACAGAAATTTATTTCTCACATTCCTAGAGGCTGGAAGTCCAAGATCAAGGTGGCAGTAGATGTGGTGTCTGGTAGAGGCTGTCTGGGCTGTCTTCCTGGTGTGCATGTGACCATCTTCTTGTTGTATTCTCACATGGCCAAGAGCAGAGAGAGAGCTCTCTGTGGTCCCTTTCCACTCGTGAGGGCTCCACTCTCATGATCTAATTATCCCCCAAAGGCCCCACCTCCGAATGTTATACCTTCACCTCACCTTAGTGGTGAAGATTTCAACATATGAATTTTGGAAGAGGAAGGATGAACATTCAGACCATGCAATGTAAGTGTTTATATTTGTGTATGTTTATAAGCATATGAATATAGGCATGCATATGCGTGTGTGTATGTGCTGTATATATACAATTCAAAAGTTTTCTTGGTTTGTTTGCTTGCTGAATCCTTTGAAAGTGAGCTGTAGGCTGGCCGGACACAGCGGTTCACGCCTGTAATTCCAGCACTTTGGGAGGCCGAGGCAGGAGGATCACGAGGTCAGAAGATCGAGACCATCCTGGCTAACACGGTGAAACCCTGCCTCTACTAAAATTACAAACAAAAAAAATTAGCTGGGCATGGTGGTGCATGCCTGTAGTCCCAGCTACTCAGGAGGCTGAGGCAGGAGAATTGCTTGAACCCAAGAGGCGGAGGTTGCAGTGAGCCAAGATCGTGCCACTGCGCTGCAGCCTGGGTGACAGAGGGAGACTCCATCTCAAAAAAAAAAAAAAGAAAGAAAGAAAGAAAGTGAGCTGTAGACATCACAAACTTCTCCCTTAAGCACTTTAGCAGCAAACATTGTCCATGTGACCCCACTGTAATTATCCTACTAGGGAAATTAACATTGATGCAATAAGGCCATCTGATTCAGGTCCATATCCGAATGTCCCCAATTGACCTTTGTCTCCTTAATCTCTATGATTGTTGTTGTTGTTATTTGTTTGTTTGTTTTTGAGACAGGGTCTTGTTTGGTAGCCCAGGCTGAGTGCAGTGGTGCAAACACAGCTCACTGCAGCCTTGACCTCCTGGGCTCAAGCTATCCTCCCACATCAGCCCCCCCAGGTAGCTGGGTCCACAGGCATGCACCACCACACCTGGCTAATTTTTGTATTTTTGATAGAGATGGGTTTTGCCATGTTGCCAAGACTGGTCTCAAACTCCTGAGCTCGAGGGCTGCCTCAGCCCCCAAAAGTGCTAGGATTACAGGTGTGAGCCACCGTGCCTGGCCTATTTTTAATTTTTTTCACATGTAAGCCTTCCTGCACCACATTTCTTCCATGTCTTAGTATCACTCTCAACTCTGGGGTTTTTAGAAATTCAGCGTGCTGTACTCTGTCCTCGTCAGTACCCTCACGGCGCTCATGTGTGGCAGGCTCATGTGTCCCTCCAGCAGATCATCATTGGTCAGGCGGACGCCAGCACTCCCCTTGTGCCTTCTTTGCCCATCTATTTCTCCAAGGAATCCTGCTGCCTTTCAGTGGAGGATTGTTCATGAACAAAATCCAGGCACTAGTTGAACCCCTTCATGTGTGGGATGGTTCATCCCATTTCCCAAGCCCCTGACATGTCATGTGAACTCAAAGATGTATTGAGTTATTGAGTGAACACAGAGAGGCAATGATGGAGACAGCAAAGCTGAAGATGATGCAAAGACCTAGCATCTCAAACAGTCCTTGCACTCCTGGTCCCTGGTCCCTGACACCAGTGTCTTCTGAGATGGCCCCTGGTGCCCCAGACTCCCCACTTCACTGGTTGGGCCCTGCCTTCAAGACAGCTCTGGGTGCTCTGTTTTAGGGGGACCCTTCTTGTCCTTCTGCACATGGCTCTGGGGAACTCTTTTTGGGGGCCTTCCTCTCTTCCTGTACACATCAGCAGTGAGCAGGCTCTTTCTTCTGGGAGGCCCCTGTGCACCTCAAGGGCAGCAGCTTGGCCAGGACAGCCTGGTCCCTCTGTGTGCAACACCTAGGAAGGCCTGGCACTTATGGGTTAAAGGTCAGTCCTGCCTTCCTCCTCCATTCACTGACAGAGCATGATGATGGAGGTCTCTGTGGGCACTGAAGCCGTAGGGAAGTGACCTTACCAGGTCACATAACCAGTGAGCGTGGCTCTCATGGATGTGGGCTCCTCATGAGTGTGGGCTCCCGGAGAATCTAGGCTTGCTGTGAGTGTGGCTTGCTTGGGCCGGCCCTGTTGTTCTCCCTTGCAAGCTCTGAGGAGGCAGGGATGGAGGAAGCTGAGCAATATCTCCAGGTCCCACCTTCATCTCAGCCAGCCTGATGGTATGGGTCGTCTCCTTGACCTTATGTGCTGGGTCAGTGAGCCAAATGGGGCTGACCTCAGGTCAGGCCTGGGCCTGGGGCCCCTGGGCTCCTGCAGAAACCTAGGCAGGTGAGGTAGTGGACCCCTCCCTCTGGCTTGACCAGGGCCCAGCCTGCCTCCTATGTCCTGCCGGAGCACACACAGAGAGGACCCCCATTCAAAATGTCTCTGCTTTATCATGGACTCTCCCAAGGCTGTGGCTTCGTGTTTTCGAGGCTCTCATCTGGACTTGATCCAATTCGAGCCACTCCTCAAGTGCAGCCACAGAACACGGGGAGGCTGGTGATTTTTTTGAGTACAGCTCCTTTCTTCTTGCTGCTTAAGCTCAATCATTTGATTTTCTTCTTTCTGCTGAGACCCTTGGCCCCTGGTGAGCTAACTGGATTCCTCTCGACCCCCAAGCCAGGAGCACAGCCAGGGTGTAGAAAGTGTTTGGAGAAAGAAAATCCCACTAGAGGCGTTTTAGACAAATTTTTTCAAACATGTGAAAAAGCAGCCTAGAGTTGAGGAGAATAAAAACCCCTTCTTTCAAGTTGCCTTGTATACCGTGTTCAGCTTTTTTGTTGCTAAAAGATAATTTTCAAAAAAGGGAAAAATCATGACTCTTCTATACAATAGATACAAAGTGAACAAGGGACAAGAGATTTAATTTAACTCTAGAGGGATCAGGCTCAAACCAAAGAGCAGACACAGGTACAGGTTAGGACGATGAAACTGCTATACGAATGGAGACAGAACTGTTTCCTCTGTGTGAGAGTAAGTGTGCATCCTGTGTGCGACAGAGGGGCTGGAGCTTGGTGCCGACAGGCACTGGCCATTAGCGATCCTCCCAGCCGCTCAACAGGCCTGTGTCACTGCACAAGTCAAGTGCAGTTCCCTGGGGCCGCAGGGATCTGGCCAGGTGTGAGTTCCCACACAGCCATCTTCTTGGGTGCCTGATGGCCAACACTGTGGACCCTGAAATGACCAGCAGAGCTGCATGTCCTGTTGTGTGAGGCAGCCGTGTGTGGACACAGAGCTCAGTGTCTCTGTGGGGTGGTGACTGTCTTCCAGGGACATAATATTCTAAACACCCCTGACCTAGAGCAGCATCCACACTCACCCCACCCCTTCCTCTCACTTCCTTTGCACTTCCTGTAACCACACCTTTGCCCTTGCCATGCCACCGAAACTGGCCCAGGCCTAGGCAACCTCTGAGCTACCAGACCCCCACAGGCTCAGCTCCTGATCTTGTCCCCATGAGCAGGGCTAGCAACACCTCTGAAGGGGGTCAGCCCCGGGAGATCTGGCCAGTGTCTCCAGAACCTAGTGGAGAGGCCTTTCCTGGCCCAGAGATGCCACCATGGCTGTGTATTCTCACCAGAGGTCAGCCGCCTGTTGAGTGCACCTGGCTGGACTCCCCCACCCACCTGGACATGCTTATCGCCACGGGGTTTCCCTGTTCCCGGCCAGCTGCCTTGTCTGCCTGGAGCACCCAGGGATGAGGCCTGCGTTTGCTTCGTTCCTCCCTCAGGAGCCCGGGACAGATACACAGAAAGACAAACACATGAAGCTGAGTGGATTTTTAAATTAGCAGCCGTAGAAGGCATCATGCACTCTCTGGATCCAAGAGAGATGGTTTCTGTCGAGCAGACTTGGGTGGGTCACTCCTGGCAGCAGGGGCTCCCAGGGGAAGGTCTCTCACTGAGAGGTGTTCTCTGCAGGGGGGCACGGGGAACTCAGATGCAGTACAGAGCCCGGCCAGGGGGGTGGTGGGGAGGAGGGAGGTCATCCGCTGTCCATTGTTCATGTGCTAATGTGTTCACGCCCACAGGCCCGGGGACCTGCGCTGCTGGCCCCTTTGCTGTTGTGCAGGGGAGCAAGCAGAGCCCTGCACCCCACTGGCTTTCCCCCAGCCCTCACCTCGCCTGCAGACAGGTGGATGAGGCCACCCTCATATGCCAGAAAGGGAGTCCAGGTCATAGGTGGGCTTGGACGGTTAGCCCAGAACCCATGTTTGGAACCCCTGACCTAGAGCTCTCCCAATATTTGGGAGGTAAGCTGCTCTCTGCAGTGAAGTGGGAGAGGCACAGGCTTTGCACACAGGTCGAGCAGCACTGGGCCTGCCAGTCATTTGCCTCCCTGGGCCACTTTCACTCACTGACACTCACTCCCAGCCTGAGTGGCTTCCTTGAGTGCCTGGGGGCCTGCAGCTGGCATAGTCTGGGTTGGTGTGCCGAGCCCTATCTGCCCCCAGGGCCTGCTCATGGACTGCACCCACTTTCAAGGCCCCACTGAAGGCCCAAGCTGGCCAGGGGAAGCTCAGGGAGAAAGGGAACTCATACCTAGGACAGGGGCCAGACACTTCATGGCACAGCGGCTGAAGCGGCACTTCTTTTCTCCCTAACACCCGCCGTCCATGGAGCACTCACTCTGCTCCTCGCAGAGCTCTGGGCTCACTGCAGGCTGCACCCAGGGGCAGCTGCCAATCTTTGGGGCTGATACTAGGGGAGAGATGGGCCAGCCCTTCATCACCCAAAGCCCTTTTATGCTTCCCAGCCTTGCTGGGCCCACCTCCCAGGGCTCCCCATGCCAAAAATACCCATTTTATAAATGAGGAAGTTGGGCTGGGCGCTGTGGCTCATGCCTGTAATCCCAGCACTTTGGGAAGCCAAGGAAGGAGGATCACAAGGTCAGCAGTTCGAGACCGGCCTGGCCAACATGGTGAAACCCTGTCTCTACTAAAAAAAAAAAACTACAAAAATTAGCTGGGTGTGGCAGATACTTGGGAGGCTGAGGCACAAGCATTGCTTGAACCTGGATGGTAGAGGTTGCAGTGAGCCGAGATCGCTCCACTGCACTCCAGCCTGGGCAGCACAGCGAGACTCAGTCTCAAAAACATAAAAAAAAAATAAAAATAAATAAAATAAAAAATAAATGGGGAAGTTGAGCCTCTGTTCTGCTCTGGGGTCAGATGTGTCCCCGGGGCCTCCTTTCTGCTGATCTCATGGCAGGAACCTCCACACCATCCTTGGAGGCTGGACCACAGGACAGAGGTGGATGAGGGTGGGTCAGCCTCAGGCAGGTTCCGGCAAATGAAGGGGGCTCACATGTAGGGCCGAGTGTGTGGGGCAGTTGTGTGGGCACTAAGAGGGTGGTCCCAAGTGTCCAGCTCAGGAAGATACTTGAGAAAGCTGGTTCCTCCCTCCCCCAACAGATGGGAGCCAGGCTGTCACCATGGGGCACAGGGCCAGGTGGAGTATTACCAATGGTGGGGTTTTGCAGGAGCGGCTGCAGGAGCTGGGGCAGCACTTGCTGTTGCCAAGACAGTCATTGTAGGTGAGGCAGGTTTTGACGCAGGGCACCTCCTCGGAGGAGCTGGCCTCGGGGCACACGGCCTGCTCTGCACACAGGATGGGCAGGTGAGTGGGGGTCCAGGCCCCATCCCCAGGCTCCTCAAGGGAAAGCAAGGTAGGGGCAATGAGGAACGCAGCCGTTAACAGCTTAACATGCTGTTTCTTAGAAGGCCAAAAAAATCTACCAGGAATGTGACAGCCTTGACAAAAGCATGGGAAGTCAGCTGAGAAAATTAGGAAGCAAGACCACAGGCCCACTGCAGGTGGTGGGACGTTAAGACCCTGACCAGACTGGCTAGGGCCTGAGGATAGCCCCCATTCTCCGCTGCCACTTCCCCATCTCCCAGCTGCACTGCTCGCTCTCAGGCCCAGACGCTTCTCAGGCCCAGTGGGACAGCTGCCTCCACGTGGAAATACAGCCCTGCTTTTCTGCCATCCCTGGACTCCCCACCACCCACCCCCAGGAGTGAGTCTCCTCTGTTTCTCTCTTCCCCATTCCTGTCGCCAAACCACCAGGACCTGTGGTGCCTTGGGTTCCACCAGAAGCAGAGATCAGGCAGGAGGACTCTCCTGGGAGTGTCCCCTAGAGAGGTTACCTGGCGAAATGAATGCTGGGGCCACAGCAAGGGTCACTTTCAGGGCAAGCAGGGCCAGGGCCAGGCTGAAGAGACAGTGTATGGTGGCGGGTGGCAGGCAGGCGGCAGGTGGTGGCCTGAGGACATGGGTTACATTTAAAGGACCTGGGTGGGAGGAGGGCCTCGGGGCGGGGGGCAGGGGGCAGGCTGGCATGGCCCCAACTGGACTGAGGCACTTCCTCCTTGAATGCCTCCAGAGGCCAGGCCCAGTGCTGGGGAAATGGCTGAGAGGTCTGGGGCGGCTGCTATAATCAGGGTCATGTTTCAAAAAAAAAAGTCCTTAGTTAGGTTGACCAGTTTTTCCCCATTTTGAAAGTAATGCGTGTTTATTATGAGAATTGATAAAATTAAGGACAGGGGAAGGAAGAAATAGGACCTATCCCAAACACTGCTATAGCAGTTATTTTAAAATGGTTGCATAGGGGCCCCCGGGGACAAAAGAAATGATGTGTCCCAAAGTTGTACGTTACCTAGGAAACAAAATAGGAGAGAGATAGCAGGCGCAGGGGCTCTCTCAGACGGTGTTTTGCTTCTTTTTTTTTTTGTAGTTTTTGGGCTTTTGACAAGAAGGAGATGCCTTCTGCTTATGAGCTGCAAGCTCCTTGTGGAGAATGCCAGGCACTGGATGAGGAACGAGTCAGGCTCTATGTTAGGGGCTGTCTGTGCAGGGCAAACACCAGGAAGGCCTCTTCCCAGAAGGGACCCTTCTGTGCCAAGTGAGCGGGTGCCACGGAGCAGGGGCGGGTGCTGCCAGTGCGCTATGCCTCCTCTGCTCTGGGGCATTTTCTTGATCCTCTTGCCTGGAGGGCTTGGACAGGGAAGGGGCCCTGGGGATTGTGGAACCTGGACATCTGCCTTGAAGACCCCGTGGTGACCATGTGCTGGCTGACAGCTGGTGCTTAGTCCCAGGTCCAGGCTGCACTCCTGTCCAGCTGGGGACCCTCATTGCAGGCCTATGGCCTCTGGGCTTTGGACACAGAGTCCCTTAAAACTTCCCCTGGGACCCTCTGCTACTGAACATCGGGATGTTCCAGCCCAGAATGTCCTGCTACTTTGGCGGAGCTGTAATGTGCCTCCTGTACGTGCCCATGGCATGACATGGCTCCATCACGGCCCTTATAGTCCCTCTGCAAAGCAGTGGGCCTCAACCCAGGCCCTTCCTGGGGTAGCCAGCATGGACACTCTGGCCATGGTGACTTGCCACCTCTTGTGCCTCTCCATGGCTTGAAGTTTACCCAATGCTTCACGTAGGCTGTTCCACCTTCCCGGGAAGGGAGCTACACACACACCAGAGACCTGGTGGAGTCCAGGGCTTGGGGAAGTGAAGGTGGCAAGGCCGTGATTGTTTACTGGCAGGCCTTGGTGGCCCTTTTCTCTGTCTCTGTCCGTTCCTACCTACATCATGAGTGGATTTGGCTAGAAGATCTGAGTCCTTCTGTCGCCGATGCTGGGTCTGAGGTGAGAGCTGACCCATCCATCCCAAGAACTCAGATCCCTGGCCACAGACTCACACTGTGAGCGCCCTCCCCCTGCCCCCCACCCCACACCTAGTCCCTTCTTCCTTGACAGCACAGAGGGGCACTTCCTTCACCAGCATTTCCCATCTCCACAGGGTGCCCCCAGAGCTAGCTATGCCATTTTCAGGGCACCTTGTTCAACAAATGGAAAAAAAGTACTGGTAAAGGTACTAGAATAAAAAAGTATTTTTCTCTTCCACAGTCTCTCTGTACTTGTCATGATGCTTTTCACAATGTGTCAATTTAAGTAAATGAAAATAAAAATTTCTTATTATGAACATGAGTATCAGCAGTCATTTTTATGTTGTACAATGCCAATTCAAAGGCAAACACAAGAGCATTGAGCTCTTAGGCAGAATCACCCAATCACACAATTCTTACCTTGTAGCTCACATGGGCACACATATACAACAGTGCAAACGCTGCACAAAACTAACTCAACTGGTTTTGTTCCACTTATTTTTTTCTCATTTCTTTTTATTTAATATTTTTGGATCCATCTGTTGTTCTGAGGAAACAGCTTCCTCTTAAGCAGTTTTACTCTTCTGACACAAGGAACTGGTTGACTGAATGTGTCAGATTAAACTTTCCCTCCATTACATCAAACCTGCTGTAACCAATGTTGTGGCCAGACACTCTTAGCACCCTAGGTCTGCTTTGCCTCTTATGGCCATTCATATCTATATGAACTTGTATATTAATAAGGATAAAAAGTTGCATTCTTTATTTTTATCTTATTTTAATAAGATAAAAATATTTAATTTAATTTAATTTTTTTTTTTTTTTGAGACAGAGTCTTGCTCTGTCACCCAGGCTGGAGTGCTGTGGCACAACTCCGGCTCACTGCAACCTCTGCCTCCTGGGTTTAAGCGATTCTCATGCCTCAGTCTCCTGAGTAGTGGGACTACAGGTGCTTGCCACCAAGCCCGGCTGATTTTTTTGTATTTTTAGTAGAGATGGGGCTTCGCCATGTTGGCCAGGCTGGTCTTGAACTCCTGACCTCAAGTGATCCGCCTACCTCGGCCTCCCAAAGTGCTGGGATTACAGGCATGAGCCACCGCACCCAGCCCTATTTTAATTTTTTATTGAGATGTAATTCACATGCCGTCAGATTCACCCCCAATTGTAAAGTGTACAATTGAGTGTTTTTTAGTACATCCAAAACGTCATACAACCTCCACCTCTAATTCCAGAACATTCCATCACCCTAAAAAGAAACCTAGTACCCACTATCAGTTACTTTCTATTTCCTTCCGTCCCCAGCCTCTGGCAACTGCCAATTGACTTTCTGTCTCTGTGGATTTGCCTATTCTGGACATTTCATGGAGATGAAATCATAGAACGTGTGACCTGCTGTGCCTGACTTATCTCACGGAGCGTGGCTGCTGAGGTTCATCATGTTGTAGCACGTGTCGGTGCTTCACCCTGTTTATGTACCATAGTATTCCTTGGTGTGCATGCACACACTCTGTTGGTCCATTCATCTATTGATGGACATTGGGCTGTCTCCACCTTTTGGCCCCCGTGAGGAGTACCGCTGTGAGCACTGGTGATTTCACCTGTTGACATGTACATGCCCTGCCAAGGCTCTCCTTCTCTGGCTACCGGACAAGCAAGGAAGGCACTTGGCTACTGTCTTCCCCTTTCCTGCTGTGCTGTCCTTTTCAGAGTAACTGGCTGGCTCCTACGGGAATAAGGCAGGCAGGAAAGGGCCGGCAGGGCTCCTGGGCTGCTCGTGTTTCTCAGAGACCCGTCGCATCCTTCTGTGGCTCCAGCCTGTCGGGAAGCCAGGGCCCCACTCCGTCTGTGCCTTTCTGGGACCTGTGCACATGGGATGGCCAGGCCTGCTGCACATGTGGGTCACATGTGTGTTTGTTCCATTGTCCCACCAGACTTCACTTACTAGCACATATGTTGACAGGTGAAATTAAGGATTTCAAGGCATAAGAGCAGAATGTTGAACCAAGCTTAGGGACACATGGTTGTGTGGGCTGCTGGCATGAAGTGGCACACACCTGGAGCCCCTGATTTACCCGCTGTCTTGGCTGCCCCCAGGGGTCCCAAAGACCCTCTGTCCCTGGCCCCTACTCCCCAGCTCTGCTCTAACTCTGACGTCTCAAGTCCCACAGAGGCTAGGCCCTGCCACAGCCTGACCCCCTTCCAGCCGGCTCAGCCCCTCCTGATCCACACCTCTGCCCTCACACCTCTCGGGGCTCCAGGCTCCCGCTTTCCCCTTTTCTCCCCAGCCACCCTCTGCCTGGCCAGTGGACGTCTTCCGATGAGTTCACTCTGTGGAGCCCCAAAGCTGTTGCGTTCAGAGTCTGCCTGGGCCCCGGGGCACGACTCCCATCACACACCCACCAACCCCTCCCTGCTTCCCCCAGGGACTCTTCCACGACCTTCGTCTGCTCTCAGGGCCCTGGAGCCCCACCTCCCACTCCCAGCAGCAAATGGCCTACTTCGACTTCAGAGAGGAGGGCGAGGCTGTCAGCAAGGCTGTGCCCACCCTCTGGAAGACTTAGTCTTCTTCATCCCTAAGTCTTCTTAGACTTAAGAAGACTTAGGGATGATCTTTCTCTTGCCTGTCATCTGGGTTCAGGGGATGACCTTTCTCCTGCCTGGGCCAGGCGGCCAGTTCGAGGCTGCTTCCAACACCACTAGCACCCCCAGTCATGTCAGGCCCAGTTCCATTCCCCTTTCTGCGCTCCTTTATTCCCTTCATTACTACTATTTCTGGAAGAAAAGCCACAGGCATGCAAGGATGACAACACACACGGTGCAGGGCAGGGGGCAGTGGCGTTCCCACTTGGCCCTGACCCCCGTTCTCATTTTTGGAGGCTGATTTCCTACTCTCTTCAGAGATGATCAAGCCTGTTCAAGTATGGATGTGCAGGTCCGTTCTCCTTAGAAATGCGACTTATGTGCACACTGTCTCCCCCTCCTTTTTTTTTTTTTTTTTCCATTTGGGGAACATCCATTTAGCTCAGCCAAACTGAGCTAGTTCTGTGAGCTCAGTTTGGCTGGGTTTTAATGACACACGCCTGCTTCTGAGTGGCGGCTTAGTCCCCTCGGTATGGATGTGTCCACATAATTGCTAGTCTCCTATTGATGGACATTTAGGTTGTTTCTGATTCTTTGCTACCACAGAAGACCCCAGCTTTCGGCATGTGGGCAGGGAGCTCTGCAGGGTACCAGTGTAGAGGCGGAGATGCTGGGCCAAAGGGTCCATGTTTCGCCCACATGGGAGGCCCCGCCCAAGTGTCCTCCAAGCATCTGGCCCGATTCCCAGTCCCTGCTGGCACACCTGGGTATGCAGGGCTGGTCCCCGACACCTCATGAGCAGACACGCTCATCCTGCCCACTGGGTAGATAGGTCGATGGGTGATGGTGGAGGCTTTTATTTTTACTTTTTATTATGATAATTTTAAACATACAGCAAAGTAAAAATAATAGTTCAATAGGTACTCACAGACCGATGGTCTAGATTAACCTTGTCAACATTTTGTCGGACTCATGTTACTATTGTTTGTGTTGTTGTTGGAATTTAAATCTGAAACATCGTG
Organism: Homo sapiens; assembly: GCF_000001405.40. NCBI lineage: Eukaryota > Metazoa > Chordata > Mammalia > Primates > Hominidae > Homo > Homo sapiens. Next base: position 45,131,405 of record NC_000007.14, read on the forward strand.
TTGTTTCAACCCCAACTACTTTCTTTTTTTTTTGAGACAGAGTCTCACTGTCACCCGGTTTGGAGTGCAGTGGTGCAATCTCAGATCACTGCAACCTCTGCCTCCTGGGTTCAAGCAATTCTCCCTGCCTCAGACTCCCGAGTAGCTGGGATTACAGGCTCCCACCACCACACCCGGCTAATTTTTGTATTTTTTAGTACAGACGGGGTTTTGCCATGTTGGCCAGGCTGGTCTTGAACTCCTGACCTCAGGTGGTCCACTCGCCTCAGCCTCCCAAAGTGCTGGGATTACAGGCATGAGCCACCACGCCTGGCCAATCCCCTACTACTTTCATATGAAGTTGGAAATCCCAGGGCTGTTTTCCTACAGATAAAATTATTCTACGCGTAAAGTAACTGCTAGTTCCATGAGCTCAGGTTGGCTGGGTCTTTCCTTCTCAGTGGTGTCCAGCCTCTGCAGTCCTCCTTCAAACTGCCCCTGCACCCCAGCTCCCCCAGCCTCCCTCCTGTTTCTTGTCCCTCTATAGTCCTCACTCCTCAGGGAATGTCTATGGCACTGCCACTATCCCCTTTCTCTGCTCTCCCCTCCCCTCATCCTGTGGGAAGCATCCGCCCACGCTCCCTGAGCCCCTGCCCTAGCCCCCACCCCTGCATCCCTGGCAGCAGCTCCCAGGCACAACCAGGGCCCTGCCTGGTCCGGAGCACGCCCATCTGTTCAGCCTTCAGAGGCCTTGGACCCACATCTGCCCACTGTTGCCAATGCAGAACTTGGCCTCCTCCCACATCTCCTTTCCCTGGGAATGGTTCCTCACAGCCAGAGACTTGGAGGGCCTCCCTTTTGTGTTTCTCCATCTAATCAGTTACCAAGAGGTTGGGCCACTGGTGGATGCCCCTCCAAAACCCTCTTGAGTGTGTTCCTGTCAGCTCTTCTGGGCTGCTGCCCTGGGATGGGCTGTTGTGGCATCGGCCACTGCAACAACCGCCTTAACACACTTGTCTGACTACAGACGATCTGATTTGTTCATGAGATGTCCTGTATACTGTCCTCCAGAGCACAGGACCTCTCTCATCTTGTTGAACAGCACATTTGCAGCATCTGGGGCATTAGCCTTTAATGGGAAGGAAGGGAGGGAAAAAAGGAGGAAGGGAGGGAGGAAGGAGGAGAGGGAGGGAGGGAGGGAAGGAGAGAGGGGAGGAGGGAGGGAGGAGGTGGGAGAGGGAGGGAAGGAGGCAGGGATGGAGGGAGGGAAGACTATATCAGGCCTCCCCACTTTCCAGTTAGTTGTCAATGCTCTGTCCAGCATGGCCTTTCACGCCTGGGCATGATCCTATCACAACCCCATCTGAAACTCTTCGGCGGTTTCCCATTACCTGGGGGGAGAAGTCCAAATGCTGGGGTGTGGCATTCATGCCCTTCATGACCTTGAATGAAGTGGCCTAGAGGAAGCGTTTGAGTGCATGCCTGTGTGAATCTAGTCTTGGCTGTGCTAGTTGTGTGACCTTGAGCAGCTTACTCCTTCCTCATTTGTAAAATGGGGTAATAATGAGACCTATTCCAACTACCAGAGGGAGCTGGGGCCCGGGGGGCCAGGAGGGAACACATGTTCTGTGTGGCTGGTGGGGGGCAGTGGGGAGGAGTGAGAGGTGTTGGCAGGACAAGGAGTTCGGGTTAGGTGCACAGCTGCCCTTAGAGCCCTCAGGGCCAAATGGAGAAGCCAGAGGGTTCCAGGAATGCCATTCCTCCAGGCTCACCAGCCCCAGAGGCAAGGAATGTAGGGTTCTTCTTGCGCCCAGGGGAAGGTTGTTGGCCCCTGGCTTGCCTGGCTCCAGCCTATCATCTTCTAAGATGCACAGGCTCTTTCACTCCCCAGCAGCTCCTGTGTGCCCAGGATTGATGGGGAAATGAGGCCCCGGGTTGTGGTCATCTGGAGCACACTGTCCCCACTCCTGGTCCTATGGGGTCAGCTGGGTCAGGATTTTCTCCAAAACTCTGAGTAAAGACAGGGATGGAGGAGGCCATGCTATTCCACAGGTGTGTCCTGGTCTTGTGGTGACTGCCACAGGCCCTGGGTACATGACCTGCCTTCAGCCCTTGCAATCAGGGTCACGGCCTCTGATCACGTGAAGGTCTCATGCTTGTCATCAGGGTCACAACCCTGGTGCAGGTCCTCAGCCCTTGTCATCAGAGTCAGGACTCCTGGGTGAATGTCCTGTCCTTGTCATTGGGGTCATGACCCTTCGGTGAAGGTCTCACTCTCATTATAGGGGTCCCGACCCTGGGTGCAGGTCCTGCCCTCAGCCCTCTGCCCTCATCATGGTCTGTCTGCTCTGACACCCTTCCTACATCTCCTGTCTCACCAAGTCATGTCCCTGCATACAGTTGCTACACCTCCTGCCTCTAGCTCCTGCTTAGAAAGTTCTCTCCTCCCATCTTTCAAAGCTCTACTGCCACCTCCTACTCCAGGGCTGCAAGGCTGTGAGGCTGCAGTGGGCCCTCTGCCCCTTCTCTTGTACCTAGCAGAACCGTGGGCCTCATGGGCCTGTGGTCATTGGCAGGTGGGTTGGATGTCCCACTGGCTCTGTTTCTGCCCTGGACCACAGCAGGTAGAGCAGGGCTGCAGAGGATGCTGGGCGCAGCCCTGGTGGCTAAGGCCTCATGGTGTCATCTCTGTCCAGCTTGTTCACTTGTGGTCCATTTGCTAACACTTGTGTGTGGCCAGGGGCACAGGCACATGAAATGCAGACCCCAGGTGCATACCCACAGAGGCTCCTCCCCAGCTGCGAGGCTTCTGACAGGGAGTCGCCCCCGAGCTTTCAGAAGAGTCCAGCGCTACACAAGGACGCAAGGAGCATGGATGGTCCTAGGCTGAGATATCATGCAGCCTGGCAGGTGCAGAGAAACAGGGTCTTTTTGGGGAGTCATTTTCTCCAACACTGAGGTGGGAGAGGGCTGGGGAGGCTGGCAGGGCTGGACCATGGAGAGCCATGGGGGCCAGGCCAGGGGTCAGGGTGGCAAGGCAGGATCAGACACGTTTTAGAAAGGCCCTTTGCCAGTTGACAGGGAGGTGGGAGGAGAGGAGAAGGGGAGCCTGGACAAAGGTAGGCACTGGGCCTGGGAGGAAGGTATGTGGGACCGGGGCCTGGGTCTCCTGGGCTGAGAAGGGAAAGTCCAGCAGGGGTGGGGTTGTAGAAGGGAGGGCAGCAGGCCTGGCCTCTACATCTCCATAAACTCTTGATTTCCAGCTGATGCCCCTACTCTGCAGAAACACTGACCCTGGGGAGATTCTGAGGCTCAGGTCAATGCCTTGGGTAGAGAATGAGGAGGTAATGAGCCCTGAATGGAGTGGCTTTTCACTGTTCCAGCCAAGGGGCCCCCTTCTTTACAGCTGGGGGCCTTGAAGCTCAGCTTGGTCAGGGACTTGCCAGTATCACACTGGGATTGGGGAGTGGCCCTGGGACTACCCTTGGCCTCTGGAGCCCCAGGGCCAGGCTGGGAGTCAGAGCACCACCCTGCTCTGTCTTCTTAGAAAAGTGGCCCAGACTGCTGTCCCACACTACTCATGTCGTACAGGGTCAGAGACCCACAGTGGGCCTAAGGCCCTACTGAGGCCTGGTTCTGAGATGAGGTTTCTGGGAGAAGCCCCCTTGGCCGTCCTTTCTCTAGCGGTGGCAGAGCTGGGTGCTCTAGCCTACTAGAAAGATTTCAGTGGCTCCCGCCATGCTCTGCAGACATGGCGGTCCTTCAGCCTACTTACCCCCATGACATTTTGCAATTTTATTTTCTTTGCTAACATTAGAGGACCATTAAAAGCTAGCTTTCTGGTGTGGGAATACAGAAAGACCACCCACATGAGAACAGGCAAAATCTCTTCATCTAGAGCTGCTCTAGCAAGGGGGCTGGCCGCCATCACTGCATTTGGCCAAGACTCACAGGCAGGCAGAGGGAAAGGGAGGGAAAGCTTCACAGTGGAAAAGGGAGGCTCAGGTGAGCCCTGATGGAGGCAGCCAGCCCGGGGAAGCTGGGGCAGCTCACTAGAAAGGGGGCTGCCTATGTGATTGGTTAGAAGAGCATATTTGTTTTGTTTCTGGCTGGTCCTAAGTTGGAAGCAGGGACAAAAATTAGGGAAGCTGCCAGTTATTAATCAAGTTCTGGCCATTTGGGGCCGATTGTTAGAGGGGTTATTGTTTGGCCTTCCAGGATCGTTGCTAGAGAGAGTGGTCTGACTTCCTATGCATTTGGCTGCATAGGAATAGCAGGCTGGCATCCCGGCTGGTTGCTGCAGACTATGGGACAAGTTCTACTCATATGTATGGCCTGGCTATTGTCCTATTTGATATTCAGTCTCTCCCTGGTTTCTCCTGAGGAATCAGAAGAAAGACCTTTGGCAGCTAGGCAATCCAGATCAACTTCCCCTCTGAGGATGACTCAAGAAGCTGAACAATAATAGCCCCCAAAAGTCTTACTGAAAGCATCAAAAAGCTAGCAAGATCTGGAAGAAGACAAGAACCCAGCGGGGTGAGCCTAGACGTTCCAAGCTGCTTTTGCTCTGGAGGCATTTCCAGTTCCAGGGAATTAGCCTGAAGATGAGCTTTGTTTCTGGCCCTGTCCTTGGACTGGAGGTCTAGACGCCAAAGCCCAGTAAGATGTAAGAGGACAACATTTCACCTGATTTTTAATGCAGCTCTGCCAGTTTTCTTTTGGCAATGTCTATTGGTGATACTAATCTTGACCAATTTTTGCCGAGCGTCTCCACTGCTCAGAAAGAGACTAGCAGCCCTGACATCCGGGGGCCATGCCTTAGGGTGCTCCTGCTGAACACAAACAATTACCCAAAACATCGACCTCAGAGAAAGAAGCCTGCTCCATAATCAAGTGTAACTCAGGAGAACATCAACTAACCACAAAATGGCCCAACAGCTCCCTCTCCTGGGTCATGTGAGCAATTGCTGCTTCTTTACCAACTATAACTTTAGCTGAAGATATTTCATCACAGAATTAATTACTCCTGCTGCCTGACAGCCTCCCACCCAGAAAAAAACCCTGTTTTCTTAAACCCTCCCCCAAAATCAAGGCCCAATCTCATGAGGCCTTTATAACACCCTCTCCCCAAGTCGCCTTATGGTTCTCCAAAGCCTGTGTTCTCCCTTGTTACTGCAGCAAGAAATAAACCCAACTTGTTCAACCTGGTGGCCTTCGCCTGGAAGTCTTAACACTGAAAAGTGACTCTGTGTATCTCTCCATTTGTAGTTAATAAATATCTTGGGGGTTGAATTTGAGATTATACTAATAACTTGTTCTTTTCAAACTTGTGCCCGCTAATTTTAACATTCGTTGGTGGATCTTGTCTGTACCACTTATTACTGTGGTGTTTGCCTGATGGTAGTTTGTCTTCGTTCTTCTACACTTATTAACTGGAATTATTCTGTAAGGAAAGGCTGCCCTTTGCCCCATCATTTATTAGATTACTTAGCACTTTGTTCCAGCTTTGGCCATTGGGAGTGCCTTGAGATTGGCTCCCATGTTCTTTTGACAACTGTTCTTTTTTTTGGGCACTTTCTCACTTTCTGGCATGAGAAGATGCTCCAAACTCATCTTGTAGCTTCCCTGCTTCAACCTGGGAATGAGCCATTTTTCTAAGGATCATGGTGCCTTTTTACTGGAGAATGGTGCTTAGAAGCTGAGATCCTAGCAGAGCTGTCCATGCTCCTGGGTTGTCCCTTGTTGAGGCTCTCTCATCAGCAGACAGGCTAGGAAATATACGCATGTCTGCTAACCCACGCGTGGACATGCATGTGTATTTCTGTGTCTATCTGTTTGTATGCAGATTAAAGTCCTGAGTTTATACTGATACCTCTGGTTCCAAACCAACACAATGGGGCTCGCTTTAGCCTTTCCTCACTTGTAACTTCTTTTTCCAACAGTGAGAAACCCAGCTGTCATTATTATGATATTCTTACTAATTTTTTCAGTTCTAGTCCATGCCTCAAGTAGTTTCAGAATTGCTTGCCACACCCTTGGAGGAAATACATTCACTGGCTACATTACAGCATTTCTTTTTTTTTTTTTTTTGAGACATAGTCTCACTCTGTCTCCCAGGCTGGAGTGCAGTGGCACGATCTCGGCTCACTGCAACCTCCGCCTCCTGGGTTCAAGTGATTCTCCTGCCTCAGCCTTCTGAGTAGCTGGGATTACAGGCACGTGCCACCATGCACAGCTAATTTTTATATTTTTAGTAGAGACAGGGTTTCACCATGTTGGTCAGGCTCGTCTTGAACTCCTGACCTCAGGTGATCCACCCTCGTCAGCCTCCCAAAGTGCTGGGATTACAGGCGTGAGCCACCGTGCCTGGCCCATCGCAGGATTTCTGTGCGGTTCTTTTTGCCTTTAGCCATACAGGATCCAGTCCCGGTACTGTTTTCCACAATGACTTAGGTGAGCTCTTTTCCTCCCTGCTCCCTTCAATGCAGCTGTGCTGTTCATTTGCAGTGCTGTGAAGCTCAAGTGCTACTGTCTGCATTCCATTTTGGGTTTTGCTTGTTTTTTGAGTGTGTGAACTCTACTTTAACTCTAAGAGTCACACAAAAGGCTAGAGACGCAGAGTGTACCCCTCCCCATCCTATCACTTTGTTCTCATCCCCCTGGGTACCCTTTTTCCACCCTTCTCTTAGGTGACCAATCTCTTTAGCTCCTCATTTATCCTTTTCTATATTTCTTTGGCACAAATGAGCATGTACATGTCTATTTTCTTCTCTCTTTTTGAGACAGAGTTTTGCTCTTGTCACCCAGGCTGGAGTGCAATGGCACTATCTCGGCTCACTGCAATCTCCACCTCCTGTGTTCAATGATTCTCCTGCCTCAGCCTCTCAAGTAGCTGGGACTACAGGCATGCGCCACCATGCCCAGCTAATTTTTGTATCTTTAGTAGATGCGGGGTTTCACCCGTGTTGGCCAGGCTGGTCTGGAACTCCTGACCTCAGGTGATCCGCCCGCCTCGGCCTCCCAAAATGCTGGGATTACAGGCATGAGCCACCACACTGGCCCATAATCCACAAGTTTAATATGTGGTAGTTTCATTATTTTTCAGTTCAAATATTTTATCATTTCCATTTTTATTTCTTCTTTTGCTCATGGTTTATTAGAAGCATATTTCTTTAGCTGTTAAAAAGGAGGAAGAGGCGACAGAGCGAGACTCCGTCTCAACAAAAAAAAAAAAAAAAAAAAAAAAAAAGGAGGAAGAGCTCCACAATTGAGGTGAGGGTATTTCTAAGACATACTTTAAGTGAAAAAGGCAAAACACAAACAAGTATCCATAAAATGTTATCCTTCAGGTAGGAAAGAAGGGGATGTAAGAAAATAGACATGTCAACTGGGCGTGGAGGAGGAGCATTTCTTCCTTTGCTCTTTCCAGCGGCCATATGAGCAGTGTCATCTACGTTCTGCAGATAAGGAAATGGACTGAGAATTCATTTGCTCTTTCCAGCAGCCCTATGAACAGAGTCATCTATGTTCTGCAGATAAGGAAATGGACTGAGAACTTAGACAGGGAGTGTGTCTTCTTTCTCTCTGCACCCCGATGCCTGAAAATGTCGACTGGAAGACACCTAGGCCTGCAAGGCTGTGAGGGAAGTCAGGGGGTCCCAAGGGCTGCCTGTGGCCACCCTGACTTGGATCTGGAACACCTGCTCCTCCTTACTCATTGCTGCCTGGCGTGGCTCCACACTTACCCACTCCTCCAAAAAATGGCCCTGGCTAGGTTGGGTTTACAGTGGATTATTAATGCTTTGATAATCCTGCCTGCCCTCTCCCTCCGCCCTCTCTCTGTCTCCCCAGCCTCCTGCTCCTCCTCTGGTCTTCCTGTCCAGTCATGCTGCCACTGTCCTGCCTTTATTCTGTAGGCTGAAACATTCCTGCCTCCTGCTTCTAGTCTTCAAGTAAACTTTCAAGTAGCGTATGTTCCTCAAACATGGCTCTCAGGGAGCAGATCTTACCAGGAGTGGAAAAGGCTCCCCGTTGCCTGTCATGTGGTATATACACTTCTAGAAAGCCCTCCATAAATCCATTTCAGTAAAAGGGACATTTACCACTGCTAAGAAGGGATGGCTGAGCACACTAGTTCTTCACTTAACAACCAGAGTTATTTACAGAATCTCCTTCCTACACATGCTTTTGGGATTTCAAGTTTGAATTGTGACTTGAGTCTTACTCTGTCACCCAGACTGGAGTGCAGTGGTCCAATCATGGTGCACTGTGGCCTCATCCTCCTGGGCTCAAGCAATCCCCTTAGTTCAGCCTCCCAAATAGCTGGGACTACAGGTGCACATGACCATGCCCATCCAATTTCTAAAATTTTTTTTGTAGGGATGGGGTCTCACTGTGTTGCCCAGGCTGGTTTCGAATTCCTGGCCTCCCAAATGAACTCTGAAAAATTTTTTTTTGTATTTTTTATTTTTTTATAGAGACAGTCTCACTGTGTTGCCCAGGCTGGTCTCAAACTCTTGGCCTCAAGTGATCCTCCTGCCTTGGCCTCTCAAAGTGTTGGGATTACAGCTGTGAGCCACCGTGCCTGGCTTGACTTAATTTTTAATAAAATGTGTGTTTCAGTAGGGTTTCCTTTGTTCTGCATGGCTAATTATTGTACTGAGCCACGTCTTCCATGCCCAGAGGACATCTGTGTTTCAGTCAATGGACCCCATTGCTCCCCATCCTTGCCCACAGGTGCTTAGGCTGCTCCTCCTCTCAAGCTCTTAGACTCATGCATCAAAACATCCAAACAAGGTCCCTCTTCTCCAGATATCTACCTCTTCTCCTACAGTGTCTCTTCCTGCCTGAGTCCACCCTGTCTCACTCTGTCCTCTGCTTGCCTACGTGTATAAACCATACTCCTCAGAAGCATGAAAAGCTGCAGGCTGAGATCTTATTAGGCTGGGCCAACGTGGAGTGCAGTGGGACTGCCCTGCAGTAGTGGGAGTCGTGGGGCGGCCACTGTTCCTGCCAGCTCAGGGGTGGAAGAGGAGCATTTCTTCATTTGCTCTTTCCAGCAGCCCTATGAGCAGGGTCATCTATGTTCTGCAGATAAGGAAATGGACTGAGAACTTTAGAAAAGGACCTGGGAGCCAGGGTCTGAAACAAAGTCTGTTTGACACCAGAGTGAGGACAATCATTCTGCCCCGGCTTTGATTGCATTTTATGGTGAGGCTCAAAAGAGAAAATGGGAAAACTTCCTATGGGCTGTGACATGCTGTATAACGTTGGGCATAGTGGTTACTAGAAGTCCTTGTAAGCACTGTGAGCCAAGAAGGCCAGCGGGGTTGAGTGCTACTAGAAGGTTAACAGGCTGTCTTCTAAGAGGCCTCACGAGGTGGGGATACCTCAGTGGTACTGTAGTATCGCCACAGCATCCAGGCTTAGGGCCTTAACCTCACAGGCCCAGAAATGCACAGAAAACTTCATACACAAGGAAGGACTATGTGTTAGTTTATTCTCACATTGCTATAAAGAACTACCTGAGACTGGATAATTTATGAAGAAAAGAGGTTTAATTGACTCACAGTTCCACAGGCTGTTCAGGAGGCATGGCTGGGGAGGCCTCAGGAAACCTACAATCATACCGGAAGGGGAAGTGAGTACCTTCTTCTCATAGTGGCAGGAGAGAAGAGTTCTCGAGAGAGTGTGAGAGAAGGGGGAGGTGCTACACACTTTTAAATGATCAAGTCTTGTGAAAGCTCACTCACTATCACGAGAACAACAAGGGAGAAATCTGCCCCCGTAACCCAATCACCTTCTACCAGGCCCCTCCTCTGACACATGGAATCTCAGGTGTGAACATACTCCTCTGGCCTCCCGGGCTTTCTTGTTCCACCTATCTTCTGTTTCACCCAGAGTATGGCCATTCTCCAGGTCCTATGTCTGTCCTGATTTCTACACAGGTGACTCTTTAGCCATTTTAGGTGCTACTTGGGTCATTGGAAGAGATGATCCAAGGTAAGTTTGGGAAAGGCAGTGCTATGGGATGAAAAGAGCCAACAATTGACTGAGTCAACAAACTGGACCCCACGCTAGCTCTTTTGTGTGTGTGTGTGTTTCTTTTTTTTTAAATTATTATACTTTAAGTTCTAGGGTACATGTGCACAACGTGCAGGTTTGTTACATATGTATACATGTGCCATGTTGGTGTGCTGCACCCATTAACTCATCATTTACATTAGGTATTTCTCTTAATGCGATTCCTCCCCCCTCCCCCCACCTCACGACAGGCACCGGTGTGCGGTGTACCCCACCCTGTGTCCAAGTGTTCTAATTGTTCAATTCCCACCCATGAGTGAGAACATGTGGTGTTTGGTTTTCTGTCCTTGCGACAGTTTGTTCAGAATGATGGTTTCCAGCTTCATCCATGTCCCTACAAAGGATGTGAACTCATCCTTTTTTATGGCTGCATAGTATTCCATGGTGTATATGTGCCACATTTTCTTAATCCAGTCTATCATTGATGGACATTTGGGTTGGTTCCAAGTCTTTGCTATTGTGAATAGTGCCACAATAAACACACATGTGCATGTGTCTTTATAGTAGCATGATTTATAATCCTTTGGGTATATACCCAGTAATGGGATCACTGGACCCCATGCTAGCTTAACCACCGTCCCCTCTCTGGGTCTCAGATTTGCAACAGGTGGCGGGAGTGTGGGAACTATGGGCCTCACCCCAGAGTGGCTTCCAGGAAAGAACTTCCTGAAGCTGTGTGTGTGGCTGCCTTTGCACTCTGCAGCCATTTTATTCCAGGAATGTAACACATAGGCCTGTGCAAAGATTTTACCATGAAATCACATTGTTATTTGTTGTACAGAAAATCTAACACTAGAAAGTTGGTGATGTCCATTGTGATATCCACACAAAGGAATACTATTCAGCCATCAGAAGCCTTCTTTTTACAGTAGGGCTGAAAAGGGGAGGAGAAAATAATTTTCACTTTATGTATTACTGTGTTGCACAAGGTTTAAATTGATATATTTCTGTCTTCTTTACTGCTACCACCATGTACTCCTTTAACTTTATAGAAGGTTTTATTATTACCAAATAGTAAAATGGTCATAACAAACTAAGAAAAAACATCAGTATCTTCCCTGTTGTAAAATCTAATGAAGACAGATAAAGGATTTCCAATCACGGCAGACACAGTACTGGCAGAATGGTCATACTCAGGACACGAGAAAGCCAGGGAAGCCAAAGAGCACATTCACACCTGGCATTCCAGGTGCCCAGTGCATGTTCTCAGAGCAGCAGCAGGGGAGCCTGGAGGGTTATGATTTCACATGAATCTAACTAAAAAACGTAAAAAGTAGGCTGGAAGGTATTATGATTTTTTTTTCTAAAGTCAATATGCCACAGATGATTTTTATTTCCTTTTGTTTCACTTCATTTTTTATTTCTTCCCCCAAAACGACATGTACCACTTCTGTAAAGTGCAGAAAATGCAAACACAAAAACCCGGAAGGTGCCTTCCAAGTCTGCGAACTGCACAGGAGCCTGTGCCCCCCACCTCTCCAGAAGCCTGCCTTTCCCCAACTACCAACACCAGTTTCAGATCTTTTGCTATCATGAGGGTTCAGGACAGCTCTGCTCTGACATCCAGAAAGGAGGAGAGTCCCAGGTCAGCCATTTGGCCCTGGACAAATAGCCCTTTATTTACTTCTTTCTCCCTGTAATATGGGGACAGACAAAAATGAAGTTATTAAGTGCCTATGAACTAAGAGCTTCTGGCATACTTCATCTTTTTTTTTTTTTTTTTTTTTTTTTTAGACAGAATCTTGCTCTGTTACCCAGGGTGGAGTACAGTGGCGTGATCTTGGCTCACTGCAAACTCCACCTCCTGGGTTCAAGCGATTCTCATGCCTCAGCCTCCTGAGTAGCTGGGATTACAGGCACCTGACACCACGCCTGGCTAATTTTTGTATTTTTAGTAGAGATGGGGTTTCTCCATATTGGCCAGGCTGGTCTCAAACTCCTGACCTCAGGTGATCTGCCCTCCTCGGCCTCCCAATATGCTAGGATTACAGGTGTGAGCCACCGCACCTGGCCTACTTCATATTACTATTATTATTATTATTTTAAAAGATTCCCAAAGCAAAATCCTGGCATCCAAGAAAATCTGGAAGGAACATCTTCAGTTTCATGGCCCATGTCTCTTGCATTTCTCCTCAACACTTCTTGTGCCAAATGCTCACCTCCCTGACAGGGACCATCTTTGGTATTCACCAAGTCCTCCAGATCTCTGATGAAGGCCTCCCCCTTTTTCAGTTCAGGATATCAAGTCTGGCTTTGGGTAAGCACAGTCAGCACTGAGAGGCTACCCCGTTAGGCTAGTGTCCTTGAGCTCTTAGTCAGAAAGCCCATTCACAGCCACAGCATTTACTTTGACTCATTAGAGGTGTAACCTATTGAGAAAGATAAAGGAATAAGCAGAGGACTCAGGGATTCATTCATCCCACAAAAATCTGAGTCTCTACTATGTGCGAGGCTCTCTACTGGGCATCAGAGGCTTGAAGATGGGTAAGACAGGATTGCCGCTCTCATACGGCTGAGGAATACTATATGCAGTTTTGCCCCATCTCCTGCTCACACTCTCCCTGGCTCTGTATTTTATGTTACTATATTTCCCCTGCCTTTGCATCTGCCATGACTATGACTGTAACTATCCTGAGAGCCAGGGTGAGCATCTTCCAAGTTGTAGACTCACCATTCTTCTCAGCTTTTTGTCCTGTTTTTGACTTAATTAAACAGGAACCTGGGCTCTTGTGAGCAGGATTAGGGGAAAGAGCGATGAGTGGCTATAAGGCATCAAGGACTTGATTCTATTCCGAGACCAGGAGGTCAGCGAGAATGAACCATTCCAAAGGGATCTTGCCTTGAATCCATGCCCCAGCCTTGTGTGAGGGAGAGTGTGTGTGTGCCCATCCTATTGCTGGGGTGGTGTGTCTAGTGTGTGTCTAGTGTAAATTGGATCACAGTGGTGTGTTGAATGTGGGAAGGATCTGGCAGAGTGATTCAGTCCTCAGATGAGGGTATCTGGAGGGTGGGGTTCAGGGAGCTGTCCCTTGTTTGCTTTTCTGCTTGTTGAGTTTGAGGCACAGGTAGAGGACAGACTGGGGGCAGAGAGGTCAGGGTCATTTCAGATTTGTCTGCACAGGGTGCAGAATGCATGGTCTTAATGGTCATGGATTATATTGCCAAGAGGTGCTGAGGGAAGAGAGAGACTGCCAAGGGCCAGTCTTGGAGAAAGCCTGTGTTCTTAGGGCAAGGGAGGGAGAGAAAGACACTGAGAGGAGTGACTGAAGAATACCAGGAAGGAGAAAGTATGGGGGGTGGGGTGGAGGGAGTAGGGAGATGGGGGAGGGGAGGTAAGGGGGCCGCAAGTGCCAAATGCTGCCAAAGTTGGAGAAAATGAGGTCTGGCAGTGTTCACAGGGGTTGGGAACCAGGAGCGTACTTTGGAGCTTTCAGTGGCGCCTTTTCAGGAAATATCAAGACTAGAGGGAAAGGTTAAGATGAAAGGTGGCGAGTAGCGGGAAAGATGGTTGGAGGGTAGATGCTCCAAGAGTTGGTTTGTAAGGCAAACGTGGCAGAATTGGCTTTGGAAACAGAACCCCATATACCATCCCTGGAGTGGAGGGAGGGTGAAGATGAGGCGTGTAAAGATGAAACGGGGGAGCAGAGAGCACATCAACTTTTACCCAGTACAGGAGGCCACGGGGCCATCCACAGAAAGTGATAGGGACAGGAATGCAGCTGATGCTCTGGGGGACTGGGAGGTCTCGGTTGATAGCAGGCAGCTGTCCTTCGTTGAGCTTCGGGCTGAGCTTTGTGCTCAGGGCCTTAGACTTCATCATTATCTTAGCTATCTCCACAAAATCCTTCCAGACCAGACATTACCCTCATTTTACAGACCAGGAAACTGGGGCTTAGAAAGGCCAAGTAATTTTCTCCATGTGACATAGTTGGGAGGTGATGAAGCCAAGAGGTGAACACTTAACCCCATACCTAGGAGGGGATCAGCTGTGGGGCGATGCTGAGCCCTCCTACAAGGCTGCCCACGCAGCAGGACTGCTGGGCTGCTGCAGGCGTGGGGAGAAGCCATTTTAATAATGAAATGGAGAGACCCATAAGGCAGGCATAAGTATTGCTGAGACTTTTATTTTTGATTCTAGAGAGTCCAGAATACATGATTTGATGCAAGGAGGGCTGCCTTATCTTGGAGAATCAGATCAGGAATGTCCTGGGCCCCCCAGTTCTGCCGGGTAAGGGCGGCAAGGGCCGCATGGGTAGGCGGGGCTCGTCAGCCACATTCTCAAGAAAATCTTTTCCAATCTGGGCAACATAGTGAGACCCCATCTTTAGAAAAAACAAATTAGGTGGGCATGGTGGCATGTGCCCTTAGTCCCAGCTACTCAGGAGGCTGAGGCAAGAGGATGGGTTGAGCCTGGGAGGTTGAGGCTGCAGTGAGCAATGATGGCGCCACTGCACTGCAGCCTGGGTGACAGCATGAGACCCTGTGTCAAAAAAAAAAAAAAAAGCTCTGTGCTCCAAGGTGATGGGAGCTACTTTGGCATTTGTGGCCACCCACCGAAAACCAGAGGATGGGAAAAGTTTGCCAGGGAATGCTGATGGCGGGGGGGCACCGTCTTTGGGATAGTGGGAGAGGCTGCTGTGCTGGGGATCGCTCCAGCACTGGTCTGGGGCTTGGGGCTCCTCAGCTGTGCCTCTGCACCCGGGGCCCTTGGATTTGGTTTCCTCCTCCGTGGCTGTAGGGACCCTACAGAAGTGTCCTCTCAGCCTCTGTTCTTCTGGAAGGCTTGGGACAACCTGATGCAGACCTGGGGACTATGGCTAATGAGTGTGGGAGCCCCAGACAGAAAGCCAAATGGGAGGGGTGGGGGGTGTAGAGGCTGTAGGCTGGGCCCCTGTGGTTGGAGAGGAAGGTTTAAGACACAGTCAGGAAGGCTCTGAGGGCTGCCCAGACATAGTCTCTGAGGGGCCCTTTTGAACAGCATTAGGATGGGGCTAGCCTAGGAACCTCTAGGAAAGGAGCCAGGCTCACCCAGGGCTGGAACTTGTAGTTGAGGTGTCCTCTTCAGCATTGTCTGTCCCGTAAGCATAAGGCTGGGGGGCTGGCGGACATCAGGCAGTGTACCCAACATGGGGCAAAAGGGCTTTTACAGCCAGCGGAGCCAGGTGCTGTGAGCAGTATGAACGAAGGCAGGCCGGGAGCAGGGCCGTGGGCCTGGGCTCGGGAGGAAACCGCTGAGCAAGGTGGGCTGTATCCCCAAGTAAGGAGTCCCTGCAGGGGGTGGACGGGAGTTGACAGGCTCAGGCTGAGCTCCACTGGGCTACACTGAGTGTCTCAGGCCTCTCCATCTCAGGCCACGATTGTCCTGGGGCCAGCTGGGGTGGAGGTGGCAGCAAGGTCAAAGGGCAAGAGAGGTAGACAAGGCTAGAAGCACTAAATGCTCTGGGAACCCCAGGTGTGACTTAGAGATGACTGTGGAAGGGAGGGCAAGTGGGCCACCTACTGGGCAATAGGCCAGGGGGCAGCGGTCACAGAGTCACTGGCTTCTGAGACCAGACATGAGCAAGAGTTGGGCCTTAGGCACGGAATAGCACACCCTGTTGCTGCCCCCGAATACCCCCTAGGCTGTCCTAAAGCAGACTTTGCCTAAAGCCCAACGAGAAACGGTGCATGCCTCGGATGAGGGCTGGCCCCACAGCTGGATCTGAAGAAGGACTGGAGCACGGGAGTACATGGGCACTGGAGTTCTCTCTGCCTCTCCTCTCTGGCTGCATCTCTCGGCAGTGCCAGGGTTCTCTCCTCCTGAGTTTCGGGAAATGGTCCCAGGCTGAACTGAAGTCTCAGCCCAATTTCAGATTCCCAGCAAGGAGACTTTGAGCAGGAGCTTGGGTATTATGTCCATCTGACCATGCAGAAGGGGTGGAGACACCATGTGACTAGCTTACACTCAGCTGGGGGGTTGGAGGTGATTGGTTTGCACACTGGGCAGTGGTCCCAGGAAGCTCCTAGGCAGGTGGGGAATGTCATGTGTCCAGAAGATGCATGTGCAGATGTGTGTATACATGTATGCCCTACCTGTGTGTGGGGATGCCCTGAAAACTTAAAAAATTATGTAATAAAAATAAATTTTGCAATAGAAATATTGTTAAAACTTCAGAAAAGACACAAAAGAAACTTAACTGATATCTCTGGACAAGTGGGACTGAGGCGTTAACATTTAGCACTTTCGTAACTAAAAAATTATTTTGTAATAAAACATTTTGTAATAAAATAATTTTAAATAAAATATCAAAAAGATATTGTAATTGAAATTAATAAAATATATATTAAATATTTTTATAATAAATATGTAAAAAAAGTGACAAACACTCTACAGTATATCAATGTTTAAAACAAGAAAATGAAGACACACATAAGTATAAAAAATGCAAAACTGCAAAAAGGTACAGAGTGTTTGGGTGAGGGAAAGTTCATTTAGTTCTGTCCCAGGCATTTGATGGTGAAACCCAGTTCCTGAGCTGGGGATTGCGGGCGAGCGCAGGAGGGCACCCAGCCCAGAGATCAGATGTGAGAAAAGAGTCAAGGAAGGCTCCTCGGAGGAGGTGACCCTGCAGCTCCATCTTGACAGGTGAAGTTGAGCCAGGAGGAGACTGAGCTGGGGGAGCTGACCCGGAGGAGGAGGGTCTCAGAGCGAAATGAGGAGCCGGTTAATTCCAGCAGAAGGCAGAAATGAGCCGCTGAGAGCTCAGAGAGGGTACATGGGCATCCTGGATGGAGGACACACGCGGCTCACCTCCTCCAGGCTCTGAGCTGTGCAGAGAAGCGGGCCAGGCTCAGCCCGTACTCGGCTCCTCGGCGGCAACCGCACTCATGCATGAGAAGAGCGGCGTTCCTGTAGGTCAGACACCGCAGAGCTCGCCCCTTAGCCTGGCTGGCTTCTCCTCCTGTCCTGGCCTTTGAATGTCGAGCCTGCCGAGCCCCGTGCTTTTGCAGGGTTTCTGCACAGGTCCAGCCCGGCAGCCCGCCTCTCTCTGAGCTCAGGTCAGCCTCACAGCAACGCCCGTCAGGCCTGGCTCCTTCCCTCCACTACTGCTCCTTGTCTGCAGCCGGCCCCGTCCACCATCCAGGACCTAGGCAGACCAGCGGAGACTTCGGCATGGGCCTGCTATTCCCCAAACTCACCGGCTCACCATCTCCCCATCTCTTTCCCTGCGGAGGCATGTGTCCTTGTGCTTCCGGTGGATCCTCCGCACTGCTTCTCAAAGTGCCATGTGATGTCACACTCCTGATGCACGTGCACAACTTGCAGAGGGCATTTGTTCATTCGCTCATTACACAAGTATGCGTCAGGCGCACACGTTGTACTAAGCATTGTTCTGGGCGCTGTATTACAATCATAAACAAGACAGATGTGGACCCTGCCCCAGGTAGCATGCATTCCACAGGAAGGCATGCAGTAAACTTGAACATCATTCATTCCTCTCAGTCTTTTCATTTCCCCGGTGAAGGGGAAAAGGAGTGCAATATGAAGTCAGCACTGGAGTGCAAGAGGGGCTCCCCAACTACTACCTGAGGGACTTCAAGTAAAGCAAATCAGGCAATTAATCAGAAAATTACATTATTTAAAAAAATTTATTTATTTAGACAGGGTATCACTGTGTCACCCAGGCTGGAGTGCAGTGGCGCGATCACGGCTCAACACAGCCTTGACCTCCTAGGCTCAAGTGATTCTTCCATCCCAGACTCCCAAGTAGCTAGACTACAGGTGCTTGCCACCATGCCTGGCTAATTTTTTTTTTTTTTTTTTTTTAGAGATAGGGTTTTGCCATGTGGCCTAGGCTGGTCTCTAACTGATTTATTTATTTGAGACAGGGTCTCACTGTTTCACCCAGGCTGGAGCTCAGTGGTGCGAACACGGCTAACTGCAGCCTTAGTCTCCTGAGTAGCTGGGACCACAAGCTCATGCCACCATGCCTGGCTGATTTAAAATTTTTTTTTTTGTAGAGACAGAGTCTTGCTTTATTGCCCAGGTTGGTCTTGAACTCCTGGGCTCAAGTGATCCTCCCACCTCAGCCTCCCAAAGTACTGGGATTACAGGTGTGAGCCACTGCTCCCAGCCATGACTTTACTTTTTATTGAAGGATCAGGTCTATTATCACAAATGTGGAGTTCAGATGGTAGGTCAGTCAGCGTGCTAGCTGGAGATGGGACATACTCTCCAAAGAGCAGATTGAAGCAGGGAATGTCTGTGTACTGTGGTGTCCAAGGAGCCAGCGCTGTATGGGGAAGCACACCTAACATCTGCCAACCAGAAAGGGAGCCATCCAGCTGCAGCCCCAGGCCTGAGGGAGCAGGGGAAAGGGGCTGGGTCTAGAAGCCACTGGCAGGGCTGCATCGAGCCCTTCCATCTGCCACTGGTGCTTCCTATTGGCCAGAAAAGCGAAGGTAGAGGATCTGTGATGTGTCTGAAGGTTAGTGTGGGTGGAAGATCAAGTGTGGCACCGATCCAGGGGGCAGACATGAGTGCCCAGCATGGACAGAAACTTTCTCTCCATCCTTCTTGCCAGCTAACAGAGAGGACCTCACCTCGTCCTCCTCTGTAACAGTGGGGTGTGGAGAAAGATGGTGTTGAGTGGAGAGTGGTAGCAGGAGAAGTCACTGGCAGTAGTTTTAGGCTGACAGAATCTCTTTGAGCAGAATTACTAAAAAATGAAAAAGGGGTTTCCACCTAGAAAAAGGTGACTTGGGGTTTTTGTTGTGTGACTCTTTTGCAACCAGAGGGATTCTCCTCTCTCTTGGCTTTGAAGGTTTTTCACCTTAAGTCTGGGCTCCATAGACCTTTTGAAATTTGAAAATCACAGAGCCTGATTGTCGGCTGACAACGGCCAGCACCATCCATTGTTGCACTGCCTTCCCGTCCCCTGTGGCTTCCGTGTGGCTTTGTGGGAACCAAGCTGTTTGTGGAGAAAGCACACAGTCGAGCGTTCATTGGAGAGGGACCTGGTGGGTGGGCGATTGTCATCCAGGACCCAGGCATGAATAAAGGGTGACCAATGAGAATAAATAATAGCGCACATGAGCGGAGGACGGACTTGAGGACAGTCCAGCCGGGTTCCCTGGGGCAAAGCCTTCTCTCTGAGCCTCCATTTCCTTGGTATTACACACTAAAGTCCTGAGTCCTGGGGATGGGTTTTGAGGTTTGGAATTCAACATGAAGTGACTCAGGCAATAATTTAAACTCTTTTTCCATTATTGAGTATCCATCTCCTCTTTTAAGATACATTCTAATCCGATCCGTCATTCGCTAGATGATGCCGTTATCATCCCGCTTTAATCAGGTTTGAGGCTGGACGGTAAACTGAGTATCTGAAGTAGTCACACATTAAGACCAGTGAGGCCTAATTTCAAGGATGCAGTGCAGCACAAGAGGGGTTTCGGGTTGTTCTAAGGGAGTTGATGGTTTCAGAATGTGTCCTTTGTAGTGGGGCATGCAGGACCCAGGGAGAGGATTCTATTGTCCTCTTCCCTGGGGAAGCTCAGAAGAGGAAGATCGTGGGGTCATCTACAGCTCTCGCCACTGCTCTCATATCATTGCCCTCTACTCTCCCTCCTGGGTTCCCTTGACTCTTGGCTAGCATGTTGGACAGTCTCTCCCTGGTCTCACCAGCCCCTCCCAGGCCATAGCTGCAGCTCTTGCACATTTACTGTCAAAGCACTGCCAGGAAGGGCCCGGAGACCCCTAAGTGGACTGACTGCCTGGGTTTTCCATCTTCCTTTTTGGCCCCGGTGTGAAGCCGCAGCCCTTCCTTCCCCAATGATCAGGGTCAGCTCCTCCTATCAGAGTGGTCACTCTGTTCTCCCCCTGGTAGGATCAGGACGTCCAACCTGCAGAGTCAGAGTTATGGGCATGGGCAACATGACTTCCCCATGTGGGCCACTGGAGTGATGGCGTGGGGCCTCCTGCTTCTTCTTTGATATCCATCCCTGTGGAGTCTGCACAGCAACATGGCAAATGTACACTGCATTGTGGAGGATGGGACCTCACTCTCACAGGGCTTCATCTCCAAGCTGGCTTTTCAACAGGGTGACCCTGTACTCCAGCAGGAGGGCGGCTTCTGGGTGGAGCCGTGTGTGATGTGAGTAGGGCTGCCAGGGCTGGGTGTACCTCCCACACTGCGGGATTTTCCTGTGTGCTTTTCCCACCTCCATTCCCGGTGTCAGGGGTTGCTCTGGGGGAGGCCCAAGTAAGACGTGAAGTGTGTTAGTTGTATGAGTTTTAGGTTATATTAGGTGGTACAGTTTTCTAGGGCTGCCACAACATTTTATCACAAACTTAGCACCTTAAGCTACACGAGTGTATTATCCTACAGTTCTGACGTGGGTCTCCCGGGCTAAAGTCAAGGTTTTGGCAGGCTGTGCTCCTTCCTGGGGGCTCCAGGGCAGTCTGTGTTCTTGCTTTTTCAGGCAGTTGGCGGAGAGGAATTCTTTGTGGCTGTAGGCCCTGGGCCCCTGCTTCCTTGCTGGCCGTCAGTGGGGGCTGTTCCCAGCTCTAGAGGCCACCCCATTTTTTGACTGGTGACTCCTTCCTCCATCTTCAAAGCCAGCCATCGGAGGTCGAAACCTGTGACATCTCACTTCTCTTCCCCAGTCTCAACTCTCTGATCCAGCCAGGAAAGGTTCTCTGATTTGAAGGGCTCATGTGATTAAATTGGCCTCCCCCCACCCCCCACCAGATAATCCAGGATCATCTCTTTGCCTCAAGGTCTGTGAGCTTCATCACCTCTGTGTTCATATCAGTCAGGGTTCTCTAAAACAGAGCCAACAGGATGTGTGGATATACAGAAAGAGATTTATTTTAAGGAATTGGCTCATGGGGTTATGCAGGCTGGCAAGTCCAAAATCTGCAGGGCTGGCTGGAAGGCTGGGGACACAGGGGAGAGCCCACGCTTAAGTCCAGTGCCCATCTGTGGGGGGACTCCTTCCTTGGGGGAGGTCAGTCTTTTCATTACCTTCGCGTCTTTACCTGACTGGATGAGGCCCACCCACATTAAAGAGGGCAATCTGCTTTGCTCAGAGGCCACCGATTTAAGTGTTAATCTCATCCAAAATACCCTCACAGCACACCCAGCATAGTGTCTGAGCACGTATGTGGGCACCGTGGCCCAGCCAAGTTGACACATGAAATTAACTAATACATCCACAAAGACCCTTTGACCAAGTAAGGTGACAAAGGTTCTGGAGATTAGGTACGCACATCTTTGGGGGCCGTTATTCTATGAACCATACTGATCTTTCCCTTTCTCTCTTCTACTGAAATCCAGAGCTTCATCTTTTCCTCAGGGATTCATGACACACAACCAAACCAATGGAGTGTGTGGCCCTGAGCTTTCCAAACCAACAGGGAGCACATGGTACTGAGCTCTCTGGGGTAAGTGCTTCCTTAGGCCTCACCCTGAGACAGTGATCCTGGGCACAGAGCTGGCACCTTGGGGCTTCATGGTTTCTTGCTTCACCATGTCACGTGGGAAGGGGCTTCCTGCCTCCCTCCCTCTGTCACTGTGCTGTACTCCCTCGGAGGAGACGGCAAACACGTTCTTAAGAGAATGACCCTTAACATGTACTGTGCTCTCCAGTCTCCAAAGTACTTTTCCTTCTTAGCAACGCAGGAACCCTGCTCCTAAATGACATTGTTTTTATTGTCAAGTGCAGGCAATAAAACTCATAACTCACACCCCAAATAATCATAACAGGTGTTTTAAACTGTTGCAGTTAACTTTGAGCTCACCAAGGTTCAAAGAAGCCAAGAGGTATGCTCAGGGCCCCAAACTTGCCCTGGCACCAGCTCTGAGTCTTTGCTTATGTCGCCTGGTGGGAGCAGGGCAGAGGGGGATGGGGTCAGCATGCTTAGGGTCAGATGATGTGGTGGGAGAGGGGAGGTTGTGCTCCAGGAAATGACTGTGCGTATTTTGTCCAGCAGGGGCCAACAATGTTCTGCCTGAACACACTCACACATTCCTCACGTGTGCATACACTTATGCCCCACACCACAGTCACAATCATGAGACACATAGATTCATATATGCTCCACACACAACACACATGAACACCCATTCATACACCACACACACACACCATCACCTCACAGCAGGTACACACACATCCCATACACACATGCCACACATTCGTGAGCTGCACAACACACCCACACAGGTACATATACTCATCAGTGCACACACATAAACTCTCACAACACATGCATTATATAAAACCCACCACATGCCACAAAATGCACTGTAGGAAAATGAGAAAGCAGAGACCAGCAGAAGGTAATGTAAATTAAACACCACTTTAAATCTTTCCAGAGCCAGAAATGACCACAGATAACATTTTAATGTATTTTCCTCAAGACATTTTCTGATAGGTTTTTCAAAAATAAAATAAAATGAAAGTAAACTTGCTTCATTGACTTAAAAAAGGAAATGAATGGCAGATGAATGGGTAAATGAAATGTGGTCTATCCACACAACAGAATATTATTCAGCCTTAAGAAGGAAGGAGGCCGGGCGCAGTGCTTCACACCTATAATCCCAGCACTTCGGGAGGCTGAGGTGGGCGCATCACCTGAGGTCAGGAGTTCGAGACCAGCCTGGCAAACATGGTGAAACCCCATCTCTACCAAAAATACAAAATTTAGCTGGGCGTGGTGGGAGGGCCTGTAATCCCAGCTACTTGTGAGGCTGAGGCAGGAGAATCGCTTGAATCCAGGAGGTGGAGGTTGCAGTGAGCCGGGATGGCACCATTGCACTCCTGAGTGACAAGAGCAAAACTATGTCTCAAAAAAAAAAAAAAGGAAATTCATCTCAGCCTCCACAGTATCTGAGACTACAGGCGCACCTCACCACACACGGCTAATTTTTGTATTTTTTTTGTAGAGGCGGGGTTTCACCATGTTGCCCAGGCTGGTCTAGAACTCCTAAGCTCAAGCAGTTAGCCCACCTCGGCATCTCAAAGTGCTGGGATTACAGGCATAAGTCACCACACCCATCCTAAAATGCTTGATTTGACGTTAAGTATTTTTTATTGCAATTAAACAAATGAGCAAACAAACGCAACAGGAGATGGAAGGCTGTGTCTTGATCCGTGGGAAGGTGGAAAACAGCTGAGGGTCAGAGGCACCCCTTCCTGGAATCTCCTTCATCACCCTTCTTTGAAGACCGGTCCTCTGTGTCCCTGGAGAGGGGTCACCGAGGCGTTGCTGCTGCCTCAGGGACAGAGGCGTAGTCTCATCGACAATGATACCGTTATTTCAGTGTCTGTCCAGCAGGGGGAGCCAGGTGCCCGGGAATGGCTTCCCTTGGCTCCTTCTCAACCCCCACCCTCCTGAAGTCTAGCCCCAGAGCAAGCAGAACCAGATCCCAAACCTCACCAGGTTCTGTGCTCAGGCCCTTGCCTGGACACGTGGACTCCGGGCAGAAGCATTACTTCCAGGGAGAGTGAAGGCCCAGCGGCCATGTGTTCCCCTGATCTGGTAGAAACACCAGGATGTTATTTCTTCCTCTTAGAAGAGGCCACTTGAGTGTCAAGAAAATGTTCTCTTACAACTATTTAAGAATAAGAGGAATCACAGAATAAATATCATGATAATGGTGAATCAGGGCTTGATCAGGAGAGAGACTACACCGCAACCTGAATGGGGAAGTTTGGTGTAAAGAATTATGAACCGGCCGGGCGCGGTGGCTCACGCCTGTAATCCCAGCACTGTGGGAGGTCGAGGCAGGAGGATCACCTGAGGTCGGGAGTTCGCGACCAGCCTGACCAACATGGAGAAACCCCGTCTCTACTAAAAATACAAAAATTAGCCGGGCATGGTAGCACAAGCCTGTAATCCCAGCTACTCGGGAGGCTGAGGCAAGATAATTTCTTGAGCCCCGGAGGCAGAGGTTGCAGTGAGCCAAGATCATGCCATTGCACTCCAGCCTGGGCAATAACAATGAAACTCCTTCTAAAAAAAATATAAATAAATAAATAAATAAATAAATAAAATAAATAAATAATTATGAACGCTAAGAGGGGATTCCTGAGAGGACCCCAGTGCACACAGGATCGCAGACACAGGGAATGGTGCCGGGGCCAGCACCCACCGAGGGACAAGCAGGGAGACAGGTGCTGTCCAGGGCACACCCCATGGTCAATCTCATTTATGGCGGCAGCCTTTCCACACTCAGGGTCGGGGGGATGCACCGTGGAAGGGGCAGGTCCCTCTCTCCCATGGCTCAGCTCCTCACAGCCTGTGTTAAACCCACCTGCCCTGCAGAGGCCATGGGCACCACTGGGCACAGAGAGGAGAAGTGAGGGCCCTGCCTTAGAGGGACCTAGGGGCAGTAGACACAACTCCCTGGGAGTTTGTTGGGGCATGGTTGGTTCCATGGAGGAGAGGTGTTGGAACCCAACTCTGTAGAATGGCCAGGGCTTCCCCACTGCAGAGCCAGGGTGGGGAGTCCAGGAAAGGGAGCATTGCTCCCTGGTGCAGGCTTGGGGGAACTGGCTGCCCCCCTCCCACCTGACAACCCCATCCTACTGTTCCAGCCTGCAAGCTATGTGCAACCGCCTTTGGGGCTGTGGGACCGAGTGGAGACTAAGACTCTCCTGGAGAGAGCTGTAGGGCCGAGTCTGTGTGGGATGTGGGTGGACACCTGGGCCTGGACCATCCTCTTGGTTTGTCTTGGCTGGTGTAGGGTGTGCGTGTGTGTAAGCCAGCCCCCTGCTGCCCTGGTCAGCTTGTTTTATGACCCCTGGCCTGTGGGCAGAAGGCCTGGCTGTGGGCACCATCAGTCTCACTAGAGGCTCTGTGGCCACCCCTACACCTGCTGCCCACCCCTCAGGCAGAAGGCAGGACAAATGATCAATTTTAATTAGTTTTGACTCCTTTGAATTAATTCTGGCTGTAATCAGAATTTCTTCAGTAAAAAAGCACAGAAAGTTCTTCTCCCGAATAAGGGTCTTGTTAAATAAAGTGGGTCTTTCTAAGCCAGGAGAAGTTCAGCTCAGCTCCTGGGAAGGTAGCAGTACCTACGGCTCAGAGGAGTGGAGGGCCCATCCATGTAGGAGCCTGGGCCTGTGCCCCAACCTCAGACCAGCATGTGCCCCCAGGGGTGGTGGGTGGGCCCTGGAGGGCAGAGAGGTGCCTCTAGCTGGCTCTCGGAAGTCCTGACCAGTGACAATTCTTAAGACACCATTAAGTGTCCACTGGAGCCAGGGCCTGTGCTAGGGGCTGAGGGTGACAGAGGTGACCCATCTGGCCAAGTGACCTGTGGCTGGAGAAACTGAGGCCCTCCTTCGCCTCAGGGACCCTGACACTCTTCAAGGCCAGGTCTTTGGTGGTGCCAGATACTCTCCTGTCCCTTGGTTTGCTTGTGGCTTGGTTCTTGGTGTGTGATACGTCTCTGTGTGTGTAGTTGCCACACCCTCCAGTCTCTCTCATACACACTGTTTCCCAAGCATACACTCACAAACACACCTTGTCTCAGACTCAAACACACACATGCCACACACACACCATACATCACACACTCCATGCACACACATGCATCTACACACACCCCACATGCACATCACACACACGTACTCCATGAACAACACACACACGCACACACACAGACGCACACACACACACCCCCCAACCTCTTTTATGCACTTTCCTGACCTTTGGAGACCTGGCTCCTAGATGTATCTCTGCTCAAAGTTCCCCTCCCTGCCTGGGGGCAGCTCTGGACTCTGGTCTACTTTCGGCCAGGGCACACCTAGCCCACTCCCAGGTCCACCTTCCTCCAGTCTACCCCCAGACTCCTCTAGGCCATCATCAGCCAGCGCTTCATCCTCACCTCAGCTCCCTCCCCGGTCTACCCCCACCCTCTGCCCCTGAGCCTGGACGGAAGTTCCCCAAGTCTCTCCAGCCTGCATCCCAGCCCACCGTCAGCCGGCCCCCACGCTCACCCCAGCTCACCTCCCAGTCTGCCCCTACAATCTGCTCCCAAAAAGCTCCTTTGCAGCTCAGCACCCCAGCCCCGCCCTCAGAGCCCATCAGCCGGCACCCCACCTTACCCCAGCTTGTCCCCAGCTCGAAACCCTGCCCTCGCCCCCCTCTCACCCCGCTGAGACTCCAGCCGCCCCCATCCCTCCCACCCGGCGCGCCTGCAGGGACTGCACCCCACATCTGGAGGCAACGGGGCACGGCCGCAGGCGTGGTCTGGGGGTGCGGCCTGAGGGCGGACCCCCTGAGGCCCCGCCCCACCCCAACCCCAACCGGGCGTCCCCCAGCCGCGCCCCCAGCGGGACCGAGCGTGACCCAGCTGCGGCCGGCCAGCCATGGAGACTGGAGCGCTGCGGCGCCCGCAACTTCTCCCGTTGCTGCTGCTGCTCTGCGGTAAGGGGGCGACGGCCCGCACCGGGGGCGCCCCCACTCCTCGGGGTTCACCGGACCCGGGTGGACCCGCGCCTTCCCGCACCTGCGCCGCGGTCCTTCCCTTGCCCCGGAGCTCGGGAGGGGCGCACAGTGACCCTGGCGGGATTCCCAGGCTCTGCGGGAGGGTTCCACCCGGGAGAAGCTGAAGGCGAAGGACTCTGGCGGGCAAGGGAGGCACAGGGCCCCCTCCGGGGTCTTCTGACGGCAGGGTCCGGCAGCCCCCGGTCCTTCTAGTTGTGATGTCCCCCCACGCCCCGGTTCTGGGGTCGCCTCAGGGTGGGCGAGAAGAGGTGGACCAGGTCTGGCTCTTTACCCCTTATCCCCCAGGGTGGGCTGTCTGTAAGGTAGTGAGCTCTCTGTCCTGGCATTGAGTGCCTGCCCACCACTCACAGGGGCGTGGGCGGGTGGACTCCGGACTGGGTAGCTGGTCCTCCCAGGGCCCCTCAGTGTGTGGACGCCTGTGTGTGTCCTGGAACTGGCTGAGAGGGGAAGCGGGGCGACTCTCTGAGCCATCCTCTCCTAATGCCTTCTTCGGCAAGAAATCAGGACTCTAGGAAGAACCATTGCTCACAAAATGGAAATAGATTAAACTAAAAGCTTGTTTTGAAGTACCTTGCTAAAGAAATTATCCAAGAAAAAGTAAGAGAGAGAGAGAGAGAGAGAATGTGTGTAAAGGCTGTTGGGGAAGAGTGCTTGCTGAGGGCTGGGGTCCACTGAGTGGTGACTGAGCCTGGCCAGTTCTGGGGGGGACATTGGTGATGGAGGGCCCTGGCCTGGTGGTCCCCAGTTTCCCTGGCTGTAAGATGCAGAGTTGGGCCTGTTTTGATGATTTGGGATTTGGTACGGGAGGTGGGAAAAGGGTGGACCAAACTCAGTGGTCATTTTCCTTCCATTGAAGAGGTCTTGGTGTGCAGAACTTGTGTGGCTTCATTTGGTGTTCCAGGGCTGGAGCCTAGGATGTGGTGGATTTTGTGTTGAAGTGCAAAGGTGGATGGCAGCTTCTGAAATCAGGAGCATGCTGATTTGGGATTTCAGCAAACTTCCAGTGAGCGCCCCTTAGGTGGAGATCTTGGTCGCTATAGTGGAAGGAAGGTCCTCTCAATTCATTCTGGGAGAAGCTGAGGCTTTCCTGATCATCTCCAGTATCAAATTGAGAAGGACCACAGGCTTCCGCCTGCACAGAATCCCCCCTTAATAATCCTGTCTCTCGTGGACCCAGTTCCTGAGGGCCACTTCTTTGTCCTGTTGTGTTGGTCCTGACTGTCCCCCTCCAATGGGACATGGGTTCACGCTCCCTGGCCAGAATAGGGACCAGGTCCAGCTTCTCAGCAGACCCTCCCAGTGTTCGACTGGCCAGAGTGAGATTCAGGGAGAGGTAAAACTTGCTCATGGTCCCAGGCCGATGTGTCAGAGGTATCCGGGACTGGAACCCACATCTGCCCTGGATGCTGCTGTGTCTGGAAGGAAGGAGCTGGGTGGGTTCCTCTTGACTGAGGACTAGCTCAGGAGGACCAGCAGGGAGGGTGCAGGCCTCTGGGGCTTCTTTGAGAATTCCAGACCTTTTTCCAGAAAGCATTTGATGCTGTGTGGGGCTGTGGGGATGCGAAGTCCAGCAGTTGTCTACTCAGCAGGACACTTTGCTGTGGTGCCCAGCTCTTGACTGGACTCTTCTGGTCTGGGTGAAAATCCTGATCATGATCCCAAGATTATAAAGCACTCACTGGCCTCAGTTTCCGAGCTGCAATGTAGATGTAATAATAGCAATCTGTAAAGGGCTGCTGAGACCGTCAGTTTGATTCCATTCAGTTTAGTCCCTATCACCTTGTGTTGGGCATGGGATTGTGGGGTGGAAGGGTTCATGCTTAAACAAGGGGAGGTATGGGAAGGCACCCACCAGTGACTGCACTGGGCCTCATGAGGCTCACTCACAGCACCCAAAGATGGAGCACCATAGTGTGTGTGCCTGTGTGTGCAAGCGTATGAACATGGTACCATCGTTTTTATCATTAAATGATGTCCTGCTGCCATGTTACCTGTGGTCATATTGATTCTACTGAATCAAGTGGGCCCAAGGGCCATGGTTGGATAGCAGTAACTCTGGTGAATTAAAGACTTGGAGGTGGCCGGCCGGGTGCGGTGGCTCACGCCTGTAATCCCAGCACTTTGGGAGGCCAAGGCGGGCAGATCTCGAGGTCAGGAGATCGAGACCATCCTGGCCAACATGGTGAAACTCCGTCTCTACTAAAAATACAAAATATTAGCCGGGTGTGGTGGTGCATACCTGTAGTCTCAGCTACTCAGGAGGCTGAGGCAGAGGAATCGCTTGAACCTGGAAGGCGGAGATTGCAGTGAGCCGAGATCATGCTATTGCACTCCAGCCTGGTGACAAAGCGAGACTCTGCCTCAAAAAAAAAAAAAAAAAAAAAAAAAAAAAAAAAAAAAAAAAGACTTGAAGGTGGTGATTGGCCAAGAAGAGGCCCATAGATTTTTGGCACTGGAGGTTCCTTGGAGGTTATCTGACCTCCATGCTCTTACCTATTCTTCATAAGGAAACAGAAATCTGGAGGTTAGAGAGGAAGTTGCCCAACCACAGAGACCAGGGGCAGAACCGCCCAGAATCCACAGCCTCCCAAGGTCGACTGACCGTGGCCCATGGCAGCCACTTGCCAGTCTCGTCGATGCTCTTTCTGTCAAGGAGGGGGAGAGCGCCTGTGTTTCATTTCCAAATGACTAGCCACAAAAGCCCTTTCTGGCGGAAATGCATCTGTTTGGCTGTTTATCATCTCTCAGTGGCGTCTGGAAGTCCCTGAGACAAAAGAAACACAGGCCGGCATGTTCTTTGTTTCCCAATGAAACCAACCAAAATGGATTTCTATTTTGATTCAGTTCCTGCGACCTTTACTAATGCAGCCAGTAGCTTGATTGGCAATGGCCCTCTTTTGTGGTGTTGCCAGGAATCTGTCTTTACACCATTGTTCTAACATTGGGTGGGTTGTCAGGTTTTGCTGGGAGCCCCTCAAGCCTCATGTGCACTAGAAATGAGCTCCCTGGGGAGGGCACTTGGTTTCTCAGGGTGCCTGCCTTGTGCAGGCCCAGGGCTGGTGCTGTCACAGGCATCCTCATAGCACCTCCGTGGGTAGAGGAGTTATCCCAGAACACCTGCCTGAGGATGGCATGTGGTCCTCAAAGGCACATTTACAATCTGCCTGAGCCAGGTCCTTGCGATGGGGCATGTGAAGATTATGGAGTATGTAGAGATTTGGGGCATGCAGAGATTCAGGGAGGGGCATGTTGTCAGGGACCCCTCCTTCTCTTTTTAGATAGCTGTGCGACCTGGGTGGGTATTTGTAGAGCCGTGGGGGAGGGGCTGGGCAATGCCCTGGCACTGGGGGTGGTGGGGAATTGATGCTGTCTTTGCCTGGCTCAGTGAGGGAGATCAGGGGCTCAGGGAGAATAATAGTTGCCTGAGGGTAATGAATACTTATCAGGACCTTGTCCCTGAGCTGTGTTTCAGAGCATCATAGTTAATGTGAAAATGTGGCAGACACAGGCCCTGTGTAGGGAGGTGGGCTGTAGGAACAGCCATGACTTGGGCTGGCTGCGGCAAATACCTCCAGGAAAGGGCTGGGGAGGAGAAGGCAGTGGTTCAGATTCATTCTGACTTCCAAGAAGAGGAGGAAGGAAGGAGAGGAGAGGAAACAGGGGAGGGGGAGGAGGGTAAAGAAGGACAGGGGAAGGAGGAAGAGAGGAAGAAGGGGAAGGAGGGGGAGGCAGAGGAGGAAGAAGAACTGGGCTGGGTCTCGGTGGCCTGATAGGTGACAGTCAGAGTAGGCTGAGGGGGGACCAGGCCAAGTGGTCCAGGTCTAGGGGTTCAGATTCAGACCTAGGGGTCCAGGTGGACCAGGCTGCAGGTGTGGGCACTGGCCAGGAGGGACAGGGTGGGGCTAGCCTGGCTCGTGCCCATTGGGATGGTGGGCGGAGCTCAGGAGACCCACCCAAGGGTGCTGAGAGAATCTGTTAGGGAGTGACGCCAGACCCAGGGGTGAGGACAGGAGCTGGATGTGGAGAGCAGCTAGGCGAACCTTCAGAGTCCAAGGCAGGGGCAGCTTTAGGGTGAAGGTGCACAGGCCGCCTTAGTCCTCGTGTGACTCCACGTGGTCCCTGGGGCTTGCACCCCTTGGTCACTTATGCCAGGGCTGTCTTTTCACCTGCAGGCAGGTGCAGTTGAGCAGGGTGGCAGAGGGAGGCCTTGGGAAAGTCGCTTTCTTTTGGGCCTCCATCGTCCCATCTCTAAACTGAGGGAGGTGGTGAAGGAGGCATGATGTTTTTCAGGCCCTTCCCAGGATCAATGCCGACCTGTACTCCAGAATCTGTTGCAGAGCCCAGGCTTGACATGGAGCTTGGAAGTGCCCACTGGGAGAGAAGGAAAGGAAGGTGGGGATCGGGGACCAGGGCTAAGTGGGGCCACTCCAGCCAGGAGCCCTCAGGGCAAGGAGGTGAGCCTTGGATGCAGCCCTGCTTGGCAGACCAAGGGTGGGAATTGGAGTGAGGGTGTCAGTGTGAGGCAATGGTGACATGCCACCTGGAGACAGCTCTGTGGGCAGGTGGCCTGGCTTTGAACCTTGACTCCCCTGCCTTGTCTAAGTGAGGAAGCAGCTGACCCACCCTGCCACAGGGTTTCAGTCTTTAAGTACCTGCCCTGTCTGGCTGTTGTAGGGCTTGGCGGGTTGGGCCACACTTAGAACAGGGCATTCAGGGAGCACTGGTCAGTACTGAGGGGGGTGGAGAGCCTGGCTGAAGGGAAAGAGAAATGGGGCAAGGGTCTGCCAGGTAGGTGCCACTGGTTCTGTTTCTGAATGGGGACATTGAGGCTCAGAGGGGCAAGTGAGTGAGTGTCAGGGTCAGGGGCAGAGCCGAGGTGAGCACCTAGAGCCTTCTGGCTCCTGCTTGCTGCTCTTCCATCCCCCATGCCCTTACTCCTTGGAGTGTGGTCCTCGGACCTGCAGAAGGGGCTTGCCTGGAGCTTGCAGAGATGAGTGCTTTGGCCTCCAAGCCTGCTGGACTGGAATCTACATTGCTTGAGGTCTTCAGGTGATGGCCTGCACATCTGAGTGGAGACACATTGCTTTCCATCTCTCAGTCTCAGCCTTGACCCCATGTCTGAATCACTTGGAGGTTTTAACAAACATGAATTATTGGTTTCACACCCCAGAGGCTCCCATGCAATAGGCCTGGGCTGTGGCCTGGGTGAGCCTATTGTGCAGTTGACTCTGCTGGGTCTGTCCTATCTCTGGTGGCTGCCCTGAAAGATGACAGTGCCCAGAGGAACTAGGGATAGAGCCCCCAAGCCTCAGGGCTTTCTGGGTGGGTTCATGAATGGTGGTCCCTACCAGCCTTATAGAAGAATGGCTTCACTTTTGAGTCTCTTATTACTTTTTGGTTCCTTCAAAGCACTTCAGGGTCTAGAGCTGTGCTACAAGAGAACCTGGGGTCAGCAGCTTGGGATACACAGAAGTGGGAGCTGCTGGTGTCCAGGAAGGAGGCTGTGGTAATGGGGGACAGTCTGATTGTGGAGGAAGAGGGGCAGGTGCTGCCAGCAGCCAGAGGGTCGTGGAGCAGCAGCTCATGGGTGGGACAAGCTGGAGGCTGGGGTCAGCAGTGGTGGGAATAGGAAGTTGGGGCCCGATGGAAGCTAACCTTGACAGAGATTTTGTAGGTGCACAATTATTAACCAATGGAAACACACAGAATCAGAATCACTCTTTTTTACAGATGGGGAGACAAAGGACCAGAAAGGTGAAGGGCCCTGCTTGGAGTCACACAGCAAATCAGGAACTAAACAGGATGAGGTCTCTGTCTTCTGGCTCCGTGCCAGTGGGGCATCTGGAGGGTGGCACGGTCAAGCTTCAGAAGGACACGGGCCTCCATTCCTGCAGAGATGGTATGGCTTCTCTTGAAGGGACGCCAGCTTCAGTCCTGGCTGATGCTTGCCCAGGATTCCATGATGTGAAGGTTCAGAGGGCCTATTTGGGTTAAGTGGGAGAGTACTGTGGCTGAAAACCCACTTCTGCCTTTCTATTAGACTTTAAATAAACTCTGAAGACCTGTACATCCTGCTCCAACCTTGCCCTGGGTCTACCTTTCCAAAGTCACTTCTTCTTTCCTTTACACCCACAATGGTGTGTACCCCACCCTTCCACACACAGTATACCCAGCTCCACTGTGCTCCTGCCTGTGCCCTGGACACCTCTGTTCCTCCTCTGTTCACGTTTTCTAATAGCTTCCTGATTTTTATCTACTTGTTCTGTAAATTATTGAGAGAGGAGTATTCTCCAATTATCTGCTGGGTGCGGTGGCTCATGCCTGTAATTCCAGCACTTTGGGAGGCCAAGGCGAGAGGATCACTGGAGCCTAGCCTGGGTAATATGAGATCTTGTCTCTACAAATAACAAAAAAAAAATTAGCTGAGTGTGGTGGCACATGCCTGTGGTCCCAGCTACTCAGGAGGCTGGGGTGGGAGGATTGCTCAAGCCCAGGCAGTGAAGGCTGCAGTGAGTCATGATCACACCACTGTACTCCAGCCTCGGTGACAGAGTGAGACTTTGTCTCAAAAGAAAAAAAAAAGAATTCTCCAATTATAATTGTGAAATTGTGGATTTGTCATTTTCTTTTTGTAGTTCTGTTTTTGCCTTGTGTGTTTTGATGCTGTTATTAGGTGCATACATATTTAGGATTGCTACATCATCTTGATGAATTGAGCCCTTTATTGTATTGAAAAGACCCTCTTTATCTCTAGTAATATTTTTTGCTCCAAAACATACTTTGTCTGATATTAATATAGCCACTCCATCTTTCTTTTGATTAGTGGTAGCAAGATGTGTCTTTTCCCACTCTTTTATTTTGAACCTATTTGAGTCTTTTCATTTAAAGTTGGATTCTTGTTGGCAGCCTACTGTTGGACCTTACTTTTTGTTCTTATTTGACAATCTTTGCTTCTTAGTTGAAGTGCTTAGACCATTTACTTTCAATCTGATTATTGATATGGTTAGATTTAAATCTACCATTGTACCATCAATTCTTTTCCTCTCTTTTCTCCTTTTCTGCCTTCTTTTGGACTTAGTATTTATTATTATTACTCCATTTCTTTTTCCTCTTGCCCTTCTCCTCCTCCTCCATCCTTGCTAATTGGGTGTAATTCTTTTTTTTGTTTTGTTACTCCAGTGGTTGGTTCAGGGTTTATGGTATACATCTTTAATTCATCAATCTGTCTTCAGGTGACATTACACTGATTCATGGATAGCCTAAGAACCTTCCATTTCTCTCCTCCTGAACTTTATGCCATTGCTGTCATATATTTTATTTAAATCAAAGTTATAAATCTCACAATACATGATTATTATTTTTTACAGAATTTAGACATTGAGAAAAATTCTATATATTTACTTGCATAGTTAAAATTTCTGATCTCCTCCATTCCTTTGCATAGGTCCATATTGGCTTCTGATAGGCTTTCCTAAACATTACTTATAGTTTGGGTGTGTGGGTGATATTTCCTTTCACCTTTTGTATGTTTGAAAAAGTTTTTATTATGCCTTAAAAAGCCAGCATTATTGAGATATAATTCACATGCCACACAATTCACCCATTTAAAGTATACATCAATATTTTTTAGTACATTCCTAGAATTTTGCAACCATCACTATACTCAATTATGGAACGTTGTTGTCACCACAAAAATAAACCCCCTACCCATTAGCAGTCACTCCCTATTTCCTCCAACCCCCTTAGCCTTAAGGAATCACTAATATGTTTTCTGTCTCTAGATTTGCTTGTTCTGCACATTTAGTGTAAATGGCATCATATAATATGTGAGATTTTGTGACTGGCTTCTCTCACAGCAGAATGTTTTTAAGGTTCATTCATATAGTGGTATGTTTTAGCACTTCACTCTTTTATGTACAAATAATATTCTATCACATGGGTATACCACATTCTAGCCATTCATCAGCTGATGGACATTATTTCATCTTTTGGCTATTATGAATAATGCTGTTATGAATCTTCATGTAAAAATCTGTGTGTGAACATGTGCGGTATAAATTTAGGAGTGGAACTGTGTAGTCATATGGTAACTCTACGTTTAACATTTTGAGAAACTGCTAGACTAGTTTCCAACGTGGCTGCTTCATTTTACATTCCAATCAGCAGTAGTATATAAAGGTTCCAATTTCTGCATGTCCTCACTGACACTTTTTTTTTTTTTTTCTGAGAGAGGGTCTCATTCTGTTGCCCAGTCTGGAGTGCAGTGGTGCAGTCATAGCTCACTGCAACCCCGGACTCCTCAAGCCATCCTCCCACTTCAACCTCCCAAATGTCTGGGGTTACAAGTGTGTGCTATCACGTCTGACTGCCTTTTTGATGATAGCCATTCTGGTGGGTGTGAGTGGTATGTGATTGTGGTTTGATTTGCATTTCCCTGATGGTTAATGATGTTGATTGTCTTTCATGTGCTTATTGATCATTTATATATATTTTTGTAGAAATGACTATTCATATCCTTTGCCCATTTTTAATTGCTTTATTTTTCCCTTTATTATGGAGTTGTAAGAATTCTTTATGTAACCTGGGTACAAGTCTTTTATCAGATATACAACTTGCATATATTTTCTTTCATTCAGTGGGTTGTCTTTTCACTCTCTTGATGCTATCCTTTGAAGTACAGAAGTTTTAAAATTTGACGTGTCTAATTTATCTATTTTTCTTTTGTTTCTTGGGTTTTTGGTGTCATGTATAAGAAGGCTTTTTCTCACACAAGGGCACAAAGATTTTCTCCTGTATTTTTCTAAAAGTTTTATTTATTTATTTTTTGAGACAGAGGCTTGCTTTGTTGCCCAGACTGGAGTGCAGTGGCGCAATCTCAGCTCACTGCAACCTCGGCCTCCCAGGTTCAAGCTATTCTTGTGCCTCAGCCTCCCGAATAGCTGGGTAATCTAAGAGTTTTATAATTTAGCTCTACATGTAGGTCTTTGATGCTTTTTTTTTTTTTTTTTGAGACAGAGTCTTGCCTTGTTGCCCAGGCTGGAGTGCAGTGG
Organism: Homo sapiens; assembly: GCF_000001405.40. Lineage (NCBI taxonomy): Eukaryota > Metazoa > Chordata > Mammalia > Primates > Hominidae > Homo > Homo sapiens. The sequence goes on from NC_000007.14 coordinate 45,167,018, forward strand.
TATGATCTCCGCTCACTGCAAGCTCCGCCTCCTGGGTTCACGCCATTCTCCTGCCTCAGCCTCCCCAGTGGCTGGGACTACAGGTGCCCGCTACCTCGCCCGGCTAATTTTTTGTACTTTTAGTAGAGACGCGGTTTCAGTGTGTTAGCTAGGATGGTCTCGATCTCCTGACCTCGTGATCTGCCTGCCACGGCCTCCCAAAGTGCTGGGATTACAGGCGTGAGCCACGGCGCCCGGCCTGTGATCCATTTTGAGTTAATTTTCGTGTATGAGGTGAGAAGGGTCCGACTTTATTCTTTGGCAAGTGTATATCCAGTTGTCGCAGTACCATTTGTTGAAAAGAGTATTCTTTCTCTGGTGAATTGTCTTGGTACCTTTGTAGAAAATCAATTTATCATAAGTGTGAGGGTGTATTCCTGGACTCTGAATTCTATTCCACTGGTCTATTTATCTAACCTTATGCCAGTACCATGCTATCTTGATTACTGTTGCCATGTTGTAAGTTGTAAGATTGGGATGTGTGAGTCCTACAACTTTGTTCTTTTTTTTTTTTTTTTATTTTTGAGACGGAGTTTCATTCTTGTTGCCCAGGCTGGAGTGCAATGGCGCGATCTCGGCTCACCGCAACCTCCGCCTCCCGGGTTCAAGCGATTCTCCTGCCTCCTGCCTTGGGAAGCCTCTCCTGAGGCTTCCCAAGTAGCTGGGATTACAGGCATGCGCCACCACGCCCGGGTAATTTTGTATTTTTAGTAGAGACGGGGTTTCTCCATGTTGGTCAGGCTGGTCTCCAACTCCCGACCTCAGGTGATCCACCCGCCATGGCCTCCCAAAGTGCTGGGATTACAAGCGTGAGCCACCTCGCCTGGCCAACTTTGTTCTTTTTCATGATTGTTTTGGCTATTTTGTGTCCCTCGCTTTTCCATAGAAACTTTAGGATCAGCTCATCAATTACTGCAATGGGCCAGCTGCGATTTTGATAGGGATTGCATTGAGTTTGTATATCACTTTAGGTAGTACTGACATCTTAACAATTAAGTGTTCCAATGTGTTAACATAGGATGTCTTTCTATTTATGTAGATCTTTTAAAATTTCTTTCAACAGGCCTGGCATGGTGGTTCATGCCTGTAATCCCAGCACTTTGGGAGGCCGAGGCTGGTGGATCACCTGAGGTCAGGAGTTCGAGACCAGCCTGGCCTACGTGGTGAAACCCCGTCTCTACTAAAAATACAAAAAATTAGCTGGGCATGGTGGCAGGTGCCTGTAATCCCAACTACTCAGGAGGCTGAGTGAGGCATGAGAATCCCTTGAACCTGGGAGGCAGAGGTTCCAGTGAGCCGAAATGGTGCCACTGTACTCCAGCTTGGGTGACAGAGTGAGACTCTGTTTCCAAAAAAAAAAAAAAAAAAAAAAAATTCTTTCAACAGTGTTTTATACTTTTCGGAGTACAAGTTTTGTACTTTTTAATTATACTTATTACTAAGAATTTTATTATTTTTGATTGTATTGGAATTGGAATTGTTTTCTTTGTTTCCTTTTTGGATTATTCATTGCTAGTGCACAGAAATACAACTTATTTTTTTGTGTTAATTTTGTATCCTGCAACTTTGCTGAGTTAGTTTATTACCTGTAACAGTCTCTCTCTGTGTGTGCCTGTATGTTGATTCTTTCAGATTTTCTAAGTATAAAATCGTGTCATCTGTGATAGAGATAGTTTTACTTCTTCCTATCTAACTTGGATGCCTTTTATTTCACTTCTTGCTTAATTGCTCTGGCTAGAACTTCCAGTAATTATGTTGAATAGAAGTGGTGAAACCTGGCATCCTTGTTTTGTTCCTGATCTTAAAGGATAGCTTTGTCTTTCATCATTGGTTATGTTAACTCTGGGCATTTCATATATGGTCATTATCATGTTGAGGAAATTCCATTCCATTCCATTCCTAATATATTGAGTGTTTTTTAATCATGAAAAGACATTGGATTTTGTCAAATGCTTTTTCTGCATCAATTGAGATGATCGTGTGGTTCCCCCCTTCGTTTATTAATGTGATATATTACATGAATTGACGTTCTTATGTTGAACCACCCTTGCATTCCTGAGATAAAACCTTCTTGGTCATGGTGTATAATCCTTTTTATATGTTGCTGGATTAAGTTTGCTAGTATCGAAGGTTTTTACGTATATATTCAGAAGCAATATTGGCCTATAGATTTCTTTTCTTATGATGTCTTTGGTTTTGCTGTCAAGATTATACTGGCTTCAGAGAATGAGTTGGAAGATGGGGAAGTGCTGCTTGCTCTATTTTCTGGAAGAGTTTGTGAATGATTTCTGTTAATTCTTCTTTCAGTGTTTGGTAGAATTTGCCAGAGAAGCCTCTATACCTGGGATTATCTTTGGGAGAAATTTTAAAATTAAGAATTCAGTCTCTTTATTTAGTATAGACCTATTTAGATTTTTGATGTCTTCTTGAACCAATTTCAGTAGTTTATGTCTTTAATAGTTTCCTAGGTTGTAACAAAGTACCATAATCTGGGTGACTTAAAACCCGTTCTGGAGGCTGGAAGAACCCAGGTGCTGGGCACTCCTTCCCAGCCTTTCCTGAACTTCTGGTGGCCCCAGGTGTTCCTTGGCTTGCAGTAGCATCACTCCCATCTCTGCCTCCATCTTCACACTGTTGTCTTCTCCCTGAATGTCTTCACCTCATCTTCTTTCTGTGTGTGTCTTTCTCTGTGTTCATATTTCTCCTTTTTGTAAGAATATACCAGTCATGTTGGATTAGGTCTACCCAAATGACCTAGTTTTAACTTGATTACCTCAGTTGAGACCCTATTTCCAAGTAAGGTCAGAATCTGAGGTGTACTAGGGGTTAGGACTTCAATATATCTTTTTTAGGGGAGATGCAATTCATTCCATAACAATGCCTTATTAGGAATTTGTCCATTTCATTGACATTATCTAATTTGTTGGCATATAGCAGTTCATAGTATTTGCATATAATCTTTTTTATTTCTCTAACACAGGTAGTGATATAGTGATATCTCCTCTTTCATCCCTGATTTAGTAATTTGAGTCTCTCTCTTTTCTTCCTGGTAAGTCTAGTTAAAGGTTTGTCAATTTGTTGATCTTTTAAAAGCTTTTTTTTTTTAATGAGCTTTGATTTTGTTGATTTTTTTTCTATTTTGTAGTTCATTAATTTCTCCTCTAATCTTAATTTCTTCCTTTCTTCTGCTGTCTTTAAGCTTAGTTTGATCTTCTTTGTCTGGTGCCTTAGGGTGGAAGGCTGGGTAATTGATTTGAGATCTTTCTTCTTTATTATTTTATTATTTATTTATTTATTTTTGAGACGGAGTCTTGCTCTGTCACCTAGGCTGGAGTGCAATGGCGCAATCTTGGCTACTGCAACCTCTGCCTCCTGGGTTCAAGCGATTCTCCTGCCTCAGCCTCTCGAGTAGCTAGGACTACAGGTGCATGCCACCATGCTTGGCTAATTTTTTGTATTTTTACTAGAGATGGGGTTTCACTGTGTTAGCCAGGATGATCTCGGTCTCCTGACCTCATGATCTGCTCGCCTCGGCCTTCCAAAGTGCTGGGATTACAGGCGTGAGCCTCTGCGCCCGGCCTTATTTTATTTATTTATTTATTTTTTAGAGACAGAGTCTTGCTGTGTCACCCAGGCTGGAGTGCAATGGTGTGATCATGGCTCATTTCAGCCTTGAACTCTTAGGCTCAAGTGTTCCTCCCACCTCAGTCTCCCTGTTGGCTGGGACTGCAGGTGTGCCACTATGCCTGGCTAATTAAAAAAATTTTATTTTATAGAGATGAAGGTTTCACAATGGTGCCCAGGCTGGTCAGGAACTCCCAGCAACAAGCCATCCCACCTGGGATTCTAAGAGTGAGTCACCATGTCCAGCCTTTTTTTTTTTAATATAAGTTTTTACAACTAAAAATTTTTCTCCAAGTACTGTTTTAGCTGCATCTCTCTAAGTTTTGGTATGTTGTGTCTTTTATTTTTATTCATCTCAAAACCATATCTAATTTCCCTTGTGAAATTTTCTTTGGCCTATTGGTTATTTAGGAATGCTGTTTATTTTCTACATATTTGTGAATTTCCCCAAATTCTTTCCATCTTTGATTTCCTTCTTTCTTTTTTTTTTTTCGAGACAGAGTTTCACTCTGTTGCCCAGGCTGGAGTACAATGGTGTGATCTCGGCCCACTGCAACCTCTGCCTCCTGGGTTCAAGCGATTCTCCTGCCTCAGCCTCCTGAGTAGCTGGGTCTACAGGTGTGCACCACTGTGCCCTGCTAATTTTTGTATTTTTAGTAGAGATGGGGTTTTGCCATGTTGTCCAGGTTGGTCTCGAACTCTGGATCTCAGGTGACCTGCCCACCTTGGCCTCTGAAAGTTCTGGGATTACAGGCGTGAGCCACCACGCTCAGCCCTGTCTTTGATTTCTAATTTTATTCCATTGTGGTCAGAGGACATTTATATAATCCTTTAAAATCTATTCAGGCTTTAACAAAGTCTCATGTCTTTTTTGATTTTTTTTCTTTTTTTAAAAATTATTTTAGTCTAATAAAAAATTATTTTATTTATTGTTATTATTTTTTGAGACAAGGTCTTGCTCTGTCACCCGGGCTGTAGTGCAGTGGCATGATCATGGCTCACTGTAGCCTCAGACTCCTGGGTTTGAGCAATCCTTCCACCTCAGCCTCCCAAAGTGATGGGATTACAGGTGTGGGATGCCACGCCTGCCTCCATTGTTTTTGACAACACCCTCAGGCATGGACTTCTGTTCTGTTCCAAATATAGTCAATCCCTTCTGCAACAGCTATGGAAATATCTGTCTCTTCTTACAGCCTGCCTCTTCCCCTGGGCAGGACCTGGCACTGTATTGGACTGGGGGATAGGACAATGGCCTGCTTCTACCAGAATGACATCTCTGCTCCACAAGCAGGCACCCATGAGGGACACTGTAGTTCCTGATTTTGGCTTGCTCCTCCCATTGTGGAGCCTCCACCCTACCAGTGAGCTGGGGTGGGGTGGTTGGGGCCCCAGTACTCTTGGCCTGCCATGCCTGGTGCAGAACCTCCACCTTAGAAGTGGGGACTGGGCGGGGCAGGGAGCCTCAGTTCTCTAGGCCTCATCTGCCCAGAAAGAAGAGACCTCCTGCAACCTGGAGCTGGGAGGGACATGCCTGCTTGTCCCAGGGTGAAACTGTAGCCCAGGACTGGGAGCTGGGGTAGAGAGAACCTCCATTTGTGGTTGCACCCACTGGAGTACAGGCTCTACAGCCAGAGGTAGGGTGTGGAGTGGGAACAGGTTGTGGCTCAAATGTCACAGATTCTCACTATTCTTCCCGAGATGTGGTAGATTTTCTTGAATAACCTTCTTCATTTGATGTGTGCCCTTAGGATGAGCTTCTCATACCACCATCCCAGAAGTCTGTACCCCCTTGTTGAGTTTCTTTTCTTTTCTTTCAACAGAGTCTCACTTTGTCACCCAGGCTAGAGTGCAGTGGCACGATCTTGGCTCACTGCAACCTCTGCCTCTTTGGTTCAAGCGATTCTCATACCTCAGCTTCCCGAGTAGGTGGGACCACAGGTGCACGCCTCCTTGTCTGGCTAATTTTTGTATTTTTAGTAGAGACAGGGTTTCACCTTGTTGGGTCTTTCTATTGAGGTTATACTTAGTTGATTTTTGATTGTGAGCTGCTTGTTTTCCTTGGGAAGTTAATTATGGCAGCTTTCTGAGGGCTGCAATGATGGTGCCTCCTTCTGAGAGGGTTTGGGTTTATTTGCTCCTGCGGGGGCCTGTCCATGATGATCAGTTTAAACTTGGGGTTTCCCTGGGTCCATCCAGGTCATGTGAATTTGGGCTGTGAATCCACAAGAAGGTCAGCCTTGCTTATGACTTCTCAGAGAGGGGTCCCCCTCCCTGCTCAGTGCCAGGTCCCATTCCTCCTACTTGGCCGAGGGTGAAGAGTTATTTCTGGTTCACCTACCTCTGAATGTCAGTTTATGGGGCCTTTCATTAGACTTCTCATCTTGGCCTTTATCCACCCCCAGTTTTCCAGGCTGGGAAGATGCCTCCAGGGCAACAAATCCATGGCCCTCTGGGTTCCACTCCATCTAGTCTTTAGCTTGATAATTTCTTGCCATCTTGTCAGCTCCTTGATGATTTTATGAATGTATGGTTTATATTTTATCCAGGCTTTCAGTTGTTTTCAGTAGAAAGTTTGTCCAGACGTCTGCCATATGACTGGACATGGAAGTGTGTCCGCTTATCTTCTCTACAAGGATATAGTGAGGCTTGTATAAGCCTTTTACAAAATCCACACTATAGCTGCAAGCGGTGTCCATCAGAAGCTGTGGGTGGTGCCCAGGTGTCAGGACCCTGGGCTATTGTCCAGGCTGCCGCTAACAAACTGGGATTTTGGGTGAAAAATGTGGCCTCTCTAATATTGCTTTTGTGGAAGGAAGGACACATGCCTTGAGGTGCCTGTGGGGACCAAGTGGGCTTCTCCCTATGAAGGTCCCAGCTGTGTCTGTGGACAGCTGAGCAGGAGGTGGTGGGCAGTGGTTTTTACGTCCAAGTTTCCCAGTGCCCAGTGAGCCCTGATGGGCTTTGGGAAGTGGAGGAAACCCCAGCATGGAGCTGACTGCCCACTGGGGAAAGCTGTAGCTTTCCCTGTAGCCTCTGTAGGCTTCTGCCACTTCTGATAGTGTGGGGAGGACTGCAAGGAGCAGGGCTGATCATCCAGGGCACCTGCTTTCCCTTGGGGACTGTCAGCAGCTTTGCCCACAGCTCACACTGCTTCAACTGCTACCATCCTGGGGTCCTCACATTCATGGCGCAAATGCTGCTGTGGACCTCCTGACACCAGGCCTGAGCTGGGAGGAGGGCAGACACATATAGCAGAGCCTCGACAGCAGGGGAGCAGTGGGGCCCAGTTGCCAAGGAGAGGGGTGAGGTGGGGGTGTTGGTGGGGGCTGTGGATTTCCTCCTAGGGAGATGGGAGTGGGCACTCCCAGCTGAGGAAATGGACAAGGCCCAGTGAGAGCAGACAGGATGGGGAGCACCGTGCTTTGGCTGGAGGAGTGAGCCAGGAGGGTCTTGGGTACCGTGGGTGAAGACAGCAGGCCCGGCATGCACAGATGACTACCCCAAAGCTGTGTGACCCTGGGAGACACTTAACCTTTCTGGGCATCAGCCTCTCCATCTGTGTAGTGGGTGTTATAGTGCCCTTGGGGTCTGCTGTGATGTCTGGGACAGATGACAGGGGCCTAAGGGCCAGGGAAAGTACAGGCTGGGTCCTCAGGGACCTCCTGACTCCCATGGCCTCAGCAAGCCCTCATGTGTGCGGCTGGCCACTGTCCCCACACTGGCTGCTGTTCTTGGTCCATCTCTGGGCCATTGACTGGTATTTGCTGAAGCCATGTTGCTTTGGGCACCTGGACCCATCTTGCTCCACGCTCCTTCTGCTACCCGGGCAGCTCAAGTCCTCTTAGGTGATCCCGATGGGGCCTGTGCATTTTTTATCCCCCTATAGCCACTGCACCATCCCTTTCAGTGGTCCTGATGCAGCCCTGGTCATGTCCCCTTCCCGCCACTGACATCGGAGCTCAGGTCTCCTTCTGACTGTGGCTGCCTGTATGCGCAGCCCCTATATGGCCTGTGCATCTTGGTGAGACTTCCTGACACTCTGTCCTGGGTTCTGCCCCATCTATTATATGCTCTATCTTCAGTCACTCCCCTAGTTGGACTGAGATCCCTGTGTCTTCCTCTTGCCCCCTGGAACCCAGATGGCAGGTCCTGAAGACAGGAACCAGACCCTCTCCCTCTCCCCTTGTCCAAGGATCCAACACAGTCCGCAACACATGATAGCGGTGGTCCAGGATGTTTTGCTAAATCTTTGGATAAATTTCACTGGGTTGACAGTGGGTACTGAGCCACCATCTCCATGTGCAGACCCTGTGGGACCATGTGGGGGACCTGTGCTACATGCAGGGATGGGACAGACACAGAATGAGCACATGGCCTTTCTGTGAAGAGAGGTGAGCACCCCAGAGGCTCACTCAGGGGTTGGGGCCCTAAGTGGGATGTGTGGCCTTTCAGAGAATCCAGGCCTGCAGCTGTGCTGATGAGACAAGCGAACGTGGGGGTCAGGGACATTCCAGGTGCTGGAAACCATGCAGAGTGGCCAGAAGGCCCTGAAACACCTGTTCTGGGAGAGCCAGTCACTGACCCTGTGTCCAGGGGCCATGGTGGTGACTTCACCCAGCCTGTGTCCTTGCCATCTGCTTACACATGGCAGCAGGCTGACCACTGAGCCACAGCCTGTGTGCTTCCCATCTCCAGGGTTCTCTGGGGCCTCAAGATGCCCTGGGTCCTGGGGAAGCTTGCATGGACAGAAGGGGAGATGTGAGTGCCTACACAGGCTTCTCAGACCACCTGCTGGGACCTGCAAGTCCTCTGTCCAACTTTACCAGCTGTGACCCCCAGGGGCCCTTCTCAGTGCTGTCAGCCTGGATTCTGAGGTATAGGTTTGGGCAGTCACGAAGGGAAGAAGGTGCCTTGAGTCTGGGAACCCACGACCCTGAACAGCTGGCAAGCCCTTTTGTGTTCTCCTCTGTGGGGTTCCAGCTAACACCTGTCCTCTGTATGTGCTCCAGGTGTTCTGCTGCAGGTGGGGGTGGGCTGAGCATGACAGTTCCCTTAACCCTGGGATCTGGACCCCTCCAGCCTTCCTTTGGCCTTAGACAAGCCACTCCCTTTTGCTGGCATCAGACGCTTGTTCAACCAAGGGGCTTCCAGGGTCTTCCCTAATGTTAGCATTAAGCAGGCTATGACTCTTGAGGAGTGTCTGGGGCGCTGTGTTCTGGTGGAGCAGGTCCCTGCACCAGAAAGTGGTCCTGTCTAAACCTGCCATTTCCATATTAAAGTGACTTATTCAGCACTTGCTCAGTGCCCAGGGTGAGCCACACATGGAAGAAGATCAGACTCTGAAATGCTCACTGCTTTCTCTATCATTCAGCCAAGACTTATTGAGGGAATGAATGAATGATACGTTCCTGGAGGTGGCACTGAGCATTTCAGACTAAGTTAGCCAGCTCAACCTCCTTGTGAGGTGGGGCCTGTATCCCTCATCTTGCGGATGGGGAAACTGAGGTTGAGCTGGTAACCAGTGAAGTGTGGGTGTGAGCCAGGTCTGTCCCATGTCAATCTGGAACCATTTTCTTATCTGCTTCTTCATGGTATTTCCTCTAGCCCAGCACCAGCCGCCGGAACACAGATGACAGGGCTGTGTACACACATGCTCATGTATGCATACACATATGCACTAAGATATAGATGGCAGGGCTGTGTACCTACACACACACACACACACACACACACACCAAGACACAGACAGCAGGGCTGTGCGTGCACACACACACACACACCCGAGACACATATGCCTGGGGTCTCTCTTGAGTATATGATGAGCACCAAAGCAGAGGTCAGGTGAGGGAAGTTTAGGAGCAGGGAGGTCCTGTCGTCTGGAAATGGGATGACCGTGGAGACAGGCCCTGAAGGACAGGGGGCATTGCTCAGTGGGAGGGAGGATGTTCCCCATGGGGAAATGTGTGGAGCAAAGGCATGAGGAGGAAGGGGAGGGGATGTTTTGGTGGGCAGAGGTTGGGAAGGGCAGTGGGGAAATCCTGGGACAAGCAGCTTGTGTCAGACCCTGAGAAAGTCCAAAGGACTCATTCCCATTGCTGGGAACATGAGTCCCTGCAGTGGCCTCAGCCCCTGGTTTCCCAGAATTGGAGGGGGTCTTTGACCGGGAGGGGTTGGTCTTTACTGGCCTGGAGCCCTCCTCTGCCGCCCCTGCAGGCAGTGGGATGGTCCCCAGGTCTTAGAGTCCTCAGGATGTTCCCAGGCCCCTGGGACTCCTAAGCTGGAACTGGAGCCTCTTTGCCAGCCCTGATCTGCCTGAGACCCTCTCACCACCTCCCAAGGAGTTTGGCCCAGGGTCTCACTGCCTGATCCCTGCCTGTGCCACTGCCTGTGAGGCGGTGAAGTGAAAAGGTGGACTTGTCCTGTCTTGGGGACAGGTCCCTGTGTGGAGCCTCCTTTCTGCACTGACAGGTAGGTCAGGGTGGAGGGTGAAGGACTCCGCTGGAACGGTCTCAGGCTTGCAAACGGAGCCTTGCTAGTGAGTACTCAAGTTATGGCCCCTTGGGCCTCCCCTGTCCTGGCATCCCCAGTGTGAACTGTAGTGGAATTCTTATGGCTGTCCCCTCTCCAGGTGGGTGTCCCAGAGCAGGCGGCTGCAACGAGACAGGCATGTTGGAGAGGCTGCCCCTGTGTGGGAAGGCTTTCGCAGACATGATGGGCAAGGTGGACGTCTGGAAGTGGTGCAACCTGTCCGAGTTCATCGTGTGAGTGCCACTGCTGGGCGTGGGATTTGCTCTGACCACAGCGCTGCCCACTGCCCAACCACTGCCTGACCACAGCCTGACCGCACTCTACCCAAGGCCTCACCCATGCCTCACCCACAACCCACCGTAGGCCACCCACAGCCCTTTCATGTGCTGCCCCACACTTTGCCCAGGGCCCCAACCACGCTCCTATTCACACTCTGCTCTTGGCTCTGGCCACCCCACCCACATCCCCCTGGCACATCACTCACGGCCCCGCCCATGCCGTGCCCCTGCCCACGGCATTTGTGCTCCCCACACCCACAGCGGGTTCCCAGCTTCCTACCCCCCATTCCGCATCCTCACTCTGATGTTCTAGCAATTCTACACTGTGCCTCTGCTTCTCCCTCTCCTCTGTTATTTAGGAATCCTCCCCATGCCTGCTTTTCCTCCTGATCCAGATTAGTGCCCTGCCCTGGGAGTGTCCAGTTCGGGGGTTCCCTGGCCTGGGGGTGCCCTGTCTGGGAGGTGCTCTGCCTGGAGGGTGCCCTGCCCGGGGAGTGTCCAGTTTGCGGGTGGCCTGGCCTGGGGGGTGCACTCTCCCAGGGGTGGGTGCTGCCCTACCCCAGGGGGTGCCCTGGCCTGGGGGATGCCTTGCCTGGAGGGTGCTCCACCTCTCCTTACAGCTGGAGCTGGGTGGACATTGTCATGTGTCTTTCTTACAGCACCAGTCATGGCTGGGTCTGTCCTCAGTGGTCAGAGGACTTAGAGGAATTGGGTTCCAATGGTTTATATCAGGTGTAATTGTGGACAACACCTCATAGTGAAGGGAGGTCCCCTTGTTCTAGAAGCTTCCCAAGCTTTTCATCTCCTTACCTCCTTGGAAATTGCTCATGGCCTCACAGTCCTCTGCCCCACCCCACTCCACCTCTGGCTTTGCAGTCTTGTGCCACCCCCTGGTGGCTGCTGCCAGACCCTAAATGTGCTGGCCTCATGCTTTTGCATGTTAGCACCCCAGCCCCTGTCTTCCGTAGAGACACTGACCATGGCCCTGCCCCAGGAAGCCTCCCCGGCCCTGGCCATTCTAGTGGCCCAGCAGATGGGGGCTTCTTGAGGCTGTCACATCTGCAGCCCCACTCTGTGGGGGAACTGCTTGCTGAACCAAGTGGAATGGAATTCTGAGTCTGCTGGGAAGGGGTGCTGGGATTCAGGAAGGGGTTTTGCAGGCTCCTCCTGGTCCTCAGTGAGCCTGGACACAGGCCTGGAATGGACCCACTGGTGGGGGTGGAGTCAGGGAAGAGGAGGTCATAGCTTCGTAGCTTCTGGTCTTGCTCCTCTCTGTAACCCGCTAAAGCCTTGGTAAAGAGACTAAATAGAGATGTCCAGCCGTGGATTGGGAGGACAGGAGTGGAGGCAACCCGATGGGCATTTAGGAGCCAGTGAGTGAGTGGGCAAGAGCCACTGACTGAGTGCCCTTGGTGAAGTCAGACCTGATGCTGGAAAAGGGGAGCTGGGAACAGCCAGGTTGACATTGCGGAGCCCTCCCACGACCCGGCCGGCAGCACCAGCTCCCAAGAGAGTGGCAAGAGTAGCTGAGAAGCAGTGAGGTGTCCAGAGCCCTCCTCCACCCCAGCTGGACACTGGAGGTGTATTCTTGGAGCTGGTGACACCAGGGTTTCTGGGCCTTCCCATGTAATTGAGAACGTGGCACAGTGTCCCAGAGAGGGAGGCTGGAGAGAGCGGCTGATACGCATTATCTTTTGCCACTGGGTCCAGGAGGGTGGTCTAGGGTAGGATTGGAGCTGTCCTTTCTGAGGAGTGAGACCAGCCAAGAGGAAGGACCTAGAAGCAGTGACCCCCCCAACCCCTGGAAGCTCTGGGGACAAGCTCTTCTGCAGGGTCCCAGTGTCTCATCAGCTCTCAGTCCCCACTCCCAGTCACGAGTCACTTCCAAGCAGGGTCCCTGGAAATCTGACCTAAGGCTCTGACCCTGAAGGACAGAGACCAGAGAGATGGAACCAAGCAAACCCGGGGGCCATGCACCAAGAAGAAAACTGCAAACGTCACGACTGATATCTTCAGAGGGCAACAACTATCTCTCATGTGATGAATGAGAACAAAGAAAGAGGTTTAGAAATGGAAGATGCAATAGAAGTGAAATGGAATAGAAAGGTTGGAAGGGAGATGTTGAGGAAATCTCCCAGGAATAGGAGAGAGAGACAGAGAAGATGATCAGGAGGTCAGTGGTCAGTCCAGGCGTAACACCAAGATAGTAGGAATTCTAGAAAGAGAACAGGAGAATGGAAGGATAAAGGGCCCTTGCCAGGGGCTGAGGGCATGAGCTTGCAGCCGGTGAGGGCTTGCCCGGTACTAGCACGAGGGAGGAAAATGTCCCACATGGACCCTGGAATATCAGAGCTGTGGAAACAAAGGAAAACTTCTACACCTATCCAGAAGGAGGAAAAAAATGAGCTCTAGGTTGGAGATGAGGGGATCAGAGGCCTTCAGGCTCCCCCACCGCAGCCCTGGAAACCGAGGACTGTGGGATGCAAGGACCTGAGAATTTCGGACTGTGATTTCTCAGCTAGTGTGCTATTTCCCGCCAATTTGTCCACTAATTAGGGAGAAACGAAAATACTGTCAGACGTGTGGCACCTCCAGCATCTGATTCCCACATACCTTTCTCAAGCTCTGGCGGCTGTGCGCCAAGGTGTGGAGCAAACCACGACAAAAGAAGCTATGAGATTTGGGGAGCGGAGCCAAGGCAGGAGAGGGAAGCCCCAGGGAGGGCGGTGCCCCAGCGTGGCAGTACACCCTGGGTGGAGGCAGCCTGGCCCAGGTGGAGGGCACTTGATGCTTACCTGACATGGTGACTGCCTGCCCATGCCCTGCAGCCCAGCTCAGTCAAGAATGAAGGACACTCCTTTCTTTCCCCTGAATGTTCATTCTGCTTTGGTCCCCACTGAAGCAGGGTGGGCCTTGGTGAGCTTAGAGGAGAGGTGGCTTGCTCCCCTCAATAGGACTGGTCCACATGACGACCCCATCAGGAGTCGAGTCATGGCTGGGAAGACCCTATTCCCCAAACTCGCCCATGGCCTGCCTGTGGCCTTCCCTGGGGAGGAGTCTCATTGCCCCTCGGGGCAACCAGAGCGTGTCCTCTCCTGGGAACCTCCCTCCAATAGCAGCAATGGGCTCCTTCTGTACCCAGTTAAGGAGCATTGCTATGGGATTTCCAAATGCAACACTATATTGCCTGGGAACACACTCAGGTGGTGAAACATAAAGGAAGGTGGGCAAACACCCCAGAGGTGGGTGGGGGGAGAGGGAGTCTGACTGGGGGGTTTGCCCGGCTTCCAGCCTGCTGGGCTCCTCTCCTTCCCATCCTGGGTTGTGGTGCATCTTTTTTAGGGAGAGTGCTCTGGGGAGCCTGACTGAAGGAGGAGTGGAGAGGCCCCAGATTATCCAGGGGATGAATAAATCATAAGTAGTTCCCGGTTTTCTAGAGAAGCACTGAATGTGGACCTCTCTAGATATGTGACAAAAATGCAGATTTTGTGGATCCACAGAGATGGGTGCTGTGCTCAGCTCTGCCCCAAACCTAACAGCTGGGGTGGGCTCACCCCATGACCTCCTCTGTGCCAGGCACTTGCTGGGGCACATGGACCTCAACTCATTTGGTTCTCTCAACCACCTGATAGGATAAGTGTTATTAAACCCACTTACAGATGAGGAAACTGAGGTCCAGGGAGGATAAATGACATGGCCCATACCACAAAGATGGTGAGTGGCTGAGCTGGAGTTGGAGAGGCCCTGCCATGTTGGCTCTGCAACCTGAGCCTGAAGCCACTGTCCATGCTGTCTTCTGGGATTACCTCTGCTCCGTGGGCTTCTCCATGTGGCCTAGCTTTGGCTGGGAGTGGGGTTTGGGAACAGCAGGGGCTTTCAGCCCTGCCTCACCTCCTCTTGGGACGGTTCTGGGGCTAGACATCACTCCTCTTGCCCTGTAGACTCGCTGTCCACAGAGGGTCTTCTCCAGGGTCTGTCTGGCTCATCTCAGCCCTGGGGATGGTTGTTGGGGGGTGGCATTCCTGGGTAGCAGTTCAGTGGAATGACTTTGGAGGCACAGAGGTTACCGCATGTGATTCTCATCACACACATAGATGCTGGGAACTTCTGAAGGTGAAGGCTGTTGCAGGGTGTTGTTAGACGGCTCCCCAGCTCCTGGATCAGCTGGCGGGGGGTTGGGGTGGACAGCAGGCTACTGAATCTGAGGCCCTGTGGGAGAAGCAGGTCAGGGAAGATGAGGGTTTGTCCATGGACCTAGCTGTTGAGGTGTCTCTAATGCCTGGGCATGTCTCAGGTGCTGCATTGTGGCTGAGGCCCAGGAGAGCCAACAGCTTTGTACTTGGATTCGAGGCTGTTTCTTTTGCTCTGGCTGTTCTCTGCTGACACTACCTGGAAAGGCACAGGTGTGTGTCTGACCTACATTCCAAGGTGCTGAGAGCCAGCCTTGGATCAGTCAGGAGCTGGGCTGAGTGACTGTACCTGGGCTTCCCAGACCCTTCCTGGGGCATGGGGTTGGGAGACCAGGAGAACCCTGGGTGGAGTAGGTCAGAGTCCCTGTTTCCTACCCCTTTCTGATGCTTTGGGAAATCTACGCCCAGATGATGTTCCATGCAGGAGGCAGCTCTTTCCTGTTGATGGGCCAGATCAGTGGCTCCCTCCTGGGACAGCGCGGGAAGGAGGAGATGGGCTACTTTCCCATGGGGAAGCCGAGGCAGGACCCTTCACACTCCTGCATCTGTACTCATGCAGCACAGACGTGGGGAAGTGCTAGCCCTGCACAGAGGGGGTGGCATCTGGGCAGGAGTCCATCTAGCTTCGTCTAGAACATCCTGAATGAGTGGCTGCCACTCTAGGCCTTGCAGACCCCAATGACAGGGAGGTCATCACCTCCACAGGCTGCCCATTGGAACAGGTGGTGGCTGGGAAGTCCTTTATGCTGAGTTGACCTCTGGGTCTTGGTGGCTATAGCCCTTGGTCAGCATGAGGACTGTCCAGAGCCTGTGCTGGGCGGTCATGGAGCATCATGGGTGGTTTGCTGAGTGCCCTTCCCATCTTTGATCTCATGGACAGGGGGACCCACAGGAGGGGGCTCCACATGTCCTGCTAGATGGGGCTGAAGGAGGCAACTTCTGAGTAGGAGATGAAGAGGCAGGGACTGGGGCTCACAGGTCTGACTCCCACTTGGCCACCACCTGGCACATGAGGGCAGGCTGACTTGATTAGGAGGTGGCTGGCCCCTGGCCTCAGAGAGACCCTCCTCTCAGGCTCTTAGGGTATCCTGGATGATGAAGGCTTTGCAGGTCCAAGCGGCTGTGATCCAGGCACCCTTTGGCCCTGGAGAAGCATGGCTTGGTGTGTCCTCTGGGCAGACCTGCGTAGTGCTTAGAGGTCCAGGGAAGCTGGGCTGAGACCCTGGATCCTGGGAGCTCATGGCCTCAAAGGCAGCAAGTCATGGTCATTGTGATGCAAATGTGGGCAGGGGACACAGGGAATGGGTCATGGGCACAGATGACCCTGTGGCCAGAATGGGGATTTTCCAAGGCTGGGCTGTGAATAGGTGGCCAAATGGGACTGTACCCAAGCCACCCCACCCATCTTCCTGGCCTCAGGTCAGGGCAGGTGTGAGGGGGGATGGCGAGAGCCTGGCTTTCACCCCCTCTGCTTTTGCAGGTACTATGAGAGTTTCACCAACTGCACCGAGATGGAGGCCAATGTCGTGGGCTGCTACTGGCCCAACCCCCTGGCCCAGGGCTTCATCACCGGCATCCACAGGCAGTTCTTCTCCAACTGCACCGTGGACAGGGTCCACTTGGAGGACCCCCCAGACGAGGTTCTCATCCCGCTGATCGTTATACCCGTCGTTCTGACTGTCGCCATGGCTGGCCTGGTGGTGTGGCGCAGCAAACGCACCGACACGCTGCTGTGAGGGTCCCGGTGAGATGGAGTGGGTCACACCTGGCAAGCTGGAAGAAAGTTCCCTGGGGATGGGAGAGCGGGTGGGTGCTGCCAATCTCCAGCTACTGTGGCCACACCCCACCTGGTCATGGGCAGACCCCTCCCTTCCTGGGCTGACCTGCTCCCTCGAGGCCAGCCTGCTCCCTGGCTGAGGCTCAGGCTATCCGCCCAAGCTCTTTGCTCATTCTAGGGCCAGTGGAGGAAAATGTGATAAGGCCAGAGCTTGTGTGCTGGGCACAGAAATCACCTGCTGCATCCTGTGCTCCGCAGGCTGGGCCGGAGCCTCTGCCCGCAGGTTTCTATGCTGTTTCTTAGCACAGAATCCAGCCTAGCCTTAGCCGCAGTCTAGGCCCTGCTTGGACTAGGACTCCTTGCTTGACCCCATCTCTGGTTCCTGCCCTGGCTCCTGCACCAGCCCCAGCTCCTGCCTACATCCAGGCAGAAAGATAGGCAGGGGCTCTTGGAAGACGTTCCGTGCTGTGACCTCCGAGCCCTCCTGGTGGGAAGACAGCTGGAAAGGCTGGGAGGAGAAGGGAGGGGCTGGGGGTTCCCAGGAGCCATGCGTGGCCTGCAGAGTCCATTCCATCATGATGCTGTGCCCGCTATGGGCTGTGTCCATGACCAGAGGCTGGAGTGGGGGTGTGTTAGAGCCCCTCACCGGGACTTGCTGTGCGGATGGGGCCTGGGCCTCCTTCCTACAGGGGCTCCTCTGTGGGTGAGGGGCCCTCTGGAATGGCATCCCATGAGCTTGTGGCCTCTATCTGCTACCATCTGTGTTTTATCTGAGTAAAGTTACCTTACTTCTGGAATTTCCTGTTTTGTTTCATGTTATTCAGAGAGACGGTGCATCTCTTGGGACTGATGAGTCCCCTGTACATATTGTACAGATAGGGAACAACTGAGGTTCTGGAATCCCAGAATGTCAGCGCTTAGGGGGCTCAGAGAGTGTTACAATAGGAGAGGGGCCTGACAGGAGGAGGGACTTGCCTAGCTACTCGCAGCCCCTTGGGCACTTCCCATCCCTGACCCATTGGTTTGAGGATGACAGGGAAGATTTCTCTCTCTTCTGTTTTCCCTTTGCAGCTGCCTTGGGCTTGCTAGGACCCCTGCCTGGGTTTTCTGGGGACCGAGAGGCCCTGGTCAGGTCTGGCTGGAGGCAGATGCTGGTCCTGGGGGGTCCCTAGAGCAGGTGGAGGGGCTTTATCTCCAGGCCTCTGGCCAGGCCCTTGTCCAGGCTCCAGTTCTGTGGACCTGTGTCTTTTGCATGTGGGCTGTTGGATCCAGGATCTTCTTGCTGGATCCCAGGACCCCTGTGAGTGGAGGCAGGCACGACCCTGGTAGTTCCTCTGCCTTTAGAGGCCCAGCTCCCCTTCAATGCCCAGGCAGGCAGGTTCTGGCACTGGGGATCTGCATGGTGGATGCCACTGGACCGGAGGTCTGGGTGGGTGGCCTGAGCCTGACCCCATTGGGGGCACAGTGTAGGGGACAGAATCTGAGTCTACTCCATGTTCTTGGGGCAGCCTTGGCCGGGCATGAAAGGTTGCGATCCCCATCACCTGAGCCTTGGCCAGCTATCTCTGAGATGGGACACCATCTGCCCGATGAGGTGACTGTGTGGAGACAGGGAGGTCAGCGTGCCCACAGGTGTCAGGCCATCTGGCCTGCAGTGGTGGCTCTGTGTTCAGTGGATCCTGGGGTCTCTCATGGGGCCTCTGTGTAACTTGCTCCCTCCAGCCCATTCCGATTCCAGAACCACTCTGCACTGGGTTCCTGGCTGCTATGGTAGAGGTGCAGCCCTGCCCCTTGGCTAGTGTTAGGCACCCCCTGGTTGTGCATCCCTGAAGAAATGCTTGAAATGTGCTGAGGGAACCCCCCAACAAGGGGCTGGGACACCTGCAGCTACCTCCTGGGTCCCCTGGAACCCAAGCCCTGGAAGCTGCTCTGAGTAGGGAGTGAGCCTGGAGTCATGCTCTGGCCTCCTCCCAAGCTCTTGGGCACTGTCTTCTGATCTGCTACCTCCTCCCTGAGGACAGAGGTCCTGGGGGGCCTGGTGAGATTTCCGTGAGGGTTTGGATTCCTGGGGATGGGGTCCAATGAGGGGTGTTCTGGAGGCTTGGAGGTCCCAGGGCAGGGCCCTCAATCACTGTTTCCAGGCTAGGTAAAGCATCAGGCTCTAATTCAGTCAGATGCTGCTCTTGCTGAGTGCACTCTGGAGACAGCTTGAGTTTTTCTGCGATGCAAACTCCAAACTCGGCAGGAGTTTCAAGCTCCCTCACCAGGGACAGGGCCGGTGGGTGCAGCTACACTGCTGTGTGGGCAGATTGAGGAGTTGGGTAGGGAGCCAGGAGGCCTGTCCACATAACCCTGCAGAGGCTCACAAGGCAGGAAGGGACATCAACATTTACTCAGCCTTGATCAGGTGAAAGAGAAGTAATTATTCAGGCAGTAAGAGGATATCTATTCATGTTTCCTATTGGAATCTTCTTTCAATTTTTACTTCTCCATGTGTTTTCTCCAGGGCACCAAGGGTCTAAGGTGCCAGGCCCACAAAGGGAATGTGCTTGTGTGGGTGTATGTGTGTATGTGTGTATGTGTGTATGTGTGTGAGCGTGTGTGTGAGGGTGTATGTGTGTTGGTGTGTACATGTGAGTGTGCGTTGGAGGCAGCAATAGTGTGTGTATTCTAGGAGCTTCCTTATCTAAAAGTCTCTTACATTTCATCAGTTTACGCAATCATTATTAATGTCTCATTTTGCAGATGTGGAAATTGAGGCTCAGAAATGTAAGGGGACTTGCTGAAGAGTGGTCTTTTATATTTTCCTGGCCTGCTGCCCTACTGAATCCAGCCCTGAGAGGTGACAACTGCCTTGAGGAGCCCCTCTGGACCCTGGACCTGCATGGGTTTCCTCTGGCCAGAGCGGGTCCCTTCCTGACTGTGGCAAGTTTCGGGCATGCAGAAGGCTGCCGGGGTCCTCTAATAGGGTGACTGGCCCAGGCGGTCAGTCTGGTGCAGCCTTAGTACTCGGGTCACCATGGTGGTTGTGGTGGAGTGCAGCCACAGCCCTGCCTCATGGGGGTGGAGGACTCATCCCCGAGTCTGTTCTCTGGGCAAACCCAGCTGTGGTCCACAGGTCTTCCTTTCTGGACACACCCAGAAGACCCCACCTGCTTCACTCCTTGAAGAAGGAATCAACCCTTAGCCCTGAAAGGCCCCCTGTGGCTCAGCTTCAGGACTGGACTGGCGTCACAGGTGATTAGAATTAACGTGGGAATGACCGCTCATAGGAAGCAGCCGCCATGAGTATGCGTGTGTGTATAAGTGTGTGTGGATGTGTATATTTGTGTGTATATGTGTGAGCATATGTTCATGAGCGTGCATGTGGGTACATGTGAGTGTATATTCCTGAGTGTGTGTGTGACTGTGTGTACAAAGTGTTGGCAACTACAGCAAGATGATGGCTGAACCCTGTGTGGGTTGTACACATTTGCCACAGTCCATGCCCTTTGTCACGTGAAAATACTACTACTCGTAAGTGAGAAGAGTGAATGCCAGCAACTCTTGGGGACTGTTGTGGCTGGGTTGTGTCTTTAATCATTTCATCTGCCAAGGTTTTTGCACCACTGTGTTGAGAGCTGTGGGGATCACAGAGACATACAAGGCACAGCCTGACCCCCAAGGGTTCCCCGACTTGTTGGAGAGGCAGATATGCAAGGCCCAAATGCAGTGTGCACAGTGAGTGAGGCAGCTGAGAGGTAGGTTCCTCCGGGGATTTTGAGGAAGGTTGATGGTTGATGGAGAGGGTTTTTAAGCTGGATCTTTAAGGGTGAGTAGGAGTTTTCCACTGCAGGAGAAGAGTGTCATGAACAGAAGCTCAGAGATGTGCAAGAACATGGTGTGGGTGGAGCCCAGGCTGTGTGGGTCAGGTGGGACTGAAAGTGTGAGCAGGGCCCAATTTGAGGAGGCAGGAGGGGACGGTTTGGGGATGAAGGTCTCTGCAAATGCACATTATTTAAGTCATTGATGGCTTCTCTCATGGGGCCTCTGTGTAACTTGCTCCCTCCAGCCCATTCTGATTCCAGAACCGCTCTGCACTGGGCGCCATGCAAGGCTCTGGGAGACAGTGGGAAGGGAGCCGCTGTTTCTGCCCTGTAGGGAAAGGGAGAGACTCTCCATATCAAAACACAACACGGAACAAGACAGCTACTCTTTGTACAGTGGCCTTAGCAGAGGCACTTCAGTGGGTTGCAACGGCTCATCAATGGAAGTGTGAATTCTTTTTGTCCACCTCACCCCTGACTACTCAGCAAACAAAACCTGGGAGTACACAGGGTTTGTAGTGAGGGCAGCTATTAGAGGGTAGCCATCTTTATCCTTGGCAGAGGATATCCTGCACCGGTCTATGGGACCTGCCACTGAGGTCACTGTGGTGGCAGCTGTTGACCTCATTCACTGGAGGCTGAGCCTATGGGAGCATCTTGTTAAGGAGCAGGTGACCTTTATTCCCTGAAATTGCCCCATGTGTGGTCTGCAAGCCAGTTCTCATGACTGAGGAGTGGACTTGCCAGACTGCAGAAATCCAGGCCTGAAGAAGTTATGTTGCCAAAAGGGGAGATCTCTAGAACACAGACCTGCCTCTCCATCAGGCCTGGCAATTACTGATGGTACCTGGGGCAGTCCAGGCAACGTGGGGGCCGAGCAGCTGCATCATGAACGGGGTCCTTGAGGACTCTGACTTCCATCTGAAGAGTGGTTGTGCGGAATTAAGAAGGAAATTTCCTGACCCTCTCTGGCAGGTTTCTGAAGGCCTGAGTACAGCGTGCTCTAAAACAGGCTTCAAGTCCACGCCGAGACTCAGCCCCGAGGATGTGGCCAGTGATGCTCACTCAGGGTGCTCCTGTCCTTACTCACTGGGGGAGGCATTTATTGATGAAATAGATTTGAATTTTTCAACTGATGGGATTTTGTTCACTTTTAAGACCCCAGTGGGTTGGAAAGGCTTTAAGAGCCCATGGAATTTCTTCTGATATATATAAAGTGAAAAAGTAGAATATAAAACAATGTAGAGGAACTGCTTCCGAAATGACATGAGAACTTCATGGACCAAACAACCATAACTAGTGCAAATCATAAAAAAACCCCAGACAACCGTTTAAAGTCTCTGGAAATTGTCTTAAGGCTACACAGCAAATGAAACATTTATTAAAGAAAATGTGTCAAATCTGGGTAAGAACAGGAGCATCTGTAGCACTGGAGCTGTGACTGGTTCACCTGCCCCACCCCCCCGCCCCCAACCCAGAGTCCAAGAAGACAGGGTTCTCTCTCTCTAGCTCCCAATCAAGGCATCTTGACATGATGCCCCTTGGAGGAGCAGGTTGCCAGCACTGCTCACCCCCACGCAGCTCTGCGCTGCAGGGGCCGAGCTCCAGGCAGGAGCGAGGGGTTGGCTTCCAACATGGTCCTTGAGAAGGCGAGGCACTACTTGTCCACAGCCTCATCCCTGCCTGCTGAGAGCCACGCACTGGGCAGCTCCTGGCCCTCTCGATGCCCACTGGCACAGCAGACCATGAGCTCCAGGGCACACTCAAATCCCCCACCTCCGTGAGACTACTGGATAAGGTTCCAGGAAGCGAGAGAGTCCACGGGTGAGAGGAGTGGGCTGGAGGGTGGGGGCCTGGATTTTCCTGAGGGGTGCTGAGGAGTGAAGTGGACTGGCCAGAGGCTGCTGGCCCAGGCTGTTTTACAGAGAGCAATGGGAGATATGGGAAGGGTGTGTTAGAGGTGCAGGTCACATGATGGGAGCAGCACATGGCAGAAGCGAGGGATCTTGAGGGGTCTTGGGCAGGAGGACCAGCCCCACCTCACCCCATGGGTGGGGACAGTGGAGGGGAGCTGGGGGCATCCACTTCAACTCTGGCTTCCTGTTGACAGGGAAGGACGGTCTGTCAGGGGACGGAGGGCCCCTCCCTCACACAGGCATCTCTATTTCCTTCAGGCCCTGGGCCAGCCTCCGCTTCCCTCAGGGTGGTTTCTGCTCTATTGGCCGTTGAGGCAGCGTGACCCTTCCTCCCTGAGCGGGAGAATGTTCCGTCCTGACCCCTTGCTGCCAGGGCTGTGAGCTCTGTGTCCATCTCTGTTCACACAGAGAGGCCGGCTGGCATTTCAAGGCACTGTCTTAATACCCTGGTGCCCCCTTCCCTGCAAGCCCCTACAGCCCTTCCCTCAGTGTCCTTGCTCGGACTGGCCTGGGCTCGTGCATCACAGGCATTGCGGCCAGGGGGCCTGTGATGCATGTGTCAGCTTTGGTTACACGCCTGGCATATGTGTAGACACAGCGATGGAGCAGCCACCCGGGAGGGCGCACAAGACCTGGCACCAGGGAGCAGAAGTGGGGGCCGAATATGTAGAGCCTGCTTTGGGGTAACTGAAGGGAAGAAGGAAAGCAGGACCGCAGGAGCATGGGGCCTGCACTGTTACCCACCAGAAAACCGCCTGACGTCCAGGAGGCCCACTCCTGGCCATGGTTACCAAGGAAGCAAGGTCGAGGAGAGAGCTGGTTGAAAATAACTTCCAGGTGGGCGTGGTGGCTCACGCCTATAATCCCAGCACTTTGGGAGGCCGAGGCAGGCGGATCATGAGGTCAGGAGATTGAGCCCATCCTGACTAACAGGGTAAAACCCCGTCTCTACTAAAAATACAAAAAAATTAGCCAGGCATGGTGGTGAGCACCTGTAGTCCCAGCTACTCGGGAGGCTGAGGCAGGAGAACTGCTTGAACCCAGGAGGCAGAGGTTGCAGTGAGCCAAGATCACACTACTGCACTCCAGCCTGGTTGACACATAGTGAGACTCCTTCTCAAAGAAAACAAAAAACAAAAACAAACCAAAAAAAACCTTCCTGTCCTTTTTTTTTTTTTTAAATCAAATTCAGTTAAAATTGGATTAACTCAACTTCAAATATAGTTGAAATGATTCCGGCAAATGGAGGGTGATCAGTCAGCACCAAGCGGCGAGGACAGGCCACTGGGAGGAAGAAGCCTCCTGAAGGTGCAGGCCTTAGTCAAGGAGCTGACCAGGAAAGTGGAAGAGATGACCGGAAAAGACCAGTTTCGGCACCTCTGACCTACCTGTACCAAGCATGTCGTTGGCCACATGTGGACCCCACCGGCCTGAACCTCCTGACAGGAGCCTGCCTTAGGCCACCAGCCATTCGCAGGACTGGGAGGCCGTGCACTGGGCTGGCTTCAGCACTGGGGCCTGGCTCCTTTCCTGATTTGCTGAGGAGCTGCAGGAAATCCCCCCACACCCCTATCCCATCTCAGTTTCCTCTGTCAGTCATGCAGTGGATCTGCGAGGGGGCCTCAGTGCATCCTGGGACCCCACCCTTCTTGTCCTTCCCTGAGTCACCCTCATTCTGTCTGGAATCCTCTGTGGCTGCTTTTCCACAAACTACACTCACTGGCAGAGTGACCCCTGGGGCTTTGGACCTCTGGGTATTATCAACATGGTAATGAGCCGGCAGGCCTATCATGGACACCTGGGGGGCGATCATGCTTGTCCACAGTTAGGTTTTCTAATGTATTTCTCTGTCCCTGGCTGTGACAGCCTGTGGAACTCAGAATGGAAGACAGTAAGGGGCCTGGACGCTTTGTTCCCACCTTGACCGGAGGCAACAATCTTCCTCTTGCATGCCAATGTCATTGTATACCTTGCTTCTGGCGCTGCTGACCCCAAGTGGCCCAGAACATTCCTTTGGGTCTCCTCAGTGAATCAAACATGTCCCTATTCCAGTACATTTCTATTAAAATCTGCTGAGCCCCACAAAGAACCAGGCACTGCTAGGAGCTTCCTGTAGGTGTGTAAACTTCCATGCACTCAAGCCGCTTGCCCCCAGGCACTGTGTTGGATTCAGCCTGCAGCCACTCATCCTCACTCAACCCTCCTGCTCTACCCACCAATGCCTTCCATGGGTTTGCCTAAAATTAAACATTAGTAAATGTTGAATGGATCCAACTGGAGAGAAAGATGTTCCTTTGCCTTAAGCATCTATGCTCCATATGTTTTGTTTCCAAGCAGTTTCATTCAGAAGGATGTGAAAGGGACTCTGTTCCACAGCTGCACTGGTTCATGGTGGTGGAATAATCACAAGATGAAACAATCGTATCATTGCTTTTCCAGCAAAGTCAGGCACTGTGCTCACAATACACTACATTCATGGAAGCCTCTTTGTTATAGGAATTTGCTTTGCTCTAGGGGCGTTCTTTTAATTTTACGGTTGGAGGATTGAGTTCTCAATTAAGGGATCAGCAACAAATAGATATTAGGTATGATCAATTAGCTATCTGGGAAGTATGAATGTTCTTTCAGTTACCTAGCACTAATTAAACAAGTGTCTTGCCTTGTGAGGGGGAGAGGCTCATAAAGACACCCTCTTTTCTCTCAAGGGCTATCTGTCTTGGAGCCTTGGAGATGAGACTTGTACACAGACTGCTCCCTAAAGAGCAGAATGAGGCCAGTCCCTCGGAGAGGTAGGTGGAGAGAGGGCGTCCATGGAGGATTAGTTTAGGCTCAGCTCCACGCCCTCGAGGAGCCCACAAAGGAAGTGGCATTGAAGCCAGGTCTTAGATGATAGGTAGGACTGTAGGATGCAGAGAAGCAGCTGCATATAACATCATAGCTTCAAAGGATTCAGAGCAGGATTGTTGGAGACAGGAGGAGAAATTCACCAGTTCATAATCACCATGGGAGATTTGCAATAGATCTCTTTCAGGAATTAAAAGATCAAGGAATTAAGTAAACACACATGAAAAAGTAAGTATATACAAGTTTTGAATAATAAGCTTCATATAATATATATCTAATATTTATCATCTGTCTCTCCATTTATCTGTCAATACACCCCCAAAGGAAAATATTCATTCTTTTTGAATATCCATGAGAAACTGACAAAAAATTAAAATGATGCTGGCCACATTCTTGGACAAATAGGCAAAAGAAAACAATCTTTTTGTTACTGAAACACCAGGGGTTTGGTCTAGGTCCTACTGCTCGCCTGCACAGAAAGCCCATTACTGAGACAATGGAGTATTGCCAAGGAAGAAGGCTTTACCTGGGTGCTGCAGCTGATGAGGACGAGAGAGCAGTCTCCAATCTGTCTCCTCAACTGGCTAAAATTCGGGGTTTATAGAGCAGGGAAGAAATGTGACTATGTGTGGGAAAAGAGGAATTAGCGAGGGTTAAGGAAGAGGAGTTGGTCAACAGGAAGCAGGTGGTCAGTTAGGCAATTATATTAGTCCGTTTTCATCCT
Organism: Homo sapiens; assembly: GCF_000001405.40. Lineage (NCBI taxonomy): Eukaryota > Metazoa > Chordata > Mammalia > Primates > Hominidae > Homo > Homo sapiens. Next base: position 45,192,744 of record NC_000007.14, read on the forward strand.
GCTATAAAGAACTGTCAGAGACTGGGTAATTTATAAAGGAAAGAGGTTTAATTGACTCACAGTTTAACGTGAGACATGGCTGGGGAGGCCTCAAGAAACTTAATGATCATGGTGGAAGGTGAAGAGGAGGCAAGGCACATTCTTTACAAGGCGGCAGGAAGGAGAAGTGCTGAGCGAACGGGGAAGATCCCCTTATAAAACTGTCAGATCTCGTGAGAACTCACTGTCACGAGAACGGTATGGGGGAAACCACCCCCATGATTCAATTACCTCGACTTGGTCTCTCCCTTGACACGTGGTGTGTATGGGGATTATGAAGATTACAATTCAAGATGAGATTTGGGTGGGGACACAAAGCCTAACCATATCAACAATCAGGATGGGTGAGGGGTCTGGTGTCTCATCGTCCAGATGCAGTGATCTGGTGAGTTTCAGGTCCTTGATACTATCTGGGAAGCCTGATGTTTGGAACTCAGGAAAGACAAATGTACATTTCTCAAATTTTTAAGACTGGGACAGTCAATTTCTATTTTAATTCAAAAAAACAAAAACATCAGTTCTATGGGACAATTGGACTGGTTTCATTTTCACTTGGAAATTTAAAAAAGCCTTCTATATAATCTTGGATTCAATAAGAAATAAAAATGGAAACCACAAACTATTTACAAATTAATTATAAGAAAAGTACCAGCCTTATATCAAACTACATGAGATATGTTTATACACACACAATGGGGATTAGTATGTGAAGTATCTAGCACCCAGCATGACCACGACAAGGGCTCTGACCAGTCAATGGGGAGATAGTTGTTTAAAAACATGTGGCACCTCCCACCTCTCTCTTTTGTTCTCTCGCTCCAGCCATGTAAGATGTGCCTGCTTCCCCTTCGCCTTCTGCCATAATTGAAAGTTTCCTGTGGCTTCCCCAGAAGCAGAAGCCACTTTGCTTTCCTATACAGCCTGCAGAACCATGAGCCCATTAAACTTCTTTTCTTTGTAAATTACCCAGTCTCAGGTATTTCTCTACAGCAGTGTGAGAACAGGCTAATACAGTAGGGGTGTGTTGAAATGGTCCTGGTTTGATTATAAATTAATTTACTTTTTGGTGAATCTTTTGGCAGTCTCCATGGAAAAAGAGAGGCATTCTGTTTAAACCAGCAGCCCTAGAGAAATATTCCAGTGTAAGAAACATGTATGAGGATGTTCCCTTCAGCACTGTTGCTGTAGCAACAGATTGGAAACTAAACCAATGTTCAGCTAAGGTGGCCGGGCCTTTCTGAGAAGCTCAAGTGTGAGCCGCAGCCTGAACGGGAAAGGTCTTGGCAACACTTCTCAAAGTAGGGGGTCTGTGGACCAGCAGCATTGCTGGGGAGCTTGTTAGAAACACAGATTCTTGGCTCCACCCGGACCACTGGACCACAAACTCTGGGGCAGGCCCAGCACTTGTCATTTTAACAGTGCTCCAGGGGGTTCTGAGGCTTGGGTTTGGGAACCAGTGGTCGAGAGCAGTGAGGTTCTCAGCCCTCGTTGCATATTAGAGTCACCTGCAGAGCTTGTAAAAGTTCCAGTCTGGGGCCCTATCCCCAAAGACCAACTACGTCAAAATCTCAGGTGTGGTGCCCCTGAGGTGACTTTAGTAGGACTAAGACTGAGGACCCTTAGACCCTCAGGCCCTCAGGGCCTCGGACCAGGCTCCATGACTGCAGGTATCAAGCTCAGCCGGGTGTCCAGTTTCCACCTGGCTGGTGCCCACTTTTCTGGTCTGGGGCAGAGCCACCCAGAAGTTGGTATTTTTTACAAGCTCCCCAGGTGATTCTTAAGTTTGAGAACTACTGCAGACTTACGATACTCACCCTGGACTTAGTGTCCCCAAAAGGAGGGCGAGGGTTAAGACTTTGAAGGAGGAATGGGTGAGGGGTGTGCGAATGATGGGGTGGGGCGGGCAAGATTTTTCTGGTGTGGGGAGAAGCATTTGCAAGTTTCAGCCTCTGTGATTTCCACCTTAGAAGACCACTGTGACCCCTGTGGAGAATGCAGGATGCAATGCAGGGCAAGGAGGTTGGGGGGATCTCAGGGAGTCCAAGGGAGACCCCAGCAGGTGTGCTGGTGTCACAGTGCGGGGTGCAGAGGGGTGGGTTGATGGTGGAGGAGGGAGGGATGAAGGTTATCTCCTGGGCCTTACTGTTTTCTGAGATGGTGAAGACCAGACAGGAAGTCTTCCAGTCCAGAAGGTGCTCCAGCCACAGGATGCGATGACATAGGGCAGTGAGGGAAGCCAGCAGGGCAGTTGGACCGCTGAGTCTGGACCTTGGGAAGGTTTGGGCTGGATGTGGACATTTAAAGCCATGGGCTTTAAAGAGCACAGAGCTCACTTGGGGCCGAGGCCCGAGGCTGGGAAGAGGAGATGCAGCCAGCAGGACAGGAGGGGCTGAGGCCCTTGTTCTTGAGTGGAGGCTGAAGTGGGTGAATCTGGGGGCTTGGCTTAGAGGGAGGGGGCAGAAGAGCTGCCCAATTTCTGAGAGATCCTTTCTCCCTTCAGGATGTCAGTTGGCTGTCATTTTGCCTGGAATGCTTGGCTGCAGCCCGCTGGACTAGTGTGTGCGCAATGGACCGGCAGCCTCCTCTTAGGGTTGACTGCTCTGGTGAAAAGGCAGGTGACCCACAGTGAGCTCACAGGGTGCTATGACTTCTGGTCTGGGTGGACAGTCTATGGAGGGTGAGATGCCTTCCCTCTGCCAGGACCAGCAGAATTAGAGAGCACCTGCTGGATGCCTTCGCAGAGTCTGTGCTGCAGATGAGGACATGGCCCCTGAATGGGAGGGAGATGACTCACCCTACTTCTAACTTTGCAACAATAAAAATGATGAGAGGGGGACATGACAGAGATGATGTTAACAGCTTCAGATTCCACATTTGGGCATCCATAGTTTGGACATTTATCTGTACCTTTAAATTTAATAGTGGGTCCTCAGACTCCAGAGTGCTGTTTAGGGTAACATGGTTGATTGACTGTTCTAGGGTTAATCAAAAATAAAACTACCTCCAATGCGGTATTTTCATACCATTTTTTGAATCATAATAAAAGTAGTCAGGGCATCTAGTTTTGAAGCTTCCGGAACCCATTTGTGCATTTGTAAGGGTCTTGAGAATTTTATAACAATGTTGAAGAATGTTTTATTGTGTTGCAGCTTTTCAGAAATGATTTTTTTTCTGGGACAAAGCTTGGTTTAGGAACAATGTTCCAGCAAGTCCTATTCAGCAGTAGTCATGGATCTAAGGTACCATTTATTGTAAAAAGTATTCAAGTACAAAAGGGACAAAAAGATGGTTTAAGGTTAGTTCTCTTAAATCATAAAGATGTCATCTTCTTGGCCCCTGGGTAAGGATGACCCAACAGGATTTACTGCTATCTCTGATGATCAGGTAATGTTGAACTTGTTGGGAGAATGCAGCGTTTCTGGGGGTTTTGTCTGTGAAGATGTTCTGCTGGAATTAAGCTCCTTGGTAAACAGCTCCAAATGGTGAAGCAGGGTCTGAAGGTCAGATCATGGCTTGAAGGTCAAGGTAGTGGTTTATCATATGCCAGCTGGTATCTGCCCTCAGCTGTATTATCTAAGAGTGTGAGAGGACTTTTCCTAAAAAGCCACTACCTCTTCATTGTCATTTATCCACCTGTCTACCATTTGCAAGTGGCTCACTTCCGGCAGGGGAAACAGTGATGTCCACTCATAACTGAACTGTGCTGTGGTAGGAACTAGGTGGAGGGGTGAGCAGGGCTGTATGACACAAGAGGACTTTCTCAGGCTGGCTTCTGTTCATTCTTGGGTTTCCATGTGGGTGGAACTGAGTCAGTTTCAATCACTGTGTTGGGTGATATTTACTGGGTGCCCACGTTGTGCTGATTCTGGGAGGACATCTCGGTTATTGTCATCGTGGTTATTGAGGCGCGGCTTTCCATGCAGGTTCCCTTCCTCTGAGGAGTTGGGCTTGCGTCCAGCTGGACCCATTAAAAGAATGTACATCCCTGTGAACTGGGTGCACAGTGAGGTCCTAAGGTGCATTCCTGTTCCTCTTGACATTGTAAATTCTTGGATACAGCTTCCAAGAAAAGGACCAATAGCAGGAGGGACCACACATTCTGGCTTGTAAAACAACAACAACAACAACAACAAAACAAAAAACTACAATCAACCTAAAATATTAAAAAAATGGAGGCCAGGTGCGGTGGCTCATGCCTGTAATCCCAGCAGTTTGGGAGGCTGACGCAGGTGGACCACCTGAGGTCAGGAGTTCGAGACCAGCCTGACCAATATGGTGAAACCCTGTCCCTACTAAAAATACAAAATTAGTTGGGTGTGGTGGTGCATGCCTGTAATCCCAGGTACTCGAGAGGCTGAGGCAGAATCGCGTGAGCCCAGAGGGTGGAGGTTGCAGTGAGCTGAGATTGCACCGTTGCACTCTAGCCTGGGCAACAAGAGCAAAACTGCATCTCAAAAAAGAAAAAAGAAAAAAGAAAAAAGAAAAAAAAAAAAAGAAATGGGGAAGGCTGTGGGGGGCTGGATGACCACGGCAGGGACTTGGCTTTGGTCTGAGTGGAGCTTAGTACATTCTTAAAAGCAAGTAACTACAGAACAAAACCACTAAATAAACTGAAGCCAGTACCACCAATGATGAGAGTGTTCCATGAGATCAGAATGATGAGTCCAGTTCTGGAGGTGTTATTGAACTGAACTGGGTCTGTTCACCCAGTGCAGTGAGGCCAAACTTTCACATCAAGGTTTGCAGTGGGAGAAAGGACGGTATTTGTTTTCAGGGTGCCCAGCAAAGAGAATCAGGCAGCTCATGTTTAAGACCTCACTTCCCCTGTCTGCAGGTTTCTTGGCATGAGGAGGGGGACTGTCCTCACCATGTGTGACTGTCTTGCACTGGCTGCAAGACATAAGCTTGACCAACTGTCTGGGATATGGCTCCCTGACTGACCAGCAATCTTGAACTGACTGTAGCTCCAGATCTATCCACTTGTAGCTGAGAGATGCAATATTTATAAAGAATTGCTAGAAGGCAACATCTATGCCTCTTGATATCCAAAGATCTACCTTCATTACGCCAGACCAGCAAGACTGTCTGGTATTATTAATAGCATCTCTGGGGCTGATTTGTGTTTTGGTATGAAGACATTTGCTTCTTTTTAGAGACATATAAGAAAGAGCCCTTGTTTACTTATTGCTATGTCTCTAGTAAGGATAAAGATATTGATTTTGATAATCACTCAACACCCTCTATCTAAAGATCTGTAGTCCCAGCACTTTGGGAGACCGAGGCAAGCAGATCACCTGAGGTCAGGAGTTTGAGACCAGCCTACCAGCCTGGCTAGCATGGTGAAACCCCATCTCTATTAAAAATACAAAAATTAGCTGGTCATGGTGGTACACCTGTAGTCCCGGCTACTTGGGAGGCTGAAGCAGGAGAATCTCTTGAATCTGGGAGGTGGAGGTTGCTGTGAACTGAGATTGCGCCACTGTACTCCATCCTGGGAGACAGAGTGAGACTCTGTCTCAAAAAAAAAGAAGAAGTAATAGTAGATCTGAATGGTGCCGGTATTAAAGAAATCGAATTAATAAAAAGTTTTCCTAGAAAGAAAACTCCAGAGCCAGATGGTTTCACTGGTAAATTCTGTCAAACATTTAAGAAAGAAATAACACCATTATTTAACTAATACAGCAGAAGAGGAAAGAATGTTTTTGTATCTTATTATTATTATTATTATTATTATTATTATTATTATTATTATTTTGGATGCTTTGTCATCCCAAAGTGCTGGGATTACAGGCATGAACCACTGTGGCCTGCCGAGGAATTTTTTTTAAATTCACTTTATGGGTCCAGCATAACTTTGATACCAAAACCTGACAAGGAAATTATAAGAAAAGAAAATTATAGACCAATATTTTTCATGAACATAGATGTGAAAGTCTTTAACAAAATATTAACAAATTGCATCTAGTAATATATAGGAAGGATAATACACCTTAACCAAGTGGGTTTGATCCCAGGAATGAAAAGTTGGTTTTATCTTAAAAGTCAATCAGTGTCAGTCACCACATTCAGAGAATTTCAGATAAATATCAGACAGATGTGGCAACTAAACTCAACATTCATTTATGATAAACTCTCAGCAAAGTAGAAACAGAAAGGAATGCCCTTATGGTTAACAGAAAAGGGAGTCGTCTTCATTGGGTTTTAGGGTAGGAGGCCTCGGGGTGAGACAGCCTGTAGGAACTAGTGGATGGCTGATTACTTGCAGGCCCATCCCCATGGTGGAGCTCTCCAGGATTGGGCAGCCACTCAAGGACCCTGGCTGTGGCCATGGCCCCCCCCCATTCCCTGGACTTGGCTTTGCATTCTCCAATCAGCTTGAGTTGGGAAGCGTTGGCTTGCACCTAGACTTTCCCTTAGGATGGGCTGCACTGGCCTGAGGTCTGGCATGACGGCCATTTGGCAGCCCCATTTGTCACTGTGAATAAACCCACTGGCCCTGGTTCAGGCACCTGTCTCTGTGGGCTGATCAAGTGTCTTCACCAGCTGACCTGGGCCCCAGTGATGTCAATGAGCATTCTACAAACCCACCCACCCACCCACCCACAAGTTGAGTCTTCACAGGTAGAAAAAATCCGGTTGTCTTTTTAGGGACTTCCTGCCCACTCCCCGCATACCACAAATGAAAACGTTCTGGGAGGTTTTCAGAGAGTGTCCCACCTGAGTGTAACTCAGATTCCACTTCCTAACTCATCTCCTGCTCTGAGATCTGCATCTTGTACGTATCTTTCACCTGCAACTGATGCTGGCTTCCTAAAACTCAAGTCTCAGAATGTCACAACCCTGTGTAGAGGTTCCCTCCGGCTCCTCAGTGGCCTCCAAAGAGAAGTCCATAGCCTGAGCATGGTCCAGAGTCCTCCATGACCTGCCCAGTCTTCCTCTCCACACCGCCCTGGCCAACTCCAGCCTTACGACCCTTCTCACCTCATACACTTGGGTGCTCTCTCATGCCTGGTCTCCACACATGGTATCTATTCCCCTCTCTTGTTTTAACTCCTCAAAGAGTCCCCCTCAAAGTGTCCCCTGTGCCCTCCATGGAGACCCCTCCTTCTTCTCAGGGCTCTCAGCTCCATCTCAACACATTCTGTCAGCCCTTGTAAGGACCTGTTGATAACATCTGTCATTCCCACTGATGGTCATAGCAGCCCGCGGTGAGCTCCTGGCATGCTGTGCAAACTTTCACTCCCTAAATCCTCACAGAACTTTAGAAGGTAGGTTTCTACTCTTACCTCCATTTCTATGATGAGGCTGCCATTTGCCCAAGGCCACTAAACTCTTAAGAGGCAAAGGCAGAGCCTGCTAGAGGGTGAGCTTCTGGAGGGATTAATTTCTGTATTTCCAGCAATGAGTATAATACACAAAGTAGGTGCTCAGTAAACGTTTGTGGGTAGAAAGCTGCATGAGTTTTCTGTTTGGGATCCCTTCTCCCAACCCTGTGAGATAGTGTCAGAGCCCAATGGGTCCTTCTTGCCTGCTGTCCTGAAAAAACCAATGAGAACAGCAGGGGTTGCAGCAAAGAAAGAGTTTAATAATCTCAGGGCCAGCCAAGCGAGGAGAACGGGAGAAACTTCTCAAACCTGCCTCTCTGAGAATTCAGAGGCTAGGGTTTTTTAAGGGTACTTTGGCAGGCAGAGGGCTGGAGAACTGAGACAATTGATTGGCTGGGGATGAAATCACAGGGGCAGCTAAAACTGTCTTTGTGCAGCTGAGTCATTTCCCAGGAGGGAAGGTGGTCTCTGGACCAGGAGGTGTCTCTTTGTCTACTGAAATGCTAAATCTGAAAACTATCTCAAAGAGCAATTTTTTTTTTTTTTTGAGACAGTGTCTTGCTCTGTTGCCCAGGCTGGAGTGCAGTGGGGCAATCTTGGCCCACTGCAACCTCTGCCTCCTGGGTTCAAGTGATTCTCCTGCCTCAGCCTCCTGAGTAGCTGGGATTACAGGCTTGTGCCACCACACCCGACTAATTTTTGTATTTTTAGTAGAGGCGGGGTTTCACTGTGTTGGCCAGGCTGGTCTCCACCTCCTGACCTCCGGTGCTCCACCTGTCTTGGCCTCCCAAAGTGCTGGGATTACAAGTATGAGCCACAGCTCCCGGCTTAAGAGTGATTCTTTAGGTTTCACAATAGTGATGTTCTCTATAGGAGTACCTGGAGAAGTTAGAAATCTTGCAACCCCTCGTTGTGTGACTCTGGGGCAGGAAGCAACCTGTAGAAAAACAAACTAAGCAATGGCAGGTCATTGTTAATGATGACTATTCTTTAGCAAAGTTCAATCCCCTACCATAATTCTAATCTTGTCGTACGGATGCAGCTTCAGTCTCTAAACAAGGAGGAGGATCAGTTTCCCTTGCCTCAAATTTAACTATAAACGAAATTCTTCTCATAGTTATCTTGGCCTCTGCATGACAAGAAGCAAAACAAGCAAACAAACAATCAAACAAACCAATTTAGCCTGTGAGGTTAGAAGCAAGATGGAGTCATTCGTGTTAGATTTCTCTCTTTACTTACAATTCTGCAAAGGTGGTTTCAATAGGCAGGGCTCTCTCCACTTTAGGCCCAGGCAGATTTGAACTTTGCTCCTGGTGCCCTATCTTCCAGGGCAGGACTATTTCTCTAAAACACATGGCCTCTTTTCTCATATCATTTAAGTCTTCTAGGTTAGCTTTTCCCAACCATGGACTGGAGTGCAGTGGCACAATCACTGCTCACTGCAGCCTTGACCTCCTGGCTAAGGTGATCCTCCCATCTCAGCCTCCGGAGTAGCTTGGACTACAGGTGCATGCCACCATGCCCAGCTAATTTTTATATATTTAGTAGAGATGGAGTTTCACCATGTTGGCCAGGCTGGTCTCAAACTCCTGGGCTTAACCAATCCACTAGCCTCGGCTTCCCAAAGTGCTGGGATTAGAGGTGGGAGCCACTGTGCCTGGTCTGGTATTCAGTTTAGAGCAGAATATTCATCTCCATCACCAGTTCAAAGGTGAGTATCTGTGTGGCTACTGTACTTGCTCTTGTTACTGAGTGGAAGCCTGGACTTGTGAACCTCTTCAGGGACCCTCCTTCTCTCAGGAGGGCAGTGGGCAGCCCTCAGTCTCCCTGGCTTATTGGGGACATGCTGCCTCTCATCCTGTGAGCTCCAGTTGGAACCCTTGAGTTGTCTGAGAGGTAAGATGGGCTGGGCCCCATCTAAAAAGACAATCTGCTGCTTCCTCAACACCAATGAATCCCAAATTGTCAGAGCTGGAAGGACATTTTTTGATTACTGGTAGATTCCACCCTACTTCTAAGGACGCTATAGATGGGGAGGTGGAAACTGGGGCCGAGGGAAGTCCAGGGACTTACCAACACCATATCTTTAAATCTATTATGATTTTTTAAAAAGTCCCTGTTTGGGATGGAAAGGCATGGTCTAAATAAGCCCTCAAAGAAAAGCCATTTTAGGACATTTTTGCACTTCAGGACATTGGCTTATGGTGGGTCAGGGGAGTGGGGAGTGTGGTGTCCAGTCTCTGCTGGGTGATGCCTTAGATGTTGATATCAGGGGGGTACATGAGCTCAGGTGTCATGGGGTGCATGGGGCAGTGTCCTGGAAGGAGGATGGGCAGCAGTGGTGTAAGGAGTTCTCCGGCTCCACAGGTCCAGGGCCTGGCTCCTTGCCTGTGCCTTTGGCTGAAGCAGAGAATGGCCCCAGCAGCTCACCCATATATCATGGGGTGGCCAAGGCACTCCTGTGCTTAGATGTCCTGGATTTATGGCGTCAACTGGACAAGGTGCTGGTGCCTGTGCCTTCTGTCTCTGCTCTCCCAGCCCCAGCAGCACCAGCTCCTCCGGCTACCTGGTGCTTCTGGTCACCCAGGCCCTGCAGGCCCCAGGCCTCCTCCTCCCCAGAGCCTTCACTCAAGCCTTCCCCCTCCCTGCAGCCCCACCTGCTGTTTCCCCACCAGGGGGACCCTCCCCCGACATCCCGCACAGCCTCCATCCAGGCAGGGACTCCTGTGATGAGCTGCCTGTGAGGAAGATGCCTGGAGACTGTGTCTGATCCATCTCTGAACCTGGACAAGCTTGGCTTGTGGGCGGTCGATGAGCATCTGAGGAATACATGAAAGTGACTTTCAGAGGCAATGTGGACGTCCCCATCTGCTCCCATCTGTTCTTCTTAAGTAAGTTATTTTTAAATTTTAAAGCAATATATAGACATGGTAAAATGATAAGGAAGCTGTAGTTCTCCCTAAACTTTTGTCACCTAATCTTGTCCTCTGGGGGATGAATAATCAGCAAGTGGCATTTTGGGCCTCAGCACAAAACAGCCTTTTCAGGTGTCAGCAGGTCAGACTTTGGTGCTTACAGAAAACTCGGGGCCACTGCGGTGTAAACGCTCTAAGTGGTCTGCAGACCATGAGGAGCTGATGGAAGGAGACCCAAACATAGCACCGACAAGCAGGGAATGAGAACAACAAGAAGGAGGGGAGGCCAGAAGAGGAATTCCCACTGGATTGGACCCACGCAGTTCTGTAGTCATGGCTGGTGTTGTGTTCCAGTGACTCTGATAGGGGAGAAATCTCACTCTACCTTTCCTGTGGTTTTTGAAAATAATCTTGGTTACGTTAACTGTGTGTGGTAAACTGCATAGAGCTCAGTTCACAGCATGGATTTGTACGGGGAACATTTTTGTTGTTTTCATTTGAGCCAAATTAAAGAGCTCTTCCAGGAAGTGTCTGGAAGCTTGGTCAGGAAGGATGGGTCCTGTCTGATGGCTACAGGCGAGATTCTGGTGCCCAGATTGGGCGGGCAATATCAGTGTTCCCGCCCTTTATTGATTGGCACTCCATAATGCTTGTTCCAGAGCAACTTCTGGCCAAGGCGTGCCGCTCTGGCTTGGCTGCTGTCATTCCTAGTGTCTGGGGTCTGCCCATGTAGGGCCAGGTGCCGCAACCCAGAGCTCTCTCAAAGCCCCACTGTCCAGGGGCAGCAGCAGCCCACTCATGGGAACAGGGATCCACATAGGTCTCAGGAGGAGAGGAAAATCTTGGCTAGGGACCCTAGTCTGACACTCTATTCCAAAAGAGGCAGCAGGAGAACACTGATGTGTCTGTCCCTGAAGGTCCCAGCTCTGGTTCAGGGTATACTTTTCTCCCCAGGGATAGGGAGGTTGAGGCTCAGGACAGTATAGAGTGGCCAAAGCTGTTATAAGAACTCTCTGTCCAATATTTGGCTTGAGAAAGAAGGAAACTTGGAAAGCAAGGGGAGTGGTTTCACAAATAATCAAACTGAATTCCAAGCCTTGTGTCTTTTCCAGCTAAGGAAAGACGGTTGAAGATTGCATCATCAGACTTTCCAGTTCAGGATGAAGTGTACTTATGAACAGCAACCATATGCAGAAACTAAAGACTCAGAAAGTTCTGCAGGCTTTCTTGGAAACTAGACTCTATACAAGAGAAATAGAAACTAAAAGCAGCACTCAGAATATTACCCAAGGATAATGAAAGCAAATGTCTCTCCCCAGACCCATCAAGAGGTAAATGTGTATGAAGCCTCAGGGCATGCCTGTTGGGGCAGAGGCTCCTCAGGGCTCTTGGGAGTTAAAATGGCCAGAGAAAACCAAACCGCACCCAGCCCCTGCTCCTCCCTGACTCGGTCTCTCTGCTTTTCGTTCTTCAGTGTTACTGTGGATATGATAGGTTTTATCTCCGCCTTTTGGCTCTTTGCTTTCTTCTGTCTCATTACTGCATTATTTCTTTTTCCTCCTTTGCTACCTCCTTTTGTCTTAAATGGATGTTTTAAATATAATATTGTAACTTCTTTACTCATTTAAAAAAGTGTATTTTTGAGTTATTTTCTTTTTGGTTCTCTAGGACTTATATATATATACCTTAATGTGGAATCTATTTCAGATTTATACTAGCTTAATTCCAATAAGATATAGAAACTTACTCCTATATTGCTCCCTTCTCTTCCCTCTTTTTTTTGTGCTATTACTGTTATACATATGACATCTACGTATGTTACAAACCCAACAATACACTGATGTAATGATTGCTTTATATGATCTCATGTCTTTTAAAGAAGCCAAGAGACCAAAGAACACAAATGGATTTATTGGGTTTTAAAAATAGTAACATTATTATTTACCATTTCTGATTCTTTTCATTTCCTCCTATGGCTCTGAGTTACTATCTGCTCTCTTTTTCTTATGCCACTTCCTTTTCTACCCCTTTTGCCACTTTCGTTTCCACTCCTTCTGTTGTATTGTTATTGTAAAATATATTACATTCTTGTCCCTACAGGCCCAATAATGCAATTTTGTAGATACTATTTTATGCAATTTTTTTTACATTAGCTAAGAGGAGGCATACAGAAAAACTTAGTTTTTGTTTTATCATTACCTGTATCATTACCTTTACTGGAGCTCTTTGATTTTTCCTGTTTATTCAGATCACTTTCTGGTGTCACTTACTTTTAGCCTGAAGAACTTCCTTTCATACTACTTGTAAGGTGGGTTTGCCAGTGCTGAATTCCCTTAGCTTTATCAGTAAGAACAGTAAAATACTATGGCGCTCAACTCCAGAGTTTCCATTTGGCTCTTTTTAGCTTTACAAATTATTTCTAATTTCTATGTCTTCATTAATGTTCTCTATTTGGTGAGTCATCGTTATTGTACCTTCTTTTAATTCTTTAAACATGGCTCCTTTTGGTTTTTGACCACATTTATGATAGCTGCTTTGAGTTTATGTCTGTTAAATTCCAACACCTGGAAGCCCTTAAAGGCAAAGGCAGTTTCTGTTGCCTGCATCTTCCCCCACCCTCACTGGGTGTGCATTACACTCCTTTCTTTAAGTTTCATATTTCTTTTGTGAAAAATTGGACATTTTAGGTAATAGCAGATCTGGGTACTGATCTCTACTCCTCAGGAGTTTGTTATTGTTTTCTTGTCTGCTAGGTCATTTATTTAGTGGCTTAGCTGTATTATCCAGTGAAGTCTATATCCCCCAAAGTGTGCAGTCCCCGAATGCTCCCCTGAAGGCATAGGACATCACCTGAACTCTCCTCCTCTAGGGTTAACCATGTTTTTGGTGGAGGTCTCTGACTGTCTGTTTCTCTGATATCACTGTTGAACTTCTACCTGCCCTGCCTCTAGTATTCCATCCAGGTGTTATCCTCCACTAATTGCCAGCTGATTGCTGTTTTTATTGTCAGGCCCTGAAGAATAAATTGTCCCCTAGTCTGATCCAATTAATGTCTTTCTGCTTAGCAGGACTTTCTTTGAAGCTGTCTTTGAGACTTACTGACAGCCTCAGGAGAACTCTTCTTAGCTCTCGCTCTCTTTTTCTCTCTGTTGAATTTCTAGCTGATCCTATTTCACTCGTTGCCATCATGGAGCTACCAGCTTACTTTTTTTTTTTTTCCTGAGATGGAGTCTCGCTCTGTCACCCAGGCTGGAGTAGAGTGGCACTATCTCGGCTCACTGCAACCTCTGCCTTCTGGGTTCAAGCAATTCTCCTGCCTCAGCCTCCTGAGTAGCTGGGATTACATCCACCACCACACCCAGCTAATTTTTGTATTTTTAGTGGAGACTGAGTTTCACCCTGTTGGCCAGGCTGGTCTCGAACTCCTGACATCAGGTGATCCACCCACCGCGGCCTCCCAAAGTGCCGGGATTACTGTTAATTGCTGATCATGAAAATCTCAACTGTCTTTGATCATGCCCTTAGGCATTTCCCTATGCTCTATTCTAAATGAAGTCAGTTCCACTGGGGAGAGCTATAGAGCTCTCTGTCCTTACTGATTTTCTCTCCCTCTGAGAAGCTCTGTGCCACTGCTCTGAAGCTGGGGGTCAGGATGGTAGCTTGCTTCTCTTGGAGTAACACCCTGCTCCACCCTTGGGGTGATGAGCATAGTCAGTAGACTCTGGTCTTCTTGGCTTCCCTATCCTGGCATTGAATCTCCATCCTATAAGCAAGCTGGTTTGAGGACAGTTGGGCCCAGAATTTTCACCCTGCTGTACCTGTGTAGAGCTTCTGCCCTATGAATGGGGTTGGGTGGAAGAAGAGATCCCAAGAGTTCTCAGCCACATTTGCCAGAATTAGAGATTCTTCAACACAGAGCTGAGGTGGGGGAATGAGAAATGTTGGTGTCTTGCCTCTCCTAGCGAATAATTATAATTCTAGATCAGAAAGTAGGGGGAGAAGGAGCCTCATCTTCTTGACTCCACCTGCCCAGAGTACAGGTCTCATCACACAAGGGGTTTGTTGAAAGAGTAGGTTGGTCCTCAGATGCCATAGTACGTTACCGTTCTTTTTGAGATTATTCAGATTCTCCTGAATAGTGTTTCTCCATTTGCTGTATGCCTTTGGGACAATTTCCAGAAATTTTAAATGATTGTTTTTGTTAAAAAATTTTTTTCCTCCGCCAATTATTGTCATTTTGCCGAGAATAACGTTTGCAGAGCTCCTCATGCCACCATTCCAGAAGTGCTTGCCTTTGTTTTTGAAAGATATTTTTGTCGGGCATGGGAGTCTAAGTTTACACTTTTTGTATGGTACTTTAAAAGTTTTGCTTCACTATCTTCTTGCTTGCCTTGTTTCTGCTGTCATCCTTGTCTTGTTTCCTTTCTGTGTTTCATGCCATTTTCCTCTGGCTAATTTCAAGATTTTCTAGTTGCAAGTATTTTGGTTATAATATGCCTTTGTGTATTTTTTCATGTTTCTTTGGAGCTTCTTGAGTTTCTTGGATCTGTGATCTTATAGCTTTCATTAAATTTGGAAAAATATTTGGCCCTGTTTTTTTCAGACCTTTTTTTTCCTGTTAACCCTCCTACATGATCTTGATTTAGCAACTCCAACTCCATGTTTATTAGGTCGCTTGAAGTTATTCCTCAGCTCACTGGTGTTTTTTATGTTTTTGAGTGAAAACTTCACTTTTACTTCACTTCATTTTCAATAGTTTCTATGGCTATGTTTTCAAATTCACTATTCTTTTTCTACTTCAGTGTCTAACCTGTTGTTAATCTCATCCAGTGCATATTTCATATCAGTTATTACAGTTTTCACCTCTAGAAGTTTACCTTGGGGTTTTAAAAATACTTCTGTGTTACTATTTTAAAGTATTAAATCTTCCCTTTAGCTTTTTGAATATAGTTATAGTAATTATTTATATGTTTTTATGTCCTTGTGTGCTAATTTTGGTCCGTTCTGGGTCACTTTTGATTGATTGATTTTACACCTTATTATAAATTGTATTATCCTGCTTCTTTGCCTACCTTATAATTTTTGATTAAATAACATGTATTGTGAATTTTTTCTTGTTTGTGCTGGGTACTTTTGTGTTGATAGAAATATCCAGAGTCCTGTTCTTGGATGCAGTGATCTTCACAGAAATCATTTGAATCTTTCAGGTCCTGCTATTAAAGTTTGCTAGGCTGTACCAGAACAATGTGTAGTCTAGGGCTAATTATTCCCCTCTGCTAAAGTTAGACCCTATGAGTACTTGATTCAGTGAACTGTGAATTACAAGGTTTTCCAATTTGGCTGGTGGGAATAGGTACTGTTACCAGCTCTGTGGTACTGGGGTAGTGTAAATACTGGATCCTATTTTCTCTAACCCTTTGAAATGGCTCTTTTCCTGGCTTTGGGTAGTTTCTTCATGCATGTACTGATCATTTTTAACTGAAGACTCAAGGAGAACCCTCTGCATATCTTCAGAACTCTCTCTCTGTGCAGCTTGTATCACATCTTGTAACATGTCCTGAAAACTCTAGTCCCCTGAGTTTCTCAGCTCCGTATTCTCAACTCCCCCTCTCTATTCTACAACCTGAAAATTCTCCTAAGACAGGAAGCTGGGGCATCCTAGGGCTCATCTTGCTTGTTTTCCAGCTCTCAGGGACCATTGTCCTTCATTATTTGATGTCCAATATTTTGAAAACGGTTGTATTTTATAAATTGTCTCTCCTTTCCTTCCTCCCTCCCTCCTTTCTTCCTTTCCTTTCTTGCTTTTTCAGACTGGCAGGTAACTACATTTCCTGTCACTGCACCTTGACTTGCAGCATATATCCTAGTCTTATAATCTCCTCTTCAATGCCTGCATTTCCTATTGTGTTTCTTTCTCAGGAAATGGATCCATCTTTTATTAAACTCTCTAACCCAGAGCTGAAGAATAATACATGACTCCTCCCTCTCCCAGATTCCACACCCATGTAGTCCCCAAAGTTTATTCTTTCTACGGCTTTAATCCTTTCTTTCTTTGTTCCTTCTGCCACGGGGCTAGTTTAGACCAGTGTATTTTCTCATCTGGACTATTACATCTTCCTGTTCTCTCTTCTCAACCCCTTCACATCTCTACTGAGATTCTGCCTCTTCTTGTATTCAGTGAGTGACATAGTCATCCACCAAGTTAGCTAAGGCAGAAACAGGAGTCGTTCTGATTTTTGTCCTTTCTACTAAGCCCAATACCTAGGATATAGTAGGTGTCAATGGGATTATTTTATTGAAATAACTTTTACACAGGTGAAGAGATGTTCAACCTCATTAAAATAAGAAATAACACAATTTAAACTGTATGAAGTTGTCATTATTCTTTATCCGACTGGCAAAAGTCTAAAGGTGGCTGGGTGTGGTGGCTCATGCCTGTAATCCCAGCACTTTGGGAGGCTGAGGCGGGCGGATCACCTGAGGTCAGGAGTTGGAGACCAGCCTGACCAACATGGAGAAACCCCGTCTCCAATAAAAATACAAAATTAGCCGGGCGTGGTGGTGCATGCCTGTAATCCCAGCTACTCTGGAGGCTGAGGCAGGAGAATGGCTTGAACCTGGGAGGCGGAAGTTGCTGTGAGCCGAGATCGTGCCATTGCACTAAATCCTGGGCAACAAGAGCGAAACTCTGTCTAAAGAAAAAAAAAAAGTCTAAAGGTGTGATAATACACTGTGTCAGGGAAGGTGCAAGGAAAAAGTTACTCTCATATGTTGCTGCTGGGGGTATAAATTGGGACACTGTTTGTGGAGGGCAATTTGGCAGTATCTATCGCACAACATTGGAGGCCAGGCATAGTAGCTCATGCCTGTAATCCCAGCACTCTGGGAGACAGAGACAGGAGGATTGCTTAAACTCAGGAGTTTGAGACCAGCCTGGGCAATGTAGGGAGACCACAACTCTACAAAAAAAATTTAGCTGGGCATGGTGGTACATGCCTGTAGTCCCAGCTACTCAGGAGGCTGAGGTGGGAGGATGGCTTGAGCCTGGGAGGTTGAAGCTGCAGTGAGCTGTGATCGTGCCACTGTTGCCTGGGCAACAGAGTGAGACGCTGTCTCAAGAAAACCCAAAATCCAAAACCAAAAAACAAAAACCACTGGAAATGCATATACGTTTGACTCATCAATTTCACTTGAAGAAATTCATCTTACTGATACACTTGCACATATATATCTGTAAGGATATTTATTGCAGCAAAAGCTAGAGAGCAACTTAAATGTTCAGGAACCGAATTCTAGTTAAGTACAAATGCAATGTGGTCCATTTGATGCGTGTTGAGTGGGGATAGTCTTCCCTGTGTGTTATCGGGTGAAAAGACCCAGGTGCAGAGACGTTATGCTTCGTGGCCCCTCCTAGACCCACTCAGTGAGGGGACAGATGCCTGGGGTATGGGCGTGGAAAGAATACCCACTCTTCATGATATGCCTTTTTGTAGTCCTTGAATATTAAACCATGTACATGTATTATCTATTTCAAAAATGAGTATTTAAAAATGTGTTGCTGAAACCTATTGAATTCCCCTAATAGCCCTCCCCCAATGCCACATCCAATCAGTCTTCAAACCCTATTGATTCTACCATCTAAATTTTTCTCAAATGTGTTCCCACCTTCTCTCCATCCTCTTTCCCATCTCTGCCTCCTACTCTGCTGCAAGGCCCAATTTAAAGATTTCCTCATCTGTAAAGTCTCCCTGACCTCCTCCCACCAGTATGAGTTCTGTTCTAGACACATTAGGTTTGAGGTATGTTGGGTTCACATCTAAATCTGAAGCTTAGGTGAGAGATTTAGGCCAAGAGCTAGATGTGGGAGTCATTAGGTACATTTTGTGACTGCATTCTTGAGCGCTTGAGTTAATGCGTGGCTACCAGAAATGACAGGATTTTTGTCTGGGACTGCAGAGTGGAAGCTGTTGTTTCTGGGACAGAGTCTCATTGTTAGGTGTAGTTGCTCCCAGACCTTCAATTTGATATTGGTCTCTCAAACAGTTGCAGGAGCTATAAAACACACCAAGTTATATCTAGCAGGATTTCCTGTTCTTGCCCAGGGGGCCACACTACATGTGATTCCCCTAAAATTAAAGGATATTATCCTGGAAGCCCCACCTATGCCTGGCACCGTGCAGGACTTGACAGAGAGGAAGCTCATTAGAAGAAGGTGGGTTTCCCTCCATTGTCTCCTGAGATGTTCCCAAGAGCTTTCATTTGAAAAGTGTCCACTCATGACGCAACTGCTGTGTGATCCCCACTAAGGTCAGCTTGGGCTGTGTGGGCAGCAGCTTTGAGGGAAAGCTCAGATGATCGTCTGACCTGGTGCCTTCACTCTGTGTGGCTCTGATGTCTGGATGTAGGAGAAAGCTTGGCACTGCCCGGGGATTGACTGAGGGCCTGAGAGGGTAGTGACTTTTAAACATTGGTGTTTACAAGTCAAGGCGGAGCCATTCTAGGACATGAATTTTGAATGTAAAATCCTCAAATTTGTCCTGGATGCCTACCATTGCTTCATGTGATGGCCATACTTTCTGCCCTGGGAATGAGTAGAAGCCCTGAGATCTGACACATCAGACTGAGGACTGGCATGGGAATGGCTGCTGCTGTGGGAGTGCTGAGAAGTCACCTGTCTTGGGCCATTTGCTCATTTGGTTTCCTCCTTCCTTCTCCTCTGGCCTAATTAACATCTCATCCTCCCGTTCTGAGCTCCTCACCTCCCCAGAAAAGCTGATAGGCCCAAAGTCTTCTGTTTCACATGCCCCCTGTAGCATGAAGTATACTGGTGGCCATTCAAAACATTAAACCAATGAATTTTTATTTCTCCCCAGATCATGTAGTCCTGTGGCTCCCACCTACTGATTTAATAACACTCAGATGGTGGGTAGGACACAAATGCCATTGCTTGGCTTTGAGTTTTGAGACTGACTAGGATTTCTAGTGAGGCAAGAGTCTAGCAGGCCAGGCTCCATTGTGCTAGGACAGGGAGGTAGAAATTTCACACCTCCCATTTTGTGTGGAGCTTGGAGGTCTGAGGACACAGGGCATGATACGAAGAAGGGGAAATAGGAACAGAGGGTGCAGACATGGGCAGATTCTGGCAGATTGCCCTGTATGACCCCAGTCCTTCTCCCCTTTCTTCCCCAGTTGGGAGAGAACCCCAGGCGGGTGGTAGAAACTCATGGATGGGAATTTTGTTAAGTGTGGTGGAGTAACATTCATTTCCCCAAATTCCACTCAATGAACAGAGAAGGAACATACAAGGACAAAGAGAATAAAAAAGGGAATGACAGCCAAGGAGAGATGTCAGCAAGATTTTGGGAGACAGAAAGTGGCTGAACTTTGCAGAGTGAGGGAAGGTGAGACCTACAAACCTGGGTGGGCCAGTGGGGAGCAAGCCATGGGGCCCCAGACCCCAGAGAGGCTCAGAACTGGAGGGAAGTGAGGACGCTGGCCCAGGTGGGCTGTGGGCTGGTTAAGTCCCTGAGCCTTGTCCCACCCTACAGGAGACCTGCTGGGGTGGAAGGTGAATAAGTGAGACTGTGAAAGGTGAGCTCCAGCTGCTTTTCTTGCTGGGCTTCTAGAATGTTCCATTCCTCCATATGCAGACTGGAAAATCCCCCTTCCTACGCTGAGAAAACTGATCAACTCAGAGGACAGAGCTGTGGATGCTGCCCTCTGGGGCTCCCCTGGGAGGTTGTGGGGCAGGATGTGATTGTCCCATCCATGGCACCTCAGTGCCCAGGCCCCGCCCTCTCCTGGGGAGCTTCCAGCCAGTGTTCTAATGTTCTCCCCTTAAATATTCACATTCAGCCAAGAATCGGCTGACTTCAAGGAGAGCCTCCAAACTGAACAACAGAGACTGAAGCAGACAAAGCAGACAGCAGTAGCAGCACTAGAAGGGCTATTCTAGGCGGGGCAGGAGCAGACGTCACATCCAAATGAGCAGGATGCCTGTGAACAGGCGTTCAGAGGACAAGAAAGAGATCATAAAAATGAAATGCCAGGGAGAGCAAAAACATCCAGTTGAAGGGTTGAATGTGAACGCTCTCCCTTTTGTGGCTGTCCCCAGTGCCCGGGACCCCGTCTCGCTGCTGCTGTGTGTGCGGTGAAGGGGGTGCTGTCAGCCATTGGAGGAAGCAGAGGTTCCCCACACTTCTCAGCAGGCTCGGCAGCCGCCCCACCCTCATGGGCATTTGGAAAGAGGGGATATTTATGTTTTCCAGGTGCCACAATGGAGGTAGATAAGGGGATGGGAGTGAGTGTTGGGTCCATCAACCAGTCCTGTTGCACAGGCCTAGAGTGCCTTTTCTTGGCCATTCTCCTCCTTTTATCATCATTGACCTGGGCTGTGCTCAGTGCCCTAGGGCAGTTAATCCTGTGATGAGCAGCATCCTCTATGGGCATTTGAGTGAAGCTCTCTGAGAGTCTCTTTAGGATGTATACCCAGAAGCTGAATTCCTTAATTTGCTGAATGCCACCATATTGCTTTCCCAGATGGCTGAAACCAGTTCCCTCTCCTCTTGATGGGGAGGAGGATTCCTGCTTCTTCACATCTTAGCCAACACTTGGTATTATACACGTTTCTAGTTTTTTTGTGTGTGGGATTCTGTTGGGTATAAAGTGGCACCTCACTAAAAGTTATTCTTTATCTTATTACTAGTAACTGTGATTATTTCTTCATATACTTGTTACCATTTGGGCTTCCTTTTCAGCAGGTGCCTGTTCATCACCTGGCTTTTTATTATTCATTTATAGGAATTACTAATATAGTCCAGATAGTCCAGATTTTACTCTTTTGTCAGTTTTAGATAAGGCTGTCATCTGTTAATTTACAAATGATGTTTTTCACTGAACCATACTCCTTAATTTTTTTTTTTTTTTGAGGCAAGATCTCACTCTGTTGCCCAGACTGGAGTGCAGTGGTGCAATCATGGCTCACTGCAGACTCACCCGACCTGGGCTCAAGTGATACTCCTGCCTCAGCCTCCCAAGTAGCTGGGACTATAGGCACATGCCACCATGCCTAATTTTTGTATTTTTTGTAGAGATGGGGTTTCACCATGTTGCCTAGGCTGGTCTTAAGCTCAAGCAATACACTCACCCCTTACAGTATTACAAGTGTGAGCCACCATGCCTGGCCCATAGTCCCTAATTTGAATGTTGTCAAATCCATTTGTCTCTCACCTTATGGTGTGTGCCTTGATCATTTTATTTAAGAAGACTTTATCCCTAGTCACAAAGACAGGCTCTTCTCATGGTTTTGTAAGCCAAAAAGTGACTGAGGCAGGTGTCTCAATTGATAGAGGTTTATTTAGCCAAAGTTTAAGGATGTGCACAAGAAAAACACAGGTCACAGGAGCATCTGTGCCCTTTGCTTTCCAAAGAGAGTTTGGGAGTATTTCAAGAGGAAAGAGCAAGCAGGAGGAAAAAATGGAGGGAGGGTAGAAGTGAGGCAAATGGTTATTTCTTGTGAGGCTCCCATTAGTGCTCAGTAAATCCACATTTCACACATGAAAGGAGGGAGTAGAGGAAAAAGTCAATTATGCCTTCCTCTCAGGGTAGGTAGAGGGATGATTTCTCGTCTTTCTTCGCACCTGTGAAGATAAGCTGGTAACTGATATTGTCAGGGTGAGATTCAACAGAATTCAGCTTTAGGGCTAATTTACAGGAAAGGGGCATATATCCCGAAAGACTGAGGGGTTCACGAGGAATTTACTTGTGAGCAATTTGTGAGGGAGGCCACCTGGGGAGATATGTGGCCTTCCATCTGGTGGGAACCTGGCTTATGGATGAGGCTATGACACAGGGTTGTGAAATTACAGCGATCTGTTTGGGAACAAAAGGAAGACTGTATCGTGTGACTCAGATCCCAAGCTTAACTCTCCTTTTGGCATAGTGAGTTTGGGGTCCTGAGATTCGATTTTTTTTCTCGGTTTTGTAATTGTACCTCTCCATTTTCAGTCTTGAATTCGTATGACATCCACCTCTGTAAGTGGTGTCATGTATAGAGTCAGGCTTTGCTTGTCTCAGGAGTGATTTCCCCAGTGCCACCTCTGGAGCTGTCCTCTCTCCTCTGCTCACGGTGTCTCTGTCTTACTCCAAGCTCCCCATCCACCTGGGTCTTCTCCTTGTCTGTCCTGAACCCCGGAGAAGCTGCTGTCACTAAAGGGTTGAAGCGGTTGAGTGCCTGGAGGAGTAAGTCCTCCCTGCTCTTCCTTTTCAAAAGTGTGGTGAGCTCTCTGCAGATCTTTCTTGCCCCATATCAACTACAGAAAAAGATTGTTCAAATTCTTCACAAATCCCTGCTGGAATTTTGCGAAGGTTGGTATGAATTTGTGGTTTATACAATTGCAGGTTTACATGTGCTCGTGTGATGGTTTGATGGGGTCTTATCTTCTGTAGTGGACTGAGCCCAGGAGGGCAGGGGATGTGTCTGCTTCCTACATCCTTGGCTCCTCAGCATTCACGCAGCATGTGGGTTGCAAAAGTAGCTCAACAACGATTTGTCTCTGAAAGCTGCTGAACTGAGTGTGAAATGATATGTCTGTGACAGTACTCAGCAAACCAGGAGGTGGCTCAGTGAGCGGTCCAAACCACCTGCTTCAGCACCAACTTGGGTTCACTTCTGTTTCTCTGGCTTCCTGGGAGGTGGGGGCTGGGCTCCCTCATCCACATCAGGAGCCTTTGGGAGGGTGAACATGGTGATGCCAGCACACAGGGAGCACTGTGTGTGTCGCTCCCAGTGCTATTGCTGAAGCCTGCCTGGGAGTAGGGGATGCTAATTCCACTTAGAAAACCATCTCCTTGATAGCTGATGCACATCTGCTGGCAGGGCCACCCCAGGCGCACTCCACGTGCTTTGCCATCTGTGTTAGCTCAGGCTGCCTTCTCCGTGTGTTTTCACATGGGCGGGGAGGGAAGAGGGAGAGAGAGAAAGAAGGGGAGGGAGGGAGAGAGAGAAGGGGGTGGAGAGAGAGAGAGAGAGTGCGCGATCTTCCTCTTTCTCTTCTGATAAGGGCACTTATTCTATCAGATTAGCACTCTGCCCTTATGACCTCGTAATTTAACCTTACTTAGCTCCTGAAAGCTCTATCTCCAATACAATCACACTAGGGGTTAGGGCTTCAATGCCAGAATTTTGGGGGACATTCTTCAGTCCACAGCACTATCCTACAGCACAGGACACGGGAATGGAAATGTGTCCCTGTCAGTTTTGCCAAGGGAGGTGAGGGACTGGATGCACAGCAGAGGGTCAGAGCCAGTGGTGCTCCTCGCTCTCTCACACTCACGGAGAGCCTGATGAGCTCCTCCTGCTGTTTGAGGACGCTGTGCTCAGGGAGGACCTGGGGAGCATCCTCACTTGCTTCAGGCACTGCCTGGCCAGAGGAGAGCAAGGCAGTGCCTGTCCCACACCCTCCACCTGCATGCCTGCTGGCTGCAGCCTGGAGAAGCTGGCGGCTCCTGGAAGGAAGAAGGAAGCTGAGCGCCAGCCTTCTCGCTGCAGGTGGTCCCCACACAGGGCCACTCAGGGCGTTTTGGTTATTTTGATGGACCGGCCATTTTCATGACTATGGACTGTTTAGGACCAGTGTGACTTTTGTTATCTGAGAGTGACCGGAAAAGTGAGGACCTGCCTCAGTGGGCCTCTGAGGGTGAGGCAGGGATCCCACTGCAGGGGATGCAGGGCAGTGGGGCAGAGAGAGGCTGAGTTTCCATCGTGCCCACACACCCACCACCCCAAATGACTGCATCCTTGGCTCCTCGGTGGGAAGTGCTTGGTGCCAGGGAGCCGGGCACTGAGGGCTCTTTCCTGGCAGCTTTAAAAGGGTCTGAGCCACAGAGTTCCCGGGAGCCAAAAAGTCTGGTCATTCCATCGTGTGTGAGCACGATGGAAACTCAGCTTCTCTCTGCCCCTCCAGCATCTGGCCAGCATCTCACAGCCCTTGGAGGGCTCAGCACACTCCTTCACACCTGGCTCATGATGAGCAACACCTGGGAGCCTCTAAGCTACGCCAGCAAGCGCTTCCAGGCTCAGAGAGGGGATCTGGGCTCACGCCCGAACCCCAGGAAGGAGTGATCAAGTGCCTTTCAGTGAGGGTTCCCTGTGGAGGGAGCAAAGGAGGAGCTGTTGGCATCCTAGAAAACCACAGCAGAAATGGGCGCACCCTCCTCTCGTGGCAGAGGTGGGGAGGCTAAGGCCCAGAGAACAATGTATTTAGGTTGGTGCAAAAGTAATTGTGGTTTTGATATTACTGCCAAGGGCAAAAACTGCAAGTATGTTTGCACCAACATAATAGCTTTTCCCCAAATCTCTTAGTGAGCTGGCGGCAGAGTTGGGACCAAAACTCCTACCCTCTGGGGCCAGCTCGCCTTGAGCCCACTGCCCTGACGGGGCCTGGCGGGCTCTCACTGGACATTCTCCTTGTGCCCAGCAGGGGGGCAGCACCCGTCCACGCTGGGAGACTGTCTGGCCAATTGGTTTGCTGGGCCCCCTCCCATGGCCAGTCCTGCTTGCCCAGCTGCACTGAGATTCAGAGTTCCCTGGCTTCTGCCTCTTGTCTCCAGTAGGGGGATTGTGCTGCTGGGGAAAGCTGGACTGAGCCAAAGGAACTGGTTCAGTTTCTGGGTGAGGTTAAGGGTAGGCTAAGATATGCACCAAAAATTGAGGAATTTTGTCTCTAGGAAAGACCAAACAAAGAATGCATAGTTGAAAGGAACAAGAAAAAAGGTTGGGGGCTAGTGGGACAAATTCTGGAAAGAGTTTTTATGTCCTTGTATTTAGGTCTAGCTATGGGAGAGGAAGTTGGGTGATATCCTCTCATCAGCATGGGGTCCCTTGGAAGGTGGTTTTGTGCCCTGTCCCCACCCCCATGCTACCCCTGATGCCTAGAATGGGAACTTCTCCTCACACCTATAACCGCATCAATACCACTTCTTACAAAATAGGCTTGCTTGACATAGATATAATGTAAGAACCATAGTTTATTCCAAACTTTGAAACAAGGATTTTGAGAGTCCTCCACGCCAGAGCATTTTCTGTAAGCCCCCTTTGGGGGAAGGGAGGTAACTTTGATTAATGAGGGCCCAGAAGTTATAAAGCCTTGTGAGATCAAGGGATCCCTGAGGAAATGATAGCTGTGTTGGATTTTTGCTTTTTAGAGAAGCAAAAATAGAGAAGAGAAGACAACTCCATGCTGTCTATACTGGTGATTAATAAACATGGCATATTTATCAATCCTATAGTATCTTGTATCTAACTCAGCAAGACTGTTTTGACATTTCTAACTATAAGCCTTTGTTTTTCAAATGCTCCTTAATCCTCTTCCTTGTCTTTATGTTGGTTCTCTTATTGAGTTACAGCAAAATTTGACATGTGT
The DNA here is from genome assembly GCF_000001405.40 of Homo sapiens. Classification (NCBI taxonomy): domain Eukaryota; kingdom Metazoa; phylum Chordata; class Mammalia; order Primates; family Hominidae; genus Homo; species Homo sapiens. The sequence continues at coordinate 45,218,445 of NC_000007.14, forward strand.
TCGTAGATGCACTTGGAGAAGAATTATTCTTCACACTAACTTGAGAATTGTGCATTTATTGTGGGGAATGGTTTCTTGTGTAAATATGCATGTGACATCTGTCTTCCTTCTTTTTTTCTTTTATTGAGACAGGGCCTCACTCTGTTGCCCAGGCTGGAGTGCAGTGGTGGGGTCATAGCTCATTGCACCCTTGAACTCCCGGACTGAAGCAAGCCTCCCTCCTCAGCCTCCTGAGTAGCTGAGACTACAGGCATGCACCACCAATTCTGGCTAATATATATATTATATTATATATAAAATATATAAAATTATATATAATATATAATATTTATATAAATATTATATAATATATAATTTTATATATTTATAATTATTTTAATATATAATATTATTATATTTTAATATATAATATTAAAATATATATATATTTATATATAATATTATATATTATATATTATATATATATATATTTTTTTTTTGGTAGGGACAGGGTCTCGCTATGTTACCCAGGCTGATCTTGAACTTCTTGGCTTAAGTGATCCTCCTGCCTCAGCTTCCCAAAGTTCTGGGATTACAGGTGTGAGCCACCGCCCCCTGCCTGTCTTCCCTTCTCAACACCCACAGGATGAGCCTTGTCTTGGTGTGGATTCAGGCATTGGTGCTGCTTCTATGCAATCCTGCTGTTTCATTTTGATCCAGCTCAGATTTCTGGGGGGCCTGTATTAGTGTTCTATTACTGTCATAACCAATTACTGCACACATGGTGGCTTAAAACAACACAGATTTATTATGTGACCCACAGTTCCTGTGGGTCAGAAGCCTGGCACAGCATGGCTCAGGGGCTCCTCTGCTCTGGGTCTCACCAGTCTGAAGCAGAGGTGCAGGCTGGGCCGTGTTCCTCCCTGGAGGCTCTCGGAAGAATCCGCCTCCAGACCCACTCAGGCTCCTGGCACCGTGCAGCTCCTTGTGGGCACCGGCCCGGGGCCGGTGTCCTCTGAGACGCAGCAGAGCTGCTCTTTGCCGTGGAGGCTGGTCTGTAGCCCATGCGTGTGATCCTGTGCCTCGGAACTAGCCAGCGTATCTCAAACTCCCCCTACACTCGGTGTCTCTCCTGCCTCTCTTTTCTCTTTTTTTTCTGGTTTCTATTGGGCCCACCTGGATAATCCAGGATTATCTTTCTATTTTAAAGTCAGCAGATTAGTGGCTTAATTACACTCGCAAGGCCCCTCGCAGTAGTGCCTAGATTTGTGTTTGAATCACCAGGGCTGGGGGTCTTGCGGGGGCTTCTTTAGATGTCCTGCATGGAGACATTGGCAGCATGTGGTGCCCCCGGCTTCTTGCTGAGGTCTGTGTGTGGGGGTGTGGGAAGTGAGAGGGAGGGGGGAATCACTGTAGCCTCTCCCCCATCTGCCTCCTGTGCCTGAGGTCCTGTCTCTGCAGAAGGGCCTCTCCCTCTGGATCCAGCAGCCACCCTGCTCTCTGTCCTGGCAGTGGCTCCCTAGGGCTCCCCTACAACTTGTCCACACGTTGGCCTTTGTGGAGCCTCCTCCCGTTGCTCCCAGTTGTGCGTGCCTCTACTCTGCCTGCACCGTGGTCAGGACTCACTTGCATCAGGCTGCTTTTGTTGTGAGGATCCCTCTCCTGTCTTACGGGGCTTCCAACCACTCCTCCTGAAACTTCCCAGCCCCCTCTTCCCCAGCCCCACCAGCCACCACCATCTGCAGACCTCCACGGGTCAGTTTCTGGCACGCTTGCCCTTCCAGCTGTGTTCAGTCAGCAGGTCACTTGGATTCACCACTGGGTTTGCAGGCACTCTGTCTCTTTTTCTTGTTCTTCCTCATCACCAACTGAGTGGGGGTCACCCAGACCTCAGACGTCAGAGAACAAGAAATAACTGGGTTCCTGGTATTTTTTCCTCTCTCTGTTTCTAGGAACTTGTAATTTCTTTGAAAATTTAGCAGATAGTTAAAGGTCATTCAAGGACTATTCAAGGACTTAAAGCCAACTAAGGGTATTGGAAATGATATTGAAGCTGACCTGGAAGGCCACATGCTGGCTGCCGACACCACAACTCTGTCAGAGAAGTGGCTGTGGGTCCCCAGCACAGTGTGACACCAATAACAACCGATAAAAACAAAATAAAGACATTAGTGATTATAATTTCAGTATGGTTGAACACATGATTACATTCTCATAGCCCTAAACATTTCCAAAATGCTAGTGACTCATAAAATCAGAATAGGAGATTTAAGCAGTTCAAATTAATTAGATTTATTAAGAAAAAATAAACACAAGCTTGCTTTGTATTATATTCTATTAATACACTGTGATACACTAAAGGAAAAGATAATTTATTATATCAAAATTATCAAACCACATGAACTGTGATGTGAAATATGAAACAAATTGTTATTATTTTGGTAATCCTTGTATAAAGGAGAACCCATGTTTTTGGAATGACATTAACATTCTTTAAATCTTGTTTAAAGGTCTTAGTATCTTAGGCTTCTTACAGCCCTTTCCTTTGAAGTTCTAACTGCATGAAATTGCATTTCCTTCTTATCCTGTAGCTTAGCAACGACATCTAAATTCACGGTTGGTTGGTGGTGGGTCCAATTCAGTTTTTCCCCTGGCTGAGATGGAGTCCTTCGCATCGACAGCACTGAGAATTCTTCTCAAAGAGTCAGCATATTTAAATTTAAAGCTTTAGGAAGGCTTTTTTTTTCTTTTAAAAGTTATCATATAAGTACCTACTAGGATCTATTAACCAATAAAAATAGATATACCTTTAAAGTCGAGAGGCTTATTGATCTCTGCGGGCAGTGGACCCGTCTTTTGAATAGAATCTTCTGGCCAGTCCCCATGCCTGGCTAATGGCTACGGGCACAGATTCATAATTTCCAACCCACCACTGTCTCTCTGGAAAGGAAACGATTTCTCACTTCTAGAAACACAGATCTGCAAAAGAAACCAGGACACAGATACCTCCGCAAACAGCCCCTGCCATGGAAAATCACCGAGAAGGGCCCTGCAGGGAAACAGACTCCAGGGTTGGCAATTGATGTGTAGTTTATTTTTCAGTGGGGAGCATTGATCTTTCCTGCAGGAGTGAATGGGTCCAGGCCCACCTCCCATGAGCTCATGAGATTCCTTTACAAACCTAGTGACCAGCTCCCTTGGGCCAGGAAGCCCCGTCCCTCTCTCTGGGGTCTGTCACCCTAGCCAGAGACCAAGGCTGCCTTCTACTGTGGAATCTCTAGTGGTTACAAACAAAATTCTCTTTGGAATACCTGGTGAGTAGTTGTCAAAATTTTATTTAATTCATCAACAAACAACAGGCTGGGTGTGGTGGCTCATGTCTGAAAAACCACCAACAACAGACTATGCCTCTGAATGTTGCAGGAAAAATTATGAAATGATGGCAAATAAGATCTTCCAGGTGTGTTTCTGACAATAAAACTACAACACCTTTGCAAGGACTTCCCTTCCAGGCCATAAAACAGCTGCCATGTCCCTTTCCACAAGCCTGACCACTCAGCTGCCATTCCCTTATCCATTGGCCTCCTTGCTTCCGCACTGAGCACTCATGTCCCAGACCGAGTGCCTCATCCTGGCTGCTGCACTGCGGGTCGCTCCAGTTCAGCTCAGGGAAGGTGGCACCAGTACTTACAGTTGCTCTGATCACAGACCTTTGAGTCATAATGCCTCTCTTTCAAAAGCCACATTTTCCAGTTAAGGCAGCTGATTCTACCTTCAAAACATATCCAGAGTCCAGGCACAGCTGACCACCTCCATGGCCACCTCCTGGTCCAAGCTGCCTTCCTCTTTCCTGGGCTTCTTCCAGGTCGTCCTTCAGCAGATGCCCAACTCATTAAGAATAAAAGCCACCATCTGGCCCTGTGTTCTCTCCCTGACCTCATCTGCCCTCCCAGGCTCCCTTCATCCCAGCTGCACCAGGCTTCTTGTTGTTCCTTGAACAGGCAGGGTCTGCCCCAACCCCAGGGCCTTTGCACAGGCTCTTCCCTCTTACTCCAATAATTGGGTGTGGAATGTGATAGAATGGTGTTACTCTGGTTCAGAGTGCTAAAATGGGGTTGAGAAGCCATCCTTAGAAGGACTACCTGCACGGCCGCAACCCTGCCAAACAGGAGCTTGCTTGAACCTTTGCTCTGGGCCCCCCGGCCACAACCATAACATCCTGGAGAACAACTGAATTTGCCACCGCACTGCGACTCCTGAACAGCGAAAACCAAAGATCTGCGGACTCATGTACTATGCTAGCCGCCTGCACCAATGACTATCCTTTCAAAACAACGTGTGTAATCACCCTCAGCGTACTTTTAAAAATCCCTACTCCCCTTCCTCTCCTGAGAACACAGTTTGGTTTCTAGCTGAATCTGTGTCTCCTGAATGCCAATTCCTAAGACCCCAAAACACTCCTTGTCTTACTGCTTTGCAGTCTGGTCCTTTGCTTCTTCTTGGTTGACAGGTGGCTTTCTCCCTGAACAATTCATGTCTCTGCTTGATTTCACGTCATTGAGGCCTTCCCTGAGTGTCCCATTTATCATGACATCTGCCCCTACTCCCAGACTCTATCCTCCAATCTCGTTGTTTTCTCTCTGGAGCCACTCAACAGCACCTAATATGCTGTATATCTTTACTTATGTATTTTGCTTACAGAAATTAGAAAGCCATTTCTGGAGGGAGCAGAGAACTTTTATCTGTCTGTTGTCTGGGGTAACCCCAGTGCCTGAGATAGGGCCTGGCTCCTAGTAGGTGCTCATTAAAATGTGCTGAATGACTGAATGATCCCTGTGCTATGGTGCAGCCTTGTACATTTCCTGCAAGGAGCAGAGACTTGTGCAATGCAGGTGTTGGCAGGGTCTGTTTCCTGAAGAAGCTGAGGTATCTCAGCTGGCCCTGAAGATTGGGGTGTTACTTGATTTGCTGAGAAGCCAAAAATGCCCAAATAGCAAATATGTTTGATCAAAATTGATTGCACTCATCCTGCTCCAGTGAGTCCCTTTATCCCCCGGAAATCCCCTGCCTGCTTCCCCTGTTAGAAAAGCAGGAGCCTGGGAGAGCCAGGGTAATGACATTTTAAGTTCAGCTCCATCTTGAGACTAATGAGGTACATTCCTTGCCAGTCACGACCCATGGTCATAAGATGTGCAAAGCCAAGGAAACAGCCTGCCGATACTTGCAAGAACACACTTCTATGACAACAGAACGTCCAGAAGTTCCAATATCCATAACAATGTATGCTTTGAGATAATTATAGTTATGGTTTGATGTATTTAGGCACTAAATGCCAAGGACAGTTTTCTTTAAATTAGCCACAAAGGGGTCTCCTCCCATGGTGCTGGTCAGGCCAGGGTATCAGGGGTCAGCGGTCAGGTGGCACCTGGGGCTCAGGGTGGAGTGAGTTGTGGGCAGGGGCGGGGAAGGGAGCTGGCACATCTGGGCCCCTGATTCATAGCTCAGCACCCCCAGGGACCAAGCAGAGCAGGGCAGGACCCAGGTCGTCTGGGAGACTCAGATGAGTGCCCTTTTCCTCTGAGCAGAGAGTCTGGGTCCAGCTGGCCTTTGTTGTACTATTGGAGATGGAATGCTCTGGAGGCACCCCCTTTTTATCCATGCACGCTCCCTGGACTTCAGATGGGCCTCTCATGGGGACCCCACCACCTGGCTGACATGCTGTCCTCTCCCATGGGGGCCTCATGGCAGGTTTGGGCTCCAGCTTTGCATCAAATGAAGGCCCATGAAGGCCCGGGACCTGCCCTGCCACCCTGTCCTAAAGTGCCGAAGTGGATGCATGGGCGAGGCATTCAAACCACTCTGTCACTTGCATGACTTGGGGCCCACTTTGCAACGTAGGTTCTCCGAGACTCACATTCCCCATCTGTCAGGTGGAGAGAAGGGAGTCGGGTGAGGAGCCGGCTCTCCATCGCCCCCAGGCCTGGCCCATAGCCTGCTGCTCCTGCCAGCTTGGCCCTGGCTCTGGGTTGACCCCTCAGCCCAGAGAGTGCGCAGAGCTGGTGTGGGCTTCTGGCCTCAGCCTGCCTTGGGGTCCTGCCTGCCCCAAAGCCCTTGGGGCCTGAGAGGGTGTGGCAGGGAGGACAGGGCCCAAGGCTCTCCATGGCCATCCACTCCCCCTGGTGCTGCATTCCTTTGCCTGCTCAGAGCCCTCTGTCCCATCCTGCAGCTCTCCCTCCCGACTTTCAGGGGGTGACCAGGTACTCACGAAAGGACCCTCTTCCCCAGAGCGCAGCTTCCTGTCAGGGGGTGACCGGGTGCTCATGAAAGGACCCTCTTCCCCAGAGCACAGCTTCCCGTTCCCCTGGGTCTGAACAGGTAGGGTGTGGGGAGAGGGGAGGCAGCCCGGATAGTGTGACCACCCAGGCCAGTGGCTCTGCAGACCCCCAGGAGCACTGCAATCCTGCACCAGCTGCTCCCTGGACATGGCCACCAGATGTCTTGGGGGGGCACCTGAAATCCTCTGTCCTGAGGGGAACACGTGTGTCTCCTCACTACCTGTCCCCTGGTCACCTCAGTTTACGGCATCCCCATCCTCACCACGGGGCACCCCAGCCTCAAGTTTACACATGGGTGGCTGTCCATGGTCCTGCCTTGCACTCCCCTTTCTGTCTGATTTGCAACTCTCCCCATTGTTGAAGCCTCTGTACTGTGTGGCCTTCTCCATGCCTGTGGGCAGGGGTGACAAGGAGCAGAGCCACCTCCCACCTTGCCATTTCATGGCCTAGGGTCCTAGAGGACTCCCTGCTTTCCCAGCTAGGGGGACCGTGGGCTGGGAGGCTGGGAATCTGCATGGGGTTGAGGCAGGTGGATGGAGGAGGCAGGAAGGGTGTCTGAGGAGGAAGGAAAGTGTCTGGGAAAAGCTAAATGAGGAAAATTGAGCTGGGGAAAGAGGCCAGGAGGGTAGTGGAGGCCTGGGCATCAGTGAAGAGTCACCTGATCCTCAGGGCGGGGCCAAGAGCAGCTCCTGTCACAGCATCCTGTAGGCCAGGCCTCACTCATTACTGGGGCTGGGCTCCTCAGACACATGTGGGGTGTGGACTCATTTGGCGGGGTGGAGAAAGGGCTGTCCCTGTCTGTATCTTGTGAGGGTTTGTTGTCACATCAGCCTATGCGGGTGTCCCCTTTTATCTACTCATGGGACCTCTGTATTCGGGGATGGAGTGTGCGTGTGTGCATGTGAGTGTGTATGTGTGTGAACATGTGTGCATGTTTGCATGTGAAAGCATGGGGGGCATGTCAGTGTGTGTAGTGCATGGGTAAGTGTGAGGGTAAGTGCATGTGTGTGTGTGTGTGAGTGTGTGACTGCACATGTGTGGCATGCACGCATATGAGGATGTGTGTTTTCGCCCATGTGTAGAGTGTGTACAGGTGTTCAATGGTCGTGCAAGTGTGTGTACTGGGTGTGTGCATGTGGTGTGTGCACACACGTGTGGTGGGGGCACAGATGTCCCTCTTGAGCTTGCCCCCCACCCAGGCAGCATCCGTGGACATGTTGTTGTCCTTACCTGCCCTGGCCTTTGGGGGTTGCTCTCTCCTCCCCTGCCCTGTCTCTCCCTGCTCCTTCCTTGCCTGAGGCTTGGGTGAGGACTGCCCAGCCCACCTGTCCATGCCATGCTGCCAGCCCTCATCCTGCACTCAGGGCTGAGGACGTCTGAAAGCTGGATGCTCCCCAGCCCTGCCTGGAGTGAGGCCAGCCTTCTGCCTCAGCTCCCAGGGCTCTGTGGCCATCTCCCATGCCCCTCTCCCCATCCCTGCTGGGGAGTAGGAGCACCATGGTCCTCTCCTTCCCTGGACTAGCCTGTCCCCTCTTCACCTGTCCCTTTTTGCAGGAAAGGTAAGGTGTTACAAACCCTTATCTTTTGATATTTAAAGGAGTCTAGATCTTGCTACTGAAATGCTTGTTTCTCTCAATACTAGAAAAGTAGAAGCCTGAACGTCCTCCATATGCTCTGTGTTTGCCTGGGTCAGCGAGGGTGGAAATCCTTAGGCATTCTCTGGGAGGACAGGTCATGGGTAACAGGAGTGATCGGAAATAATCGCATCAATCAATATAGCAAAAGAGTATATTATATTTATGCATAGAGCTGTATGTGCCAGATTCTGACTTATTTCAAGCTGTTAGGCTTTACTGAGAACTACTTTCAAGAGGAGAACAAAAACTATAAATCATTTTCAGACTATTTATCCATGACAAGTCTTATCAATCCCCAAATTTGGAAGTTAAAATAGTGGCATAATAAGAACAACTCCATGTCAAAAGGACTTCCTACTTGTGTTTGTTCTGATATGAACCGTCCTGCCTCAGTGGATAGGAGAGTGGAGGCTGTCATGGAGCTTGGGGAGGGTGTGCGTGGAGAAGGGCCTGCTCCGTGGGGTGGGGAATCCTAAAGAGCCCACCTCACAGTGTGAGCGGCCCAGTGCCGTATGCCCCTGACACTGGCTGGCATGCCATGGGGAGAGCTTCCTTGGTGAAGGAAGCAGCATGTTGATTTACATTCCAGGTCAGACCATGTCCCATCTTTCTCACCATTAGGAACACTAACGAACGAATGTGGCCTTCCACCCCTGTTTGAGAGGTGCTTCTGGGCCTCCCTCTACTCACTCCATGGTTCCACTCTGCAGCAGAGCCACCCAGAGACTTCAGGGTGTGGGGAGATTTGAAAAGAAATCGGCCATGTTTATCTGAGCTCAAGAAAAATAACCCAAACCTTTTTCTGAAATATGCTTTTATCCTCCCAGTTCTATGTCTGTCATAAAGGCACAGCAGACAATCAGCACATGTAACTCTTCAGGAATGGGAACCAACACGTTGTCTGAGAGGGTTTTCTTTCCTGCTTGAAGATTCTAGCATGTAGTGTTTTTTTCCTTGGGAGCTTTGTATTTAAGGTTGGAGGAGCTGAGGCAATTTTTCTGGAGAGCAGATTATATCTTCTATTAGTCCAGGTTGGTTTCAAGGACGAGGTGAGCGAGAGCGTTGTCCAGGCCCTGCTGCATTCCAAGGGCAGTTCAGGGACTTGTACAGCAGGGTTGTGTGGTATCCCTGGTGGTCCAGACTGTCCTGGCTAGGCTGGCAGAGGTGGATCAGTCTCATTGCCACAGATGCCCACAGCTAGATGCCTGGTTCATGCTTGCTATTGGACCGTGTGCCTGGTCAGTCAGCTTATGCACTAGGTTCCCCTGTGGCCGAGGCTTTGCTAAGCAAAATCATTCTGTGTTGTCTTAGGGACTTCTGCGCTGGTCACAGTGGGGAACTTGTATGTCCTTACTAAGTTGAGCCCACTGAACTCCTGAAACACCTCTCAAATTTATTCCAGAAGAAGAAAGAAAAAAACGGAGTAAGGGCAACATTTGAAGAGATAATAACTGAGAAATTTCCAGAATGTATGAAAGATGCCTTCCCATAGACTCAAGAGACCAGTAAATTCCAAGTAGAAGAACTGAAAATGGAGCCCAGCTTGAGGAACCCATGGCTCAGAAGGTGGGGTCCAGTCCCACCCGCCCCACAGCCCGGCATGCTGAGTCTGAGACGCATGTGGAGCTCCCGGCAGTGATGCTAGGGTACGGTCTGCAGCTCAGAGGGTGACACATTTGGGGTAGCTGGCATTCAGAGGGCTACTGAGATGTGGCAGGGGTGAGGTCCCCTGTGGAGGTACAGATGAGAGTGAGGTGGGCATGGGATCAAGCCCTGTAGGGTTCTGGCATTTAGAGGTAGAAGAGAGGAGGACAGGGTGGCAGGTGGAGGAGGCCCAGGGGGGATGGATCCCTGGAACCCAGAGCAGTTCCAGCTGCTAAAGCAGCAACAGCATCTGCTTCTGCCCAGAGGCCAGGTAAGGTGAGGCTGAAGACGTCTATTGAATCCAGCAACCCAGAGGTCCCTTTTGGCAATGCCATTTCTTACAGACATAACAACTCTAAGTGATCCCCTTTCTTTTGGAGATTTATTATAGCATTTGTTATTTTATTTGCAGTTTTCTTCTCTATTATGCCTGGGAGCAGTTATTAAAGTGCAGAGCTCTTCAGAAAAGGCTGAGAATCAGCCTACATTAGCATTTCCATAAAATCGCCCTCTCTGAGGCTTATGAGGCTTATACGGGAGACCAGGGAGACCACGAGGGCTGTTCGACCCTGGCTGCCCCTCTTTGCACCTGTGAGTCATGGCACACCGAGGCCCTGAGGGCATGAGGCACAGGGTCTGTGGGGGAAGTGGGACACCCTGGGTCCACTGTCCACTCTGCTATTTGGTGATTGGGTTGAGCTGGGCTGCAGTGTGAGTAAAAATAATTTTCTCTCTGGACTACCCCAATCTGTAGGGCATGATTCTCCAGGGATTTCCACTGAAAACCTGTCTCTGTGTTCTCGACACAGAGAAATTGCAAACATTATTTCTTTCCGTTTTAAAGGTCTTAAGCTTTTCTTATTAATGTTCCGTCCCCCATAGCCTCAGAATGTGGGGAGAGACTGGCTGTGTTTAATGGTCCTGAAATCTACAGTTTGTCAACCATTGGGCACTGCTTTTTCTGCCTTAAACAGCAGCCCCTCCTGGCCTGTTGGTCCTGAGCCATGCTCAGGTCACCACACGCCCTCAAGCCTGCATGCTCATCAGCACTTCCTCCAGGGCTTCGACACCTGCCTCTTGTTCTTACAGCCCTTCGGGTCTGTCTCCTTGGCACCTGCAGCCAGGAGAAACCCTGTCCATCTTAGAGACTTTCCTTAGCTCTTTAGCCCCAGCCTGTGCAGCCTCGTGGCCTCAGCATGCAGCGTATTTCCAGGGTAAGCAGCCCCTGCACTCTGCAGCCCTGTATGCAATGCTGCACTCAGCAACATGTGACCTCCAAAAGCTCTGCCCTGGTTCTGCCGCCAGCAGCAGCCTCTGCCTGGGGAAAGGCAGCCACCCCTTACCTCTGGGACTTCCTCCTGATTTTACCCAGAGTCTTTGCTGCCTTCATAGCTCATGGACGCCCCTAAGTCAGTGATGGCTGTAATTTGCTCTCTTGCTCCAGCTGCTCTCAGTGGAAGCATTTCTGCCAATAACTGCTCCTTCCTAACAGGAATTGGAGGTCCATGCCTCTTTTTTTTTTTTTTTTTTTCAGAGAGCTACTGAGATGTGGCCAGACCCTTTCCCTTAAAGAAGTTAGGTCTGGGTCAATGCATTTACCACACATACTTTAATTATAAACCCCATACCTACCAATCCTGCAAGGCTAGCTTAATCATCTCCTTTTCACAGCTGCAATAACTGATAAGCAAGTTGGTGGGTGCAGGTTTGGCCGTGAGCCCCGCTTTCCACCACGCCACCTCCTGGGAGATAGAGAGTGGAGGGGTGTCTCAGTGAGGGACAACGCAAATACATAGAACAGACATTTTCATAAACTACTGACCATACTGAAAGCTTTTAGGTCACTTTCTGGTCTTTATGCTACAAGGCCCTTGAAATGTGTCACTTTAATCACATAAAGACAGTAGTCTGATTACATCTATGATTTCCATTGTCCCCTGAAAATTCACAATCGCTTCTGCTTTCCTTATGGGTGTGTAGATAGCACAAAAGCAATTTCTTTTTTTTCCCTTGCATTAACTTGAGGATCATTATTCACTAAGAAAAAAGTTTGCTTAATTAATGTCACTAAATTTTTTTTGTAGTCATCTCGATAAAAAAATGTAGCTGTGGGAATGTTTTCTTTTAATTATTATTGCATTCTGAGATAGCTAATATCACTCTTGTTATTTTGGGTCGGCGAAGGGAAGAAGAATTCCTGGATGTTTATTTGGAAAGGTTGGGGAATGCTGGAGGCAGCTCTTCATGGGCGTAAACACATTAACATTTTCCGGAGAGAGGACAGGATGTGGGGATGGTTGAGTTCCACAGTCAGTTCAGCGAGACTACATTGTCATCTTTTAATTCTCCTTTATATCAACTGACAATGCAAAATTATTTGTTTAAATTGAGCATTGTCACTAAAAACAGTGAGACCCAGGCTTGTATTTGAGTCCAAAATTTGCCACTTTGCAAACCTTTGCTTTGTAGATGCAAACTCTAAATTCATTGTATCAACTATTGATCCCCTATGGCATGAAGATGAAAATGAAAATCTTAAGACCTTCCCTTAAGCCATTCTGGTGAATTAAATAGATACTTGCTTGAAAAAAACACAAAATATAATTGTTGTAATGATTGTTATTGTTTTGTTTCATTTAGAGTTTATGTTAACCCCAGTCTTTTCCCTGCAACAAAAGGGGACACACACACACACGCAGAGAGAGAGAGAGAGAGAGAGAGAGAGACAGAGAGAGAGAGACAGAGAGAGAAAGAGAGAAGAACAAGAGCAAGGGAGCTGTCCAAAATTTGCAGACCCCTGAAATCTGTCCTTGGCTTCAGTTGGGGGATCTTGGCCCCCTACATTGGTCACCTGCCAGCCCGGAGTAGGGGATGAGGGGATGACTCAGGTCTGCAGAGTGTTGTGGGCAAGACCGTGCCTGGGGTTCAGGCTTCTGTACCATCCAGAGAGCTCTACCCTGTCAGGCCACTTAGGACCATGACACCTGAGGCAAGAAGTCGGGGTGCAGGGGGACCTGGACAAGGCAACTCAGCCTCTGAAGGAGCCCACACTCCCAGGATGAATTCCTCAGCCAGGGATAAAATGTTGCTTCCTGTTTAGGGCCCCCTGTTCCTATTTTCTACCTCCCAATTTCTGCCACTTTTGTAGGAGGTAATAAACCAAGTCCCCTGAGGCGTCCCTCCCTAGAAGCAAACTGAACCATTACAAAGTGATGTTGGAGCAACCAGGAACACAGAGGAGGCTAATTCTTCCCTTCTCTATGAAATAGAATAGCTACATCCACTTTTGACAGCCTTAGTCAGAACAAGTCCTACCAGTCCCTCCACCTAGGGCCCTGCTTTGAAGTGGCTGCATCCTAAGCCTGTCACTTCGATGTTGTAGCTGGAGCCTTGGGCTAGGGATTTTATACCAGCATCCCCTCTAGGAGAAGAGTTACACACTGTTGTCTGGGGGCTTTGACCCATCCTAGTATCACCCTTGCAATATTAACTCAATGAATTTATAGGAGAGGCCAAACTTAAGATGAATAAGAATCCAGCCAGTTTTCCCAGACCAAGCCCCCAAATCTCATGGTGAATGAGTGCTGATGAGGTGTGGCTGGACTGAAGGATGAGAGCTTCAGGGACCCTGGAGGGAGTGTATCACCAGCAAGGTGGGAAGGCTGTGGGCCCCGAGCTGATAGCTTTCCATGGCTCTAAGATGGCCCATGCTTCCCTAGTCTCCCTGTGGAGACCAGGTGCATCTCAAGTGTGGAGTGCTTTGGGGACATTGGAGGCTGTTGCTGGGACTCACGTGTCTGCTCTCTGCTGGTGTCTCTCCTGTGTTGTTTCCTGAACTGTATCTTTTCTAAAAGTGAATTAAACTTGGTTTGGAGTGAAGGCTCTTCTTTGTCAGGAGTTTGAATGTCAACTCAGGATGATTCTAGGCAGGTGACCACCCTTTGCCTTGTGTTTCTAACTGATCTCTTGCTTGCCATCATTGAGAAACCTCTAACCTTCCAGTCAAAGACCTTCCCATCTCCCCCATCTCATCTGGCTCCTGGCCTGGCCATCTTTCACTTCTGAGGAGGTGGAGGTGCGTATTCTAGAAGCACAGAGAGAGTGTGGCCGTCTCAACAGGAACATTTGGAAATGTTTTCTGAGGATTCGTCCTTTTACCTGGACTTTGAAGACAGGGTCACAAGGTGAGAGTGAGACCTGGCTGAGTTATGGGGGTGCTCTGCCTGCATGGAAGTGTGCACCCCACTGTGGGAGGTGTCCTCAGGCCATTCTCTGACCAGGGGCCTCTCACTTCAAAGCATTTGGGATGGAAAGTTGCCATGCTGCAGATTTTGAACAAGGCTGGCCTTGATTCAATTAGTCTGTGGAGTAAATTGTATGTGAGTGTGAAATAGTCATTGAATAGGCGCTTTTTTTTGAGATGGAGTTTCGCTCTTGTTGCCCAGGCTGGAGTGCGATGGTGTGATCTTGGCTCACTGCAACCTCACCTCCTGGTTCAAGTGATCCTCCTGCCTCAGCCTCTCGAGTACCTGGGATTACAGGCATGTGCCACCACACTCAGTTAATTTTGTATTTTTAGTAGAGACGGGGTTTCTCCATGTTGGTCAGGCTGGTCTTGGTGATCCGCCTGCCTCAGCCTCCCAAAGTGTTGGGATTATAGGCATGAGCCACCACGCCCGGGCCTTGAATAGGCACTTTTGAAGCTTGTCTCTCCTATATGTTTTCAACAATTTACTTTTGTTTCGGTCAACTTAAATAACCAACAGAGAAACGTTCTTTAAAGAAAATGATGTTTATTCAGGAATAGGGCATTGCAACGGAATACACATGCCATAATAAACTGTGTGTGTATTCAGGGAGGTAAAGGAAGACAAAGGTTTTTAAAGGAAAAATGAGGAGGATTACAGAATTGTTTTGAAATAATTATCCTAGGCTACAAGGATCGATAATAAGGTGACATCAGATCTGAGGCTGGACACACAGCTGCTCGGCAGATGTCACTGCAAAAGTATTTTTTTGTGTATGGTTGTGATGGACTTTGTGCAAGGTTGTGGTTTTTGCAGAGTCTTTTGTGGTAGTTTTAACAGATATACAAGCATGAGAACCCTGTCTTCATAGCCTTCTCTGGCCCTATTTGTCAGTTTTTTTTTTTTTAAACGCGAGTGGCTCCATTTTGATTCTGATACCTTTCACAGTTCTCGTATAGTGGGTGCTCTTTGACTGGCTTGAGAATGGACACTTTCACCCCATGCCTAAATCAACAGTCACGGTTTGATGCCTTGGGTCTTATTTGCAATTGCTACTTCATGGTTCACACCATGGAGCTGTGTAGTGAGGGTGCCATGCCTCTTCTTTTCTCCTCAGTCATCTCATTAAGTTACTTTCATAAATCATAATTTCTCATTTATCTTCTTTGTTCCTCTGTCAGCACCAAAAGGAAGAGAAAGTGTCACAGGATTTACCAGGTTAACATTTGGTGCTCCTGTGTTCTCATGATTTCCTCTGAGATTAAATCTCTAGCTTACTAAAAAACAAATTAGAGAGACTTCCTAGTAAAGAGGGTGTAATGAACCCAGTTCTTAGAACCTCCCTCCCTCAATTCCTGATGGAATTATTAAACAGTAGAAACACTAGCAAAATTTCCATTATCAAGTAAAGAGGTGTAAACTCATGCCATAGCATTCAAGAATGGTAGCCAAGGAAAGAAACAGAAGATTTTCAGACAGCATCTAACTCCTTCACAGCTCCTCAGAGGCCATACGGGGAAGAGAAGCAGCAGCCACACAGTCCTAACAGTTCTCATGTGTGTTCTCCGATCACGGGAGAAGTGGACATGGGGAAGTTTCAGGTGTAGGAGCTCTTACCCACTCCTGTGGAGTCTCAATACCTCTGCAAAGGCAGGAAAAGTACTAGGTTTTGACATTTTCTGGGACTGCACACTGAGTTAAGGAAAATGCCCAAACTGATATCCACCATGAAGTTGATACTGCCCTGAGTAACAGAGTGACATTTAGTGCAATTTCACTGAAAAGACAGCAGAACTCAGAAAATCCAATAAAGCCTAACAGAACAAGACAGCAGGGAAGTTTTAGAGCTTATAATATCAAGTGAGTACGAAAAAACAGCACCCTTATATAACTAAAAATATACACAAGGAACAGACTATATCTGGCTAAAATTTAATCAACTCTTCTAGAGGAAAGGCTTGAAATTACTGCGAACACATAGGTGTTGTAGAGAGATATGAAAGCAATTTGAAAAAACAGAACAGATTTGATAATTAGACATAGATGATCCAATATAAATAAAATTTAAAATGTATGAACCTGAATTAGAAAACCCAATCAATGAATAGAAAGTGTTTTCAAAGTGTAATAGAAAAAAATTCTTGAAATTAAGGTAACTTGAATATAGATTTATATTGAATTTATATTGAAACCTGAATATAGATTTATAGTTGCACATCTTCAATCTATAAGATGAACCTGAATATAAATGTATATGTGAGTGTGAAATAGTACATTGAACAGGCACTTTTGAAACTTGCCTCTTCGATATTTCCAACAATTTACTTAGGGTTCGGTCAACTTAAATAACCAACAGAGAGAGGTTCTCTAAAGAAAATGATGTTTATTCAGGAATAGGGCATTGCAACGGAATACACATGACTTAATAAACCATGTGTGCATTCAGGGAGGTAAAGGAAGACATAGGTTTTTAAAGGAAAAATGAGGAGGATTACAGAATTGTTTTGAAATAATTATCCTAGGCTACAAGGATCAATAATAAGGTGACACCAGATCTGAATATATATAAATCTATATTCAGGTTCATCTTACAGACTGAAGATGTACAACTAGGAAATACCCTAGAAAAAATTATTAAATGGTTGTATTATTAAGATAACATTTTTTTAAAAAAATTATTAAACTTTAAGAGAAAAAAGTATTTAGGTTTTGAGGAAAAAAATGCAATATAGGTAGAGAAAAAAATCAGGTTGACCACATATTTCTTAGTAATATTAATAATATTCAATGCGAAAGACAACTGAGCAAATATCTGGGGCAATTAAACTGCTACCTTTAAATGTTAAACCCAGTAAAATTATTATTAGCTATAAAAGCAATAGCTATAAAAGTTAATAGCTATAAAAGCAATAGCATTCTTAAAGGTCTCAAGAAATACAGGACCAATGAGTGCTTTCCTAAAAAGCAAGTCCTGTGAAGCAAGGCAGTGGACTCCAAGGTGAGTGAAGTGGCAGAAGTGGATGAGCTGGGGCTGTGCTCAAGGCTGGAGGTGACTGACCAGTGGCCAGGGAAGGAAGGCAGACCCAGGAACCTTATACCCAGCCAATGTTTCTTTCAAATACTAAGGCCATAGACAGACATTCTCAAGTGAGCAAATCTCAGAGAAGAGATCACCCATGTACCTTTCCTAAAAAAAGGTACCATGAAATCCAGCACACAAGATGAATAAAAATGTAGAAAAGATGAATAAAAATGAATAAAATAAAAAGTAAAAATGAATGAAAGATGAACAAAAAGATGAATAAGAATATAAAAATGAACAAAATAACTGGAAGAGTATATTGAATACAGAGAACATAATTCATATGGGACATTTTGGTTATCGAATTGAATACAAATGCCTTAATCCAGGACGAAACATAACATTTTCAAACAATATATAAGTAGGTGGAGATAGGTGGAGTAAGTACTAATTTTCTCATCACTCTTAACTCTTAATGTTTTGTGTATTTAAAACATCTTTTAGAAATCCAGATGATCTCTTCTGATGAATAAATGTTTATTTGAGACTTAGCATTTAATTGTTTCACCCCAGTTTCTTTTAAAGATATATTGCAAGTAAATTCAATTTAAACATTTTAAAATTAAAGTTAGTATGTTTAGGATGATTCCATCTTAATACAATCTATCTATCTATCTATCTATCTATCTATCTATCTATCTATCTATCTATCATCTATCTATCCATCATCTATCATCTATCCATCTATCTATCTATCTATCTATCTATCTATCTATCTATCTATCATCTATCTTCTATCTCTATCATTTAACTTCTATCTAATCTATCATCTATCTATATTATCTATCTATCTGTCTATCTATCTATCTATCATCTATCTACCTATCTACCATCTATTTATCTGTGAAGGTTATCAGAATCAAAATAGAATCACTAATGTTAAGAAAACCCCTATAAATAGAGACAGGGAAAGCCATGAAGAGAGGGTTCTCACATTTATATGCCTGATAACAAAAAAGACTCTAAGAAAAACACAACCTTGCACAAATGCCATCGCAACCTTACACAAAAAATACTTCTGCAAGGACCTCTGCCTAGCAACTATCTGTCCAACTTTGGACTGGCATCACCCTTGTTATTGATCTTTGTAGCCAAGGATAATAATTTCAAAACAATTATGTAATTCTCTTCATTTTTCTTTTTTAAAAACTTTTGTCTTCCTTTACCTCCCTGAATATGCATGTAGTTTACTATGTCTTATGTATTCCAATTGCAATGCTCTATTCCCAAATAAATATCTTTTCTTTTAAAGACTTTCTATAGGTTGACGTATCTACCTACCTACCTTCTACCTTCTAGCTGTATTTATGTAATATTTCCATTTTTGTGACATCATATCTCTCTAGTCTTACTTCTGTGCATATGTATGTATGCAGAGATGGACTTTGGAATCATGGTAACTATTATTGTATATTAGTCAGCTCAACTACCCATAACAAAATACCACAGACTGGGAGGCTTAAACAGCAGACAATTATTTCTCACAGTTCTGGAGATTGGAATTCCAAGGTCAAGGTGACCTCTGAATCAGTTCCTGGCGAGGGCTCTCATGCTGGCTTGCAGACAGCTGCCTTCTCATTGTGTCTGTCCTCACATCATGGAGAGAAAGCAAGAGCACAAGCTCATGGTGTCTCTTCTTATGAGGACACTAATCCTATTGGATCAAGGCCCCACTCTTATGATCTCATTTAATCTTAATTACCCCTTAAAAGCCCTCTCTCCATATACAGTTACTTTAGGGGTTGGAGCTACAACATATAAATTTTGGGGGACACGAGACATTTAGTTCATAACACATTGGATGGCAAAATTGTTTTTTTCTCTTTGTGTCCTTTCGTATTTTTAAAATATTTTATAATAAGTATTATAAATCTTATAAAGGGTAAGGAGGTAGAAGTGGGGAGTGTGATGAGAAATTACTTAGTGGGTACAATGTACATTATTTGGTGATAGATACACTAAAAGCTAGGACTTCACTACATGTAATATGTGCATGTAATAAAATTGCACCAGTACCCCTTAAATGTACACAAAGAAAAAAAATGTAAGCCATTTTGTAAAAAGGTATTGCTGATGTTATAGATTTTACTAGAAGTAATAATAGCTAGCATCATCGCTATAGATTTTTTAAATGAATCACAAGCACCTTCATTTATTCATGTGACTCCAATCAACTCAAGGTCGGTAGGGAAACAGGCTCAGAGAGACTCTGGTGTCCCAGCTGGTGAGTATCAGAGTCTAAACTCACAGCTTTATTTTTCAGCATCCTTTCTTTTTTTCTACGTGATAAAAGGTTGTACATTTCAAGGTGAGTCTCAATCATTTCCCGTCATGCGTTTACAAATTCAGTAACAAAGTTTAAGGTCTCACACAGTAAAAATCAATTTGCTTCTGTATTTGGGAAGAAGTAAAAACAGCATTGTTGTCCTTAAGAAATTATTGTTACAGGAAGGAGAGTTCTACCCCTTGTTACCGTAGCCTCTCGTGTGGCTGCAGCGACACAGAAATTGGAGCCTGGTGGAGGAGTGTGGCTCTGCTCCTCTACTGCCGGCCTCACCCGACCCAGGAGGTCACCGTGCTGGGTGACTCAGCTCCTGGCCTTTCAGAGGGCAAAGTGGTCTGGAGAGCTGTCAGCTGGTCCTCAGATATCCCATTTGTTGAGGTCTGGCCCCACATGGCATGCTCCAGCACACATCGTTTTTGTCAGATGTTCCTGAGAGTTGGATGCCCAGGTGGGAGAGGCTTGGAAGGCAACCACGCCCACCACCCATTTGGATGACGCTCCTCCTCTCTGAGCCCTCCAGGTAATCACAGCTGTCAGCTTTGGCTGTGCCCAACTGCTCCCTGGGTCTCCTTCAGCCTTCTCTGTTGTCTCTTCTTTAAGAACAAGGTGTTCTTCCGAGCAGACCAGTTCTCCATCAGGCACCAAGGAGTCCCTCCATGAGGCCCGACAGACACACATCTGCTCTTTTCCCACCGAGTTCACCCACTGTCCCGTGCTCATGCCCATTTCTGATGTCCATCCTTGCTAGTCATTCCTTAGGCTCTTCCACTATTCAAATCATTTCACTAAGGAGTTCTGGTCTTTCAAATATCTTTTCTTTTAAAGACTTTTTCTGTTATTTAGGTTGACATATCTACCTGCCTACCTACCTTCTACCTTCTAGCTGTATTTATCCAGTATTTCCATTTTTGTTTCAAACTATGCATTCATTGTTCATGAGGACTGAAAAGAATCGAATTTGGATTTGCAGTGACCTGCATTTGTGATTTCAGACTTTGTTCTTTAGGTTTCTCCCCATCGTTGCTGCACATTTCTCTCCTCTGCCCTGGCTCTCTCTTCTCTCTACCTTTGAGGCTCCATGAAAAATTCACCCCCCACAGGTTCCACTGTAAATAGGCTCTCGGGAGGTGTCGGTCTGTGGCAGGCCAATTCTCCGACAGTTACACAGACAAATTTCCACAGCACTGCCTTAACATTGAGCAAATAATTAAACCTGGGGAAACTGATGCCCAGACATCAAAGCTAGAAAGGAAACATATGGTCAGTAGGAGCCTTGCACAGACTTTTCCCTAACCTGGAGCAAGTCAAAATAACGGAGACAGCCTTCCATTCCTCGTGCCAGGACCTGTCTCAGGTCGGCAAAATCTGAGATGAGTCAAGGGAACACAGGCAGCTGTTTAAATAGATTTATTAGAGAATTGAAGGCAGCTGTCCTGACCAAGCTGTAAATGAGATAGCTAGAAATAATCACTCCGGTACCACAGTCCTCACTAATTAGAATTTAGGAGACAGGCCTTGAAGGTACTAGGGCCCTCACAGCCTGATCAGACTTAGAAAGCATTTTTTTTTTGGCCTCTGACCTTCTAGTTAAAACAAAATTAGTTACCTGTAGACTTAGGCAAATGTGATACCGCTCATAGGCACATGACCCTAACCTGTATAAGCACTAAGAAAATTGTAACACTTTGAGTTGGTCTGGTGGAATTATCTCTGGCCTTCTCCCTATAGCTGGTTACAGCAATAAATTCCCTTCTTTCCTAGTTTGTCTGCTTCTCATTACTGGGCCATAAGAAAACTCAGCCGGACTCAGTTTTGTTCCTGGAACAAGTCCACAGGGAACAACCTTTTTTGCTGAAAGTGAACTGTGGGCCCAGCTGTGTCTTGCTGCTGGGAACATCATGGGGACTGGTCTAGCCCCCTCAGCGCCCTGGCCTGGTTGAGCCTCCTCTTCTGGGCAAATATGCCTTCAGCATCTCAGAAGAGATACATTCCATTGGTTACTCATTCCCGTGGAGTGGGTTCTCCTGCCTGACAGCTTCACCAAGAGTCTGGGAGTGGTGCCAGTTGCCACGGACGGGCTACAGGCTCATCCCTGAGTCAGCCACCATTCAGAGTGAAGGGAGTTCATGGTGGGCACAGCCCTGAGCTAGGGGATGGGGTCAGCCCTCGGGACACAGGCACTGGGGATGCCAGGCAGGGAAGAACACGTCTTAACTTCTAGAGGGAAGTGTAAAGTGGACAACCTTTTTGTGCACAATTCAACTTCTTTCTTAAATTGGCCCCCTTGCACTGCTAATGTATACTCTCTTTTTTCTTTGCTTAAGAAGATATAGTCCAAGCACTGCTGGGAAAATATTTTGTTTCTTTGATATTCACAAGAAAATTTCCTTTTGCACACACAAAATATAAAGTCAATAGTTCTTTTATTCATATTTTTAGAAGTCAAGATGTTTTCTTATTTTTATTTTTTAAGGAGTGAATTTCAAAATGTTGAAAAGTCATGTTCTCATATTTGGTTGTGAGCTCTTTAAATATAGTAATTTATGGAGGAGGAGGTCTAGTTGGGTGTTAGTCAATATTATTTCAAAATTATTACAAAATTATTACTTAAACATTCCTTCACTATGTAAGCACAATAATCGCATCTAAGTGCAGCCGCCACTACCCCTCACTGGGCGGGACTCCTGGGCCCAAGGCTGTCTCTGTCAACTCCTGTCTCATTTCCTGGGGGCCCCGCCCTTAGCGGTTTTCCAGTAGATATAAATGTTATTTGCTCTATTGTTATATCTATTTTATTAAAAGCAAAACTTCCTCAGTTTCCTGCTAGCTTGTTTTTAAAAAAGGTTTCTACAATTTATACAACATTCCATTTAAGAGTTTTTTTCTGAGTTAGGAAAGGAAGTCTCCCCTTCCGCTTGGTTCAGAATTAGAGAGACACTCCCCTGCCCCACCTCACTGAAATTCATTTGTTTATCTCATTATTTCAGCTGCAGTTTTCTAGAGATATGCAAACCACCAGAGTAAAAATTATTAAATGAGAATGTCCCCCAGCAATTAAGGGGAGCAACGTGGGGGAAGGGTAAGTGCATTCACTAGGGGAGACAGCCTGCCTTCCTATGATAGCGGGAAAATGGCATTGGATAATCCCTCCCAAGTCTTATTTCTGGGAAAAATTAATATCTTTGACACTAAGCTTATTGGTTTCTAGTCTTTACCTCTTAATTTATCTTTCTTCCCAAGATTTGTCCTTAAACAAAGCAGATAATAAAGTACACATGATGCGATGGCAGTGTGAACAATTCAGGACGTGAAATAGAATTCCACCATCCAGGTGAGCAAGGCTCATGACTGAAATGGCACTCGGGCAGCCCCAGCAGCAGGGCTGGGGTGAGCCTGACAGGAGCAAGGACCCTCGGAGAGTCTCCCCATGCCCAGGTGGGATGCCCAGGGAAGAGAGGGTGTCCCAGAGGGGCTGGAGCTGAGAGGAGAGTACAGAGACCAGACCATGTGGACAGGTTTGGAGCTTGCTGGTAAGAAGAAGACCACCAAGGATGCTTGAACAGAGAGGTGAGCTTGGAGATCAGACCATGCTGATGGGCTTGGAGGGGCAGGCAGGGATAGAGAGTGTTCAAGGCATGTGTGAACAGAAGGTGAAGAGAGAGCAGCCTTAGGGAGGGAGTGGGTCCAGCCGTCGGGGAAGGAGCATCCCTGAGAAGGCAGGCAGAAGTGCGAGGTGGAGGCCAGGTGGTGTGGATGGGGCAGGGATGATTCAGCAGAGTTGATAGGAGGGCCACACCCTGCCCAAGGGCGGTGGAGGGGAAGGGAGCTTCCAGTCTTTGATTGTACTCCAGGGACATGGAAAGACTTGCTCTTGGGTCTTTGCCGGGGAAATGGTTATAAGGGCCAGCATGGGGCGAAGTGGATCCTGGTGATCCCTGGTGGCAAGTGACCAGTGGGCCAAGCCCTTGGAGGAACAAAAGAAGTTACTTTAAGGGAGCAGGGGCGGGGAAGGAATTTTGCCTGGAGGTGCCTGACACCCTGGCATGGAGAGCAGGTGGGGCACCCCATGCCTTGAGAACTGGGGTCCACACATTAAGGATGGCTCTGGGAGTGAGCAGGATGGAGGAGGGGTGTGGAGCCGCCTTCTGAGAAGCTTGCCCTGTGGCTTTTTCTTCCGTCTCCCTTCAGTCTCTGAGTGCTGTTTGGCCCCAGCAGGTGCCTTGCTTGTCTCTCTGTTGAGCACAGCAAACCCCTTCCCTCGTTGTCCACTCAGCCACCTCGAATCACCATGGAGCCTGCCTGAATGGCCACTTGCTGGGGTTCCTGGTTGGACCTAGCTGGTGAGGCCCCACCACTGCCTCCCTATGATGCTGATTGCAACAGAAACCACTGGCAAAATAAAAGTACAATTACCCAAGGACTCAGAGAAGTAAACAAAGCCACTGAATGTGGAATAGTCAAAACTTGATTTAGAGACCCACAGAGTGAGTTAGTTCCCCATGTTTTTTTCTTTGCTCTCTCATTCTGAACCCAAGGGCTGGTTCCAGGTGCAGAAATGTGCAGTGGCAGCAGAGACCAAAACTCCAACAGAAACCCCGTCTTTCCAGCCAAAGGAAGAAGGATAGGGCCTCTAGTTCCCATGAATGCGGAAGATCTTTGCTCTCCCTCTTTGCTGGAGCTGTGGAGCTTTGTGCTGAGCTGATGTTAGCAGTTACAGCTCTGAAAGAAACCCTGCCCTCTCCACTCAGCCAAACCAGGAAAAGGAGCCCTGGCAGGAGGGTCCCTCACCTCTGTGGAGGGCTGCAGTCCAGGGCTCACCTCTGAGCTGTGCGTATGTAAGACAGAGCAAAGGCTTTGCAAGCTGAGCAGAGATCAGAGCCACTGAAGGAAGTGAGGAGAGCGGATGGCTGGAAGCCGCTTGGACTGGCTGCCTGAAAGCAAGCAAGCAAGCAAGCAAGCAAGCAAGCAAGCAAGCAAGCAAGCAAGCAAGCAAACAAACAAACAAACAAAAAACAGCATCCTCTAGGGGGATCTAGAGTCTAGATGACATAATATTAAAATGTCCAGGACTCTATTCTGAGGAGGTGACACTGATGGCCAGACCTAAAGCTCAGAAGGTGAAGGGTATGCTTGTCAGGCGCACAGCCTGGGCAAAGACCCTGAAGTGCTGGTTGGTGAAGTGCGCTGAGGTCTCTACAACAGGCAAGGCTGAACAGGGCCTGGTTGGCTCAGCCCTGTGGGTGTGGTGAATGGGTGCTGGCTCCAGGCTGCAGCTACCTACCTGTGTCCTGCAGGGCCCAGGAGGTGGTGCCCATTCTCTGCTCTAGGTAAGGGCATACCTTCTGGTGTGTTACCCTCCAGCTGTTTGCTTTTTTTTGGACAGGCTGTTCTTGTCACTGGAGTGGTAAAGTGCAGAGAGCCCATTGAGCCTGGGAGACGGAAGAAAGGGGGCCACCTGTCCTGGTTGGTTCTACACCCTCTGTCACTGTGCCCGGGCAAGTGTCCCCTGAGGGTCATCAGGCTCACAGGGCTGAGCTAAGTGTTCTGATCCAAAACCTCCTAGGAAGGACAAATGTCTGCTGTACTCACATTTCCCCGGGACCTTACCGAAAAGGCGCTGAGGGATACTAGGTTCCTCATGTGTGTGTGCACATGTGTGTGCATGTGTGTCTGTGTGTATTTGAGTGTCTGTGTATGCATGTCTCTGTGTTTTTTTTGTGTACGTGTGTCTGGGTGTATCTCTGTGTGGATGTTTGCGTGCATCTGTGTCTGTGCATGAGCATGGTGTGTGTCTTTGTGTGTGTGTGTGTGAGTGCATGTTCATGTGCATCTGTGTGTCTGTGCCCACATACATGCATGCCTCCGTGTTTCTGTGTGTGCTTTGCATGTGCGTGTATGCCTCTGTATGTAGGACTTGGACGCAGACATTTGGGATTATAAGTAAACTCTCCAGCTGACAAGCCTCCTGCCACATCCAGTCTGTGTTAAATCAGCACACTATCCTCATAGTAAAATTCACCTGCTTCCTTAGCCTGGGATGACTTTATTCCCATCCCCCGCTGTCACTGTGCATGTGTGTTGACCTCCCTCTGACTGGACCAGGGCTAGATGTCAGGGCTGAGCAGAAACAGCAATGGAGCAGGCATGAAGAAATGTTGGATGAATGGAGTTTTCATAACTCAGGAATTCAGTCAAGGGAGAAAATAGTTATGGTTTTTAATTAAACTTCAAATTCACATTTTCTCGAATACCTGCTAAACTGCCCTTGCCACACTCTTAGTTTTCTATCCTCAGTGTGTGTCACATACTGGTACTTGGTAAATGTTTCTGTAAGTGGATAAATAAACAGGGATCTAGGAATGGAGAGCAGAACTAAAGTCCCATAACACAGGAGCTATAAAAGCAGCCAGGAAGCAGGGGATCCCGCAGAGGAGCAGAAGTCTTTTAGGCCTTAGTGCCTGCTCTGTGGTCAGTAAAAACACATAGTTGGAATGCAAACAGTCTTAGCGGCTATGGTGGGAAAAGGTCAGACTGGGCTCTGAGTGATCATGACCTGACCATTCACCTGGAGGTTCCTGACTGCCCTAAGCCTTGGAATTAATGAAGTGACACAGACGAGAGCATGCTTGATAAATGCTGTTTGGGTCTGACTCTAATTTCCTGTTGGCTGGATAAATTTTAGGTTCCAGTTCCTCTTCATCTTTGGTGATACTCAATTTTTTCTTTTCTCCCTTCCTTCCTTCCTTCCTTCCTTCCTTCCTTCCTTCCTTTCTTCCTTCCTTCTTTCTCTCTCTCTCTTTCTTTCTTTCTTTCTTTTTTTCTTTCTTTCTTTCTTTTTCTTTCTTTTCTTTCTTTCTTTCTTTCTTTCTTTCTTTCTTTCTTTCTTTCTTTCTTTCTTTCTTTCTCTTTTTCTTTCTTTCTTTCCTTCCTTCTTCTTTCTTTCTCTTTCTTTTTGTTTTCCTTTTTTTTGATGCAGTTTCACTCTCTAGCCCAGGCTGGAGTGTAGTGGCATGATCTCGGCTCACTGCAATCTCTGCCTCCCGTGTTCAAGCGATTCTCCTGCCTCAGCCTCCCGAGTAGCTGGGATTACAGGCATGCGCCACCACACCTGTCTAATTTTTGTATTTTTAGTAGAGATGGGGTTTCACCATGTTGGCCAGGATGGTCTCGAGCTCCTGACCTCAAGTGATCTGCCCACCTCAGCCTCCCAAAGTGCTGGGATTATAGGCGTGAGCCACCGTGCCCGGCAGATACCCATTTTTTTCTTTGTGAACAATATCAAGAGTCTAATAATCCTTCAAATCATTACTCTAAGTGGCAGCAACAGAGGGCCAGTGGCAGATGGATATTGGTCCTGGAAATGTGCAAATCCTTTGACTTGGGCTGTCACCCCTTATAAATTCTCAGAAGCAAATAGCAAGCTTTGTGAATGCCACGTGTCCATCATCTTGGAGATATCCAGAATTGCCAGTCATAATAACGGAATTATATGAACAGTAAGAGTCTGCTTATCAGCTGTTTCCAGACTTTCATTTCTATTTCTAATGGCCTCTAAAAGGAAATGCAGAGTTAGTTCCACCAGAGTGTTCATTAAGCATCTTGATAAAAGTGGCTTCTAAGACACAGGTGTGCTAAGATTTTCTATCCTGTTACTTTAGTCAGACATGATTTATCAGTGGCTTGCATTTGCTTTTACATTGCTTGGTGGATCTTTGTGTATAAGCATTTGCTTCTGTCATATGGAGGAAATCTTAAGACAGTAGCCTCTTGATGAGGTTTTAAGGGGTTGAGTCCTATTCACAGACAAAAGTCTCCGATGTGTCTAGAAGTGTATATTATCCTGAATGTCATATCAAATTCTGTTGAGAAAACTAGAACCATTTAAAGTACAATAGTGCAGGCTGAAGATGGAGCTCGTAACGTTCTAACCTTAGTGTTCTGGAAACCCTCTCAAATATTTTAATATATTGACTTAATATTTCTAAAGGATAGTTTTATTAAGTCTTATAGGATTATAATATATGTTACAATATCTTTCAATGCTTTATACTTCAACTACTTACTAAAAGGTTTCAAGGCAGCTTAAAAATAAAGGCTGTTGAGAAGGATTGACTTTTAAAACAGTGGATATTGTGAACCTGCTCTCCCACAAATCAACAAAATAATGGCAAAACAATAGAAACCAATACATTTTAGAACTCTGGAAATTACCTAGAGGTACAGAACAAACTAAAAAAAGCATCCATTCAAGAAAATAAACCACTGAACCTCAGTAAGAACAGCAGAGTATGTAGTGGCTTAACTTGAGGCTCTTTTCATCTGTCCTTCCTCCCCAGCTCAGTGGCATGAGCATGATAGCCACACACACACATGCACACACACATATGCATGCACAAACATGCACACAAAACACACATGCACACACACCTATGCATGCACAAACATGTACGACACACATGCACACACATATGCATGCACAAACATGCACAAACACACATGTGCACATACATATGCATGCACAAACATGCACAGGCGCATGCACACACACCCAGCTGGCAGCCTCACAACCAAGTGAAAAGAATGATTATTTTGGGAGCCCTACTAAAAGCCCCATCCTCAGAATAGAGTCAGTAGTTCAACTAAACTAGAAGCAACTTGGAAAATTTCTCCCATGGAGTAGATGTTCCTTGATTTGATTCAGAATTTAGCTCTGGAAAAAAAAAAAAAGCCCTATCCCATTACCGAAAACGATAGCAGTTTGCTGGCAATATTGCAGCTAGGTGAGGTTGTGATTTCAGTTAGGACAAAAACAGCCTGTCCAAACATTTAAAAAGAAGACCTGAAGAGCTAGATGACCATAGGGAACTTCCCACAGCTCTGACGTATTCCTGGATGTGTGCAAGTCTGAGGAGATGCTCAGGAAAGATCTGGGAAATGAGAAGACCATGTCTGGCTGACCTCAAGATCCTGTGTAAGCAGGAAATGAAAACCAAGGTTGTTTTGTAAGCTGCCTACAATTTTAAGGTGTGCTTTACAAACACCCTTGGCAAAGGATGGCTTAAGGTATTGAAGAACATTTTCTGATTGATATTTGGCTGACCGCTAAACTATACTGAACTTAGGGTAATTTTTAGGGATCCAGGCTTAAAAATAAAAATAAAAACTTAAAAGAACTCTAGCAGAGAACTCAATGACAGCACATTGCAAGGAATATAGAATCTACAGAATTAATCCTAGAAAGTTATTAAAATAAGCAGCTTCAAGAGCAAGAACAATGAAATAGCAGCAACAACAAATTCTGGGGTGAGGGGATAATCTGACCAGAGTTGTTACAATATGTTACCTAAAATGCCCGGTTTTCAACAAGAAGTAAGACATAAAAGAAGCCCAAGGAATGTATGGACCATGCACAGAAAAAATAAATAGCAGCCAATAAAAAGTGTTCTGAGTGGCCCAGTTGTTGGACTTTGTACACAACAACTTTGCATCAGCTGTTTTAAATATTTTCTCTTTTTTTTTTGCCAACTAAAGAAGACATCCAATATAAATATTTTCAAAGGACTAAAGGCAACTATGTTTAAAGAGTTAAAGGAAAGTATGGCAACTACGTCTCACTAAATAATGAATATCAGTACAAAATAGAAATAATAGAAAAGAGCTAAATAGAAATTCTGGAGTTGTAAAATATAGTAACTTCAGTAAAAAAATTAAAACAAATTTGAGTTGGCAGAAGAAAGAATTAGTGCATTTGAAGAAAGACCACTAGAGATTATCTAGTCCAAGGAACAGAAAGAAAAAAGAATGAAGGAAAATGAACAGTCTCAGAGATCTATGGGTCACCATCAAGTATACCAACATAATGGTAGTTTCAGACGGAGAGGTGAAGGAGAGAGGAAGAAAAAAACTATTTGAAGAAATAATGGCTGAAAATTTTCCTATTTTGATGAGAAACATATTTACTCACCCAAAAAGTTCATAAAAGAAGTTCTATGTAGAACAAACAAAAAGAGATCTAAATGTAAACATATCATAGTCAAACTGAAGAAAGTCAAAGAGAAAATCTCGGCTGGGTGGAGTGGCTCACACCTGTAATCCTAGTACTTTGGGAGGCCGAGGCAAGCGGATCACCTGAGGTCAGGAGTTCAAGACCAGTCTGGCCAACATGATGAAATCCCATCTCTACTAAAAATACAAAAATTAGCTGGGTATGGTGGCGTGCACCTGTAATCTCGGCTACCTGGGAGGCTGAGGCATGAGAATTGCTTGAACCCAGGAGGCGGGTGTTGCAGTGAGCCAAGACTGAACCACTGTACTCCAGCCTGGGCGACAGAGCATGTTAAAAAAAAAGAAAAAAAAAAAAAAGACAGAGAGAGAGAAAATCTTGAAAACAGCAAGAGAAAAATGATTTATCAATTAGATTAACATTTGACTTCTCATCAGAAACCATGAGAGTCAGAGGACAGTGAAATGACATATTCAAAATGTTGAAAGTGTTGAAAGAAAGACTGTCAACTCAAAATTCTATATCCAATCAAATTATTTTTGAAAAGTGAAGGAGAAATAAAGACATTTTCAGATAAACAAAGACTGAGATAATTCATTGTTGGGGACATGACTTATAAGAAATATAATGAGAGTCTTTCAGATTGAAAAGAGAGGACACTAGACTAGCAACTCAGATCCACATGAAGAAATAAACCAGCAAAGGTTATTGTACAGGTAAAAGATAAAAGACAAAAGATAGTATAAAGATATATTTTTAAACTCTTTTCTTCCCCTAACTGATTTTAAATGACAACTGAAAAAAACAATTGCAAAATGGTGTTATAAGCTTTTAGTGTATAAAGTTGTAATTTATATGACAATTATAGCACAAAGGAGTGGGGAGAGAAGATACTATACTGAAGTCAAGTTTCTCTATACTATTGCAATAAAGTTAAGATTAAGTTAAAATATGTAATGTAATCCTCAAAGCTAGTGCCAAGAAAATGACTTAAATATTTAGTAAAGATAACAAAGGAAAATTTAAGAAATATTAGAAAAGAATAAAAATCCCAAATCAACAACCTAGGATTTTATTCAAGAATCCTAAAAATAAGAGAAAACTAAATAATTAAGATTAGAACTGAAACCAATGACATAGACATAGAAAAAATATGGAGAAAATCAGTAAATCCAAAAGTTGGTTTTTTGAGAAGATCAACAAAATTGGCTAACCTTTTTATTATTGAAAAAGAGGAAGAGGAGACACAGATCATCAAAATTAATAATGAAAAAGTGGTATTACTATTGATCTTTCAGAAAGTAGAGGATTAAAAGGGAATACTAAAAATAACTTTATGCCAATAAATTCAACAACATAGATGAAATGGATGAATTACTAGACAGACACATATTACTAAAACTGACTCAAGGAGAAATTAAAAATCTGAATAGAACTATGAGAAGTAAAAATATTTAATTAGTAACTTAAATTAGTAATTTATAAACTTCTCACAGAAAAAGCCCAGGCCCATATGGCTTCATTGGTAAGTTCTACTAAACACTTAAAGAAGAATTGACAACAATTCTTCACAAACTAGTCTAGAAAATAGAAAAAAGAGTAACAGTTCCCAACTGACTGTATGAGGCCCTGATACAAAAGTCAGTCAAACATACCACAACAACAACAACAAAAAAACGAAACTACAAACCCACATCTCTTACGAATATAGATGCAAAAATTATCAACGAAATACTAGCAAACTAAATCCAGCAAAATCTAAAAATGGTTAGACACTATGACCAAGAGGGATTTATCCTAGGACTACAAAGTCGATTTAACATTCAAAAAATCAACTAATATTAATAGAAGAAAGGACAAATGCCACATGGTCACTTCAATAGATGCAGAAAAAGTATTTGACAAAATCCAACGTCCATTCATGACAAAATACTCTCCATAAACTTGGAAAAGAAGGGAATTTCCTCAGCCTGATAGAAGTCATCTACAAAAAAACCTAAACTCATAGCAGGCGAAGATGTGTACACTTGCCACTTCTTTTCAAAACTTGCTGGAGGTTCTAGCCAGATCAATCAGGCAAAAAAAAAAAGAAAAGAAATGAAAGGTATCTACATTTGAAAGCAAGAAGTAAAACTGACTGTGTTTGCAGAAGACATAATCTTGCATGTAGAAAATCCTAAAGAATATACACACACACAAATATACACACATACAGGCTGTTAGAACTAATGATCAAGTATAACAAGGATGTACTATACAAGATCAGTTTATAAAAATCAATTGTATTTTGCCTGAACCCAGGAGGTGGAGGTTGCAGTGAGCCAAAATGGCACCACCGCACTCCAGCCTGGTGACAGAGTGAGACTCCATCTCAAAAGAAAAAAAAAAAAACCAATTGTATTTTTATTTACAAATAACCTGAAAATGAAAGTAAGAATACAATACCTCTTACAATAGCATCAAAAAGAATAACATAAGTAAGAATAAATTTATCAAAAGAAGTACAAAAATTGTATACTGAAAATTATGAAACATTATTGAAGTTGCCAGCCAAGATAAACTTAGATTCTTTCATTACTGTATACCAAAATAACTCAAAATGTATCATAGACTTTAAGGGTTAATAAAATAAAAATCTTGAAGAAAACCTAAGAGAAAATCTTTGAGACCTTGGGTTAGGCAAAGATATCTTAGATATAACACCAAAAGCACAGTTTGTAAAGGAACAAAAACTATAAATTGGACTTCGTCTTAACTTTTTTGCTTCAAAAGAAATCATTAAGGAAAGGAAAAGATAAGAACATATTTGGAAAAATACTTGAATAATAAATGCTGTTCAAAAGAAGTTCAAATCAAAAAGTTGTTCAGAAGAGAAGGAAAGCTAATGTGATAGTTCAATGAGTCGTGGAAGAAAAAGCTTTGAAGTTAGAAATATGCATTCACATTTCAGCTGAGCCATTTCCTACTTTTTTGCTTTGGGACACAATTTTCTGAGCCTGGGGATCATCAGGTCCACAGGATTGAAGGGTTGCTTGATGATTGTGGTTAGAGGTAAGCTCTTAACAAATGATGACTATTATTGTCGTAATAATACATGATATGGTCTTATTAAATAAGATAATGCATGTAAAGCACCTAGTAGTTCCTTGTGCATATTAAATATTCAAAAATGTTATCTATTATTAATCACTAAGTTATTATATCAGAATCCAAAAGGAAAGCTAAAGTATGATCATGCCCCATTTTAATTCTCTGAGTACTGTAAACCGAAAAATATATAAGAATTTCCAAGTTTTAACCAATGGAACACTTGTTTTAAAGCGATAGTCAGCTGGGCGTGATGGGAGGATTGCTTGAGCCCAGGAGTTCGAGACCAGCCTGGGCAAAATGGTGAGACCCCGTTTCTACAAAACATAAAATAATTAGCTGAGGCCAGGTGCAGTAGCTCACGCCTGTAATACCAGCAGTTTGGGAGGCCAAGGTGGGTGAATCCCTGGAGCTCAGGAGTTCAAGACCAGCCTGGGCAACATGATGAAACCCCGTTTCTACCAAAAATACAAAAAATTAGCCAGATGTGGTGGTGTGCACCTGTGATCCCAGCTACTTGGGAGGCTGAGGTGGGAGGATTGTTTGAACCTGGGAGGCAGAGGTTGCAGTGGGCCGAGATCGCACCACTGCACTCCAACCTGGGTAACAGAGTGAGACACTGTCTTAAAAAAAAAAAATTAGCTGGGCGTGATGGCACACACCTGTGGTCCCAGATACTTGGGAGGCTGAGGCAGGAGGATCACTTGGAGGAGGAGGTGAAGGCTACAGTGAGCTGTGTTGGCACCACTACACTCCAGCCTGAGTGACAGAGTGAGACTCTGCCTAAAATAATAATAATAACAAAGAAATAGTCAATCATTGTAAGTCAGTAATACGACAGGAGAAATTGGAAATCCTTCAGGGTGAAGATTTTATTTTAGTAACATGCTTTATTTTAGCACAAATGCATACCATGGACTTGCTGGGGATGGGTTGGGGAGGGATGATACAGTCGTTATAGAAAATCATATCATATTTTATTCATTATGCTTATTCATTCATCACATGGTCACTTTGAATTCTTACCATTCCTTATATTTCCAAGATCAAATTTGTTTCTTATTATGCTAATATCCCTATAAATTCCCAGTCTCCAGGAGGTCTGAGTTGGTTCTATTATGACTTATTCCACCTGCCAGGGGAGAAACTGTTCCTGAGAAATGAAGGGACTTTCCCAGGGCTTCAGGGTTAGAGAGTGGCTGGTTTTAGACAAACCGGTGCTACCCATACTGTTAACCCAACACAGGCATGCTTATAAGGAAAGGTTAAAAAAAGTAAAAGGAACTCGGCAAATCTTACCCCGCCTGTTTACCAAAAACATCACCTCTAGCATTACCAGTATTAGAGGCACCGCCTGCCCAGTGACATATGTTGAATGGCCGCGGCTTTCTACGTCTCTAGGGGCTGTGGAGAATACGTGAGAAGACCGCATCCCCTGCTCACATGCAGGGCATACCCTACAGTGGAGCTGTATGGGGCTGCCTGGAAGCCCCCTCACCCCAGGTAGAGAAGTAACTGACTCCATGACTCCTCCAGTAGCAGCCTCCAATGTGCAGGGAGGAGAGGCACTGAGCACCTGTGCCATCCCTGGCCTCTCATCCAGAACCCAGCCCCAGGGATGGGAGTGCTCCAGGCAATAAGTGGAGAAAAGCAGTTAAGTTAAACTCCCTGGGAGAGGCTGGGGCACCGTCTCAGCCAGCTGGGGCTCATATGATGGAATACAATAGCTGACGTGGCTTATAAACGGTAGAAATTTATTTCTCACAGTTCTGGAGGCTGAAAGCCCCAGGTCAGGGTGCCAGCACTGTGGGGTGACTGGTGGGGACCTGCTTCCAGCTGGGAGACGGTCACCTTCTTGTGATGTCCTCACATGATGGAGGGGACAAGGGAGCGCTCTCGGGCCTTTTTTATGAAGGTGCTGAGCCCATTCATGGTGGCTCTGCCCTCATGACCTAATTAGCTCCAAAGGTCTCACTTCCAAATATCATCACCTTGGGGGTTAGGATTCTAACATGAATTTTAGTCCATAATGGGCATTTCTCTCTCTCTCTCTCTGTCTCTGTCTCTCTGTCTCTCTCTGTCTCTGTGTCTCTCTGTCTCTCTCTCTCTCTCTCTCTCTGTGTGTGTGTGTGTGTGTGTGTGTGTGTATGTGAGAGAGAGAGAGAGATACAGACAAACAGAGATGGGGAGGGACCAGGAGATACTCCTTCCCATTGCATCACTGATCCATGCACAGTCTTGGCTCCTGTTTAGGGGAGCAGAAGTGTTTGGCTCTGCCCTCCTTTCAGAAAGGGGTAGTTGCCTGTTTACAGTAGGTAGGGCCATGCTGGGCTCCTCCCTCCCCTCCCTTGGCTGTGGTCCCTAGGTAACCAGGAGATACCCTGCAGGTCTAGCCCTGGCACCCTGTTTGCTCTTTGTTCTGCCACATCCCTTGAGGTCTGAGGGACACTGAGGTGAAGTTTGGTCCTGGAATGCACCTGACCACCTTCTCCTGCCCTTTCCTTGCACTTTGCTTCTCTGATCTCCTGGGAGAACTCTGCCATCTGCACTCTTTTTCTTAGTCTCTTTCTCTCTCCCTGTCTCCTTCTCTTCTCTCTCAATCTTGTTTTTCTTTCTCTTTCCTCTCAATCTCTCTGTCTGTCTCTCTCTTTCTTTGCCTGTCTCTGTCTCTCTGTGTCTGTCTCTGTGTCTTTCTTTGTGTCTTTTTCTCTCTGTCTCTCTGTGTCTCTCTCCATCTTTTCCAGGGCAGACATCCTGCCTTGCCATTTCCTGCATGTGTTTCTCTTGTCCATTCCAAGTTCAGAGCAGCCAGAAACAGCAGCCACACCCCAGTACTGATCTGAGCAGAGACCAGGCATGGACTATTGGGCAAATCCTTATGGCTCACATCATAGACTAGGTCAGGAAAATATCGTTCCTCTGTTTCTTTTCTGGGATTCTCAAGGACTGTGGATGGTAGGTGGTGCCACCTGATTGGAGTAAGAGAATGGGTGTGTAGGTACCCTCCCAGGAGGGTGAGCAGATCTTAAATGATAAATCCACTTGAACATTCTAATTTCCCTAAGTCTTTTTTTTTTGAGACGGAGTCTTGCTCTGTCAGCCAGGCTGGAGTGCAGTGGCACCATCTCGGCTCACTGCAGGCTCCGCCTCCCGAGTTCACGCCATTCTCCTGCCTCAGCTTCCAGTGTAGCTGGGACTACAGGTGCACGCCGCCACGCCCAGGTAATTTTTTTGTATTTTTAATAGAGACGGGGTTTCACCGTGTTAGCCACGATGGTCTCGATCTCCTGACCTCGTGATCCACCCGCCTTAGCCTCCCAAAGTCCTGGGATTACAGGCGTGAGCCACCGCGCCCGGTCTTCCCTAAGTCTTTGAATCCCTCCCTCTATAGCATGTCAAGGCAGGTCCATCATTTCAAGCTCACTTACTGTAGGCCACCTTCTGGCCCGTGTTGCAGTCAACCAACCAAACAGAACCTTTTCTAACTCCTTGAGCTGCAACATTAAATAGAGAATCACTGCTTAGGGAGCCCATATCAATAAATTCAGCCTGATCCAATCCAACTTTTTATGTTTCTTTCACTATTATCCAACACCTTTAATATCCATTTCTACGCATGCTTCCCAGACTTCTGTCTGTATAAATTAGAAAACCAAAGTATTTTTATTATTATTATTATTTTTTGAGTCTCACTGTCACCCAGGCTGGAGTGCAGTGGTGTGATCTCAGCTCACTGCAACCTCCGCCTCCCCAGTTCAAGTGGTTCTCATGCCTCAGCCTCCAGAGTAGCTGGGATTACAGGCACCCACTACCATGCCTGGCTAATTTTTGTATTTTTAGTAGAGACGGGGGTTTCACCATGTTGGCCAGGCTGGCCTCGAACTCCTGACCTCAAGTGATTCGCCCACCTTGGCCTCTCAAAGTGCTGGAATTACAGGTACAGGCATGAGCCACTATCCCTGGCTAAAGTGGTTCTTTGGGAGTGCAGCACACCTCCTCATGGGGCACACTTTGATCCTTACTGTTAAAGGCATGCTGGGACTCTGGTCTAGTTCTAGCTCTAGAAGCAAAAAGGGGTGTTGGGGTTGGGTCCCAAGGAGAATCAGCACTGTTTTGCATGGCAGCTGCCTCAGGGGAGGCCTTTGCAGCTTCCCCAGGCAATGCAGAGTTAATCCCCTCAGTCAGGGCTGGAGAGGCTGCTTCTACTGGCAAGGAAGACTTACCAGAACACAGAGGATCAATGTCTCCAGTTTCATCAGGGTCTTCCCACATGTCCCCATGAAGTGGCTACCTTGTCTGGGGTATATAACTGGGGTTCGTCATCTTGTGCCAGGGAAATTTAGGACACGAACACTCATGAGGAGTTTAGGAGTGGAGGCTTAATAGACAGAAGAAAGAGAAAGGAGAACAGCTCTCTCTATTGAAAGAAGGGACTTCCAAGCGGAAAGACTGGCTGGCAGGGGATGTGTGGGATTTTATAGTCTGGCTTGAGGAGAGGGTGTCTGATTCACGTAGGGCTCACAGATTGGTTCCATCAGGTATGACGTTTACATGGTGTGTGGGGAAGGCTGGTCACCGCACCCTAGTCTTACAAGGCAAATAAACTCTCCCCTTGGCCAGCAGCCATCTTGTCTGCTCCTTACTGTACAGGTGGCTGGCAAAGAAGGGAAGTTGGAGCCGCCATCTTGAACATGTCTAGTCCCTAGTTCCTGCCGGCATTCACCCGTGCAAGCTCCCAGCCTGCTTGTCTATGTCTGCAGCTCAACATTACAGGCTGCTCTTTGTTAGAAAATGATTTGGGGCTGCTTTTCATTAAAAACAAAATCTTACCGAGGACTCCCATGCCCTCACTATTTGCCTAAGTGATTTGTTCTTAGACGGCCACAGAGTCTCAGTAATGCCTCGGTAATAACTCCTGTATCACCCATACCAATTTTCAGTATCATTTTCTTCCCAATCAATTTCTCATTTTAAGAGTAGACATCCTGCTTGGTTGTCCAATTCAATTTGTGTTGTAATTCAGCCACTTGTAGGGTGTGATTCAATTATAGTTTTGGTTTTCAGCAATCTCAGCTCTGCAGCTACAGAAAATAAGGGTCTCTTTCAGGGCAGGGATAGAAGCTTTCAGGTCATTTATGCGGAGCTTGAGCTGAACATTTGATTTCCCGAGCTCATCCTTTTCTTTCCCCGCTTTGTCCAGTGACATCAGGAGCAGTCAACCAATCTCATTATACTTGTTAGTTTGATTAAAAATGTTTGATGGTACCATATGCATGACCACTCAGATCCTTGGCTCTTAATAAATTTTTGATTATGAGTATTCAACAGTGATGTTTTACCTAACTCTACTGTTACATCACACCATGGACTATCTGCATTCTCTCTACTATTAGGAGTAGTCATCAGTGCCTTTAAAGGTAATCAGCTTAGAGAGCCAATTCCAGAAACCCCAGAAGCAATTCAGAAAGCTCCTGAAGATTTAAGATCTTAAGGATTCTCAAAATGCTTAAGATTCTGTTCCTCTAGAACCATCCTTGGTATTAAAATCTGTAGTAGTCCATATAAACAGAATCAATAGGTGGTAGAAATCTGTCTGTATCTGTATTTCTCCAGCTCTATCTCGATGTCCATCTATCTATATTTATCTATAGACAGAGGAATTGGCTCATGTGATTATGGAGGCCAGCAAGTCTGACATCTGCCGGGCGGGCCAACAGGCTGAAGACTCAGGGAAGAGTTGATATTACAGTTTTGAGTCCAAAGTCAGTCTGGAGGCAGACTTCCCTCTTCCTCGGGGGACCTGAGTCTTTTTCTCTGAAGATGTTCAGCCGATTGGATGAGGCCCACTCACACTGTGGAGGGTCACCTGCGTTACTCAAAGTCTGCTGGTTTCAACGTTGATCTCATTTAAAAACATACCTTCACAGCAACATCTAGACCGGCATTTGACCAAACATCTGGGTGTCATGGTCTAGCCAACTTGACACATACCACAAGCATAATTTGAGATAGGAAATAAACATGGGAGAGGTTTGTTGAGGGGACAGGTGGCCACAGAGTCTCAGTAATGCCCTGTTCATACCCACTTCACAGCCCTCTGTGGATGGAAGCTAACTAGTCCCAGGAGGAGTCATGAAGAAGTGGTGGCTGGCTTTGGGAGTAGCCTGCCTCATGGCACTGCTAGTCTCTCCTGAGGGCCCAGCCGCCCCTGAGGACCCAAGCTTTAGGGTGAAGACTAGCAGATGAGCAGGACAGAGAACTGCTGATGTACAGAAACTGTTCTCTTGCTCTCTTCCTCCACGCCTGGGCCTGAGAACCTGGAGCTAGCTCTTTTTGGAGTTACAGAATTGGGAGAGAGGCCTTGGCTTCTCCTGCTATGACTGACTGATGACATGAGGAGCAGGGATGGTATGAGCCCTCAGACCTGGTTCCTTCCAGACCTGCCTGGGGCAAGTGGTGGCCCTGCTCCTCCCGTGCAACCCTTCCTTCTGGAGGGTCAGGAAGCCTGTCTCTCTTTTCCTCTTTGTCCCTGGTGTGTCCTTCTGGGTAAATGTGTCTGCTCTGCACACTTGAAGCTGCCCATGGAGGGGGTGTGTAGGTGGGAAGGAGTCCAGCTGTGGCTGCATGCCAGGCTCCAGAGTTTCCAGTGCACCTCACCAGTGGCAGAGTTGAGACACACATGTGCACACATGCACACACATGCACATACACATGCATACTCATGCACATACCCACAGCCACACACATACACATGGACCCACATGCACACATGTGGACACACAGAGACACACATGTACATGCACACACATACACATTTTCTATCAAACTGGCCTGTTTCCAGTTGGCTCCAGCCCACCAGGTGGGCAGTGAAGGTATGCTTACTGTCCTTAATACTTGCCCTAGGGGTAGTGACAGTGCTATTACCAGCTCCTGTGACTTTGTCACCAAGAGAAATCACAGATAGTTCCATATCCAATTACAGTTACGGCAGATACTCTGAAATATGGTTTCTCACCAGTGCTTTAAAATTACGGTGCTTCATAGACACAGGGAGGGGAACATCACACACTGGGGCCTGTCGGGGTTGGGGGACAAGGGAAGGGAGAGCGCTGGGACAAATACCTAATGCATGCGGGGCTTAAAGCCTAGATGACAGGTTGATAGGTGCAGCAAACCACCATGGCACATGTATACCTATGTAACAAACCTGCGCATTCTGCACATGTATCCCAGAACTTAAAGTGAAATAAAAATAAAATAAAATAAAATGAAATTACGGTGCTTGCTACACATTCTGCTGGATCTCGTTGTATTTAATGCATAATGAAGAAACACACATGTCACAATATCACAACTCCATTGCCTTTCAAATCGTAAGGGTTTTAGTCCATGCATTGGAAAACATTATTCTGCTCCTAGTCACATCTTTGGACGCCAGGACTCTTCTGACATGCCACAGGATAACTGTCCAAGCAACAGTCTACCACAAATGGTAGACACAATCACACTAAAT
Organism: Homo sapiens; assembly: GCF_000001405.40. Taxonomy (NCBI): domain Eukaryota; kingdom Metazoa; phylum Chordata; class Mammalia; order Primates; family Hominidae; genus Homo; species Homo sapiens. Next base: position 45,258,256 of record NC_000007.14, read on the forward strand.
TCCAGGAACCAATAGAAAATCCTCAGTGATGCATTCAACCAGGCCGAAAGCAGGAGAAGCAGAGGACACAGGCCATGGGGGTTGCTGGGCTCCTGCAGGGTGCTGGGTTATCTCTCCTCTGAGTGAGAAGGAAAGTGCTGGAAGGTGAAGGAAGATGATGGGATTTAAAACAGTGGTTCTGAAACATTTGCACTTGGTGTTCTTAAAAATATTGAGGGGACAAGGAACTTTTGTGTATATGTCTCTCCATGTTTAACATAAGAAATCCAAACAAAGGAATTTAAAAAATAGGAATACAAAGCAACCGTTCCATTCCATTAGTCATGGAGGTGCCAGAAAGCTCCACTTGGGAGAAAGTGAGAGTGAAAAGGCATTTTTTTCTTAGTATTTTTATGTCACAGGTATCCCAAAGGAGGCTGGGGGTGCCCACAGGAGTCCTCAGGGAGGCTGAGGTCAGGGGGAGGATGGGGAGCCCGGATGCTGTTTTGCATATGACTGGTGAGAGAAGCCTACAGACACCCAGGTGGAGATGTTACAGACAGACTGGAAACATGAAATGGCATTAAGGGGGAAGTCTCAGCTGGAGGTAAGCATTTAGGGGTCGTCCACATAGAGGTGCATTTGGAACTGAGGATGGAGTGTGAGGAGGTGAGAGAAGAGGCCCCAGACTGGGAACAGGAAAAGCTGGCACCAGAAGGGTGGTGTGGAGGTGGAGGGCAGCCAGGGATGGGAGAGGATGGCAATCAGTGTATGCCCTGACCTGAATGTGCCACATCTGTGCTCTGCTGTCTAGCCGGTGAGCTGTTTGCAGAGCTCTGGCTTTTGGATGCAAACAGCTCACCAGGACCCACATGTCTGGATGGTGGGGAAACCACTCCTTTCCCGTGAGCAGGCTCCTGTCTTCCCTTGTGTCTCCTCTGTGTAGGGAGGTGTCCTGCTCATTCATGCAGGGACTTCAACAGAAAGATGACCTTGCATGTGGGGAAAGGAATGGAGGTGCCTGAGACAATGCCTGGAGCCCCAGCTGCTCCCTGCTCCCCACATCCTGCCCTCCCCAAAATGGGGTTGAGCACCCAGCCCCACCCACCGCCATGGATCTCAGTGGCCCCTGCCTGCTCCTCCCAGGAGAGTGGAGATGTAAGGTAACTGGGGGGACTGTCCAGGCCCCCATGGGCGCCTCTGGTGAATGTCCATCCTGCTGCTCCCTAGAAAATTCCCTGCAAATAGAAGACGGCAAGGAGGGCTGCGAGCTGAGTGTGACTGTGGGTGAGGCCACTCACCTGCTCAGAGCCCCAGTTTCCACATGAGAAATTAGATCCATCCTGATGGTTTCTAGAAGTTAGAAACATGCAGTGGCAGTTGAAGAGCTTCTCAGTTCTGACCTCGGGACACACGTGTCCCCTTCCTTGGGGACTGCCTGTGCCACCTCCACTGGCTTGGTCATCTGGGTTCATGGTTCACACCCACCCTTCCAGGCTGCGGTTCCCTCCTGCTCCAACAGAAGGACCCTGTAGTGGAGGAGTGAGGGTGTACCTGGACACCAGCGCAAGATAGGAGGGGCCCCTGATTTCCCGGACGCCAGCTCGGAGCAGATGGCCTGGCAGGGAGGTTTTGCTTTTGCGCAGGGCCACAGAGCAAGGTAGGAGGGGCATCTTCAGATATTCTCAACCGGAACTCCTTATTCACACCAAATTGTGTTCTGACTTCCACCGCCATTCGTTCATTCATTCATTCATCCACTCAACAAATAAGGAGCAGCTGCGTTCCAGGCGCTGGTTGTGGCTGTGGCAGGGTGCAGGGAGCAGAAGTACGCGGTGAGACGGTGCATGCGCGCGCAATCAGATCCGGGTTAGCAGGATGCATCTTTGAGGTCCCCAAACCAAGCCACCTGCACGGACCCAATATCTCTGGCGCGTCCCGAACGCCGTGGATTGGCGTCTGCCGCCCCCTGCCGGCGGCGCGCTGCACTGCAGACACTGAACTCGCCCAATGGGTGCGCTGAGGGTGGAAGACCCTGACCCTGCTCTTCAAACCTCAAAGGGCAGTTTCTTCTCACTGATGAAGGGGCTGGTTGCTGTCTTAAGCATGTAAAAAGGAGGGCCATGCCTTTGAGGAGTGAACCGGGTTGTCTCATAGATCTGCTTAGGTTTGATTCAGAGCATCTCCAGCGCTCCCGTCCCTGGTGCATTGTAGAGACAGGAGCTGGAGGGGCCTGGGGACCTGCGGACCCAGTGTCACCTGCCCATACCCTTACACATTTCACAGACTAGGAGGGACAGGGAAAAGGGCTTTGCACATTCAGGGAGAGTTAGGGCTAAGACCATGCATGGGGCCCTCATCCCCTGACTTTCAGCCCAGGGCTCCTCCCATAACCCCGGAGTCCTCAAAGAAGCCCTGGGACAGCCTGATGCTCCTCCTGGGAGGACTGAGCTGGGGACCAGGGCTGGAGTAGGGGGTCCTTGTGTGGCTATGGTCCTTCCAGTCCCTGTGAGCTCGGCTATGACTCGAGTTAATGACCTTGAGAAAGCTCTGAGCCCTTTAGGCAAATGCAAGACGGGTTATAAGCTACAAGAGCAGAAAAACAAAGGGAAAGCGAGGAAGCCGGCTTTCTGGATGGTCTGGCAAATGCAGATCCCAAGCCTCTATACCGCAGAGCCAGGCCCAGGTGAGTGGTGTGGTTCGCCATTTGCTGGTTTGGGTCCTGAAACTCCTCATGTGAACCCCATGTTTCCTTCTCCACATCTGGGAGGTGACCAGGCTGGGCCTCACCTTGTTTATTGGGCTAAGGGCACTGCCTCTCATTAAAATGCAAATTCCTCAGGAAGGCAAGGCCTCGAATTATTAAGTTACTGGTAGAAAGTTTTAAATACATTTCTTTAAAAAGATGTGCTAAGGAGATTAGAAAAAGCTGGGAGACACGGGCTGATCAGCGATTATTGTCCCCAGGGAGCTGACTTGCGCATTTCAGGGGGTAGTGGTGGAGGTGGGCTCTGTGGGAACTACATGCTGGGTACAGGCTGCCGGGGAGGACCTGATATCTGGGAGCAGGTGACAAGGCCTCTCATCCTGACAAACTGTGGGAGATGCATAGCTGAGGAGAGAAGAGGGAGTGAAGGGAGTGGGGTCAGGCCCAGTGTCCCAGGACTTTGTTAGGACAGGCAGTGGACTGTGTTTCTAGCTCCCCACAGCAGAACATGGCTGTTATTAATCTCTCCCTTTCCAAACAGTGACACGGAGGCACACAGAGACTGAGGGGCAGGGTGAGTCAACTGCTCATTTTTGTCAGCTAGTGGGATAATTTCTCTTAGGGAGTGAACTAACTCTGTTTAGGAGAGTAACTAAGAGGGTAGAAGGCACAGTCCAGAGGGCATGGGTTGGGCAGAGAGAACCTAGAAACAGTGAAGCAAGCCTGCCAAAGAGTAGGGCCTCTGCTGCCTGGGAGAGAGGAGAGACCACGAGGGAGGGAGCCATGGAAGAGACAGAGCCAGGCCCATGGCCTTGGTCAGCAGAAAAGGCTGGGGGACTTTCAGGTGTCCAAGTTTTACAATTACTTTTAATTTATTTGTGCACATACCCACTTAGATACATCATTTCATTTAAATACGCACATGTGGTCACACAACATTTTAAAAACGTATTTATTTTAAATAATTTTCAGATGATAATTTATTTTTTTCTTCCTCGCCTTCTTCTCCTCTCCCTCCTCCTTTTTGCTTCCAGGGTGACTCATGTCAAAAACATTGTGGATGTCCCTTTCCAGTTTCCTATTGACTTGTGTATTACCTTACAGCATTTCTCCCCATTCAGCTGTCCCTAGTAGAAATCCTTAGGCTAACCTGGTACCACCGATTCATAGTCTTTAATGGCTGAATAATAACCCACAGTGGGAATGTGCTACCATGATTGATCCAGCCATCTGCCTACTAAAGGGCGTTCACTTTGTTTCCAGGTTTTTGCCATCGGAATAGCTTTGCATTCAATGTCTCATGCATAAATATGCCTTTATCTACTGGTGCTGTTATTTCTTCGGGACAGTCCAAAATCTTATGATACATGTTAAAACGTTGCTGGAAGTCAGGAACCCTGAACGGAGGGACCGGCTGAAGCCATGGCAGAAAAACATAAATTGTGAAGATTTCATGGACATTTATTAGTTCCCCAAATTAATACTTTTATAATTTCTTATGCCTGTCTTTACTGCAATCTCTGAACATAAATTGTGAAGATTTCATGGACACTTATCACTTCCCCAATCAATACCGTTTTGATTTCCTATGCCTGTCTTAACTTTAGTCTCTTAATCCCATCATCTTCGTAAACTGAGGAGGATGTGTGTCTCCTCAGGACCCTGTGATGATTGCGTTAACTGCACAAATGGTTTGTAGAGCATGTGTGTTTAAACAATATAAAATCTGGGCACCTTGAAAAAAGAACAGGATAACAGCAATGTTCAGGGAACAAGAGAGATAACCTTAAACTCTGACCACCGGTGAGCCGGGCGGAACAGAGTCATATTTCTCTTCTTTCAAAAGAAAATGGGAGAAATATCACTGAATTATTTTCCTCAGCAAGAAACATCCCTGAGAAAGAGAATGTGTTCCTGAGGGTAGGCCTCTAAAATGGCCGCTTTGAGGGGTGGCCGTCTTTTATGGCCGAAGACGTAGGGATGAAATAAGCCCCAGTCTCCCGTAGCACTCCCAGGCTTATTAGGATGAGGAAATTCCTGCCTAATAAATTTTGGTCAGACCGGTTGTCTGCTCTCAAACCCTGTCTCCTGATAGGATGTTATCAATGACAATGCGTGCCTGAAACTTCATTAGCAATTTTAATTTCACCCTGGTCCTGTGGTCCTGCGATCTCGCCCTGCCTCCATTTGCCTTGTGATACTCTATTACCTTATGAAGCATGTGATCTCTGTGACCCACATCCTATTCATACACTCCCTCCCCTTTTGAATATCACTAATAAAAACTTGCTGGTTTTACGGCTCAGGAGGCATCAAGGAACCTGCCGACATGTGATGCCTCCCCCGGACACCCAGCTTTAAAATTTCTCTCTTTTGTACTCTGTCCCTTTATTTCTCAGACTGGCCGACACTTAGGGAATATAGAAAAGAACCTACGTGAAATATCGGGGGTGAATTTCACCTGTATCTGGCTGAATTTCCCCCGATATATGTGCATTTCAGAAAGTTAAAATCTATAGCCGTAGAGCTAGGCTGTGTTACTTGCATTCCTACCAGCAATACATGAGGGTACCATCTTCCTTGGATTGTCACTTAGTGGGTGTTATCACTTTTTGTATTTTTACTAGTATAATTCTTTTAAAGTGATATCTCATTCTTTTAAAATTTTAATGTCCCTAGTAATTTTGAGCATCCTTTCACATTTGTTAGCTGTTCAGATTTGCTCCTCTGTAAATTTCTTTTCTTATCCTTTCTCCATTTTGACTTTTCCATATCAATACAACAGAGCTCTTATATATTATAGATATTAACCCTCTGTCATCTCATGACAAATATTTGTTCCCGATTTATCATGTGTTTATAATGTCTTTTGCCATATGGAAGTCTGTTATTCTTTTGTGAAAAATTTTAGTTAGAAATAGTTATAGACTCATAGGAAATTGTAAAAGTAAATACAGAGTCCTGTGTACCCTTCGCCCACCTGCCACATTTGTGATACCTTATGTAGCTAAGTCACTAATGTTACATCTGCACAACTATGGATAGCAGTACATTGTCACAACCAGAAAACTGATGTGGGTGCATTGCTGTTAACTAGCCTATAGACCTTATTTAGTTTTTACCATTTTTTTTTTTGGTACAGAGTCTCGCTCTGTTGCCCAGGCTGGAGTGCAGTGGCTCGATCTCGGCTCACTGCAACCTCTGCCTCCCAGGTTCAAGTGATTCTCCTGCCTCAGTCTCCCGAGTAGCTGGGATTACAGGTGCCTGCCACTGCACTGGGCTAATTTTTGTATTTTTAGTAAAGACGTGATTTTGTTATGTTGACCAGGCTGGTCTTGAACTGCTGACCTCAGGTGATCCACCCGCCTTGGCCTCCCAAAGTGCTGGGATTACAGGTGTGAGCCACTGCGCCCTGCCAGTTTTCACCATTTTTTAAAAGCTGCACTTATGTGCATGGTGTGTGTGTGTGTGCCTGTGTGTGTACGTGTAGTTCTCTGCAAACACAGAGAACTACAGTAGTTCTATGTAGTTTCGTCATGAGTGTAGATTTATGTAACCACCCCCACAATCAAGATACAGCAGTGCACATCACCACAAAACAGCTGGTGCTACCGTATCTGTTCATGCCTACACCTAACACCACTCCTTTTTATCCCTTGGCCACCGCTAATCTGCTTTCCATATCTATAGTTTAGTTACTTTGAGAACGTTTTGTAAATGAAATGTTATGCTATATGACCTTTTGAGACTGATTTTTTCCCACCCCATATATATGTAATATATCACAGCTGACATTTTATTTGTAAGGGGTTTTAATTGTAGGAAGGAGGACCCTGGGGGAATGAGGCTACTCCATCTTGGCTGGAACTGGAAACCAGTTTTTCATGTTTACCTACTCAAATATACCTTTTATTTTACAGCTTCTGACTTCCAGACTTGGTTAGGAAGTTCTCCATGACCGCTAAATAGTAGATGTAGTTTCTTAGATTTTTCTTGCATTTATTTATTATTTTAGTTTTTTTACACTTGAGTTTTTGCTCAAGTTGGTTTTTTTTTTTTTTCTTTTTGAGATGGAGTTTCACTCTGTCACCCAGGCTGGAGTGCAGTGGCATGATCTCGGCTCACTGCAACCTCTGCCTCCTAGGTTCAAGTGCTTCTCCTGCCTCAGCCTCCCGAGTATCTGGGACTACAGGCCTGCGCCATCACGCCTGGCTAATTTTGTATTTTTACTAGAGGCAGGGTTTCACCATGTTGGTCAGGCTGGTCTTGAACTCCTGACCTCAGGTGATCTGCCTGCCTCGGCCTCCCAAAGTGCTGGGATTACAGGTGTGTAGCACCATGCCTGGCTGGATTTTTTATATAGTGTATGATGGAGAGCCATTCAAAAATATATTTATTTCTAAAATTATGTGCACTTTAGTTGTGCTTCTCAAACTTTAATGTCTGCTTCTGAATAGCCCCGAAGCTCCACATTTTTGAGAAGTTCCTTGTGATCTTGCAGCTGCTGATCCACAGTTTGAGCAGCCTGTTTTCATTTAGTTTCTTGCCTTGGTCTCATGTTCTTGGTCTTTAATAAAAGTATACTTATTGCTTATCTTTGCTCTGTGCAAATGGCATTTTGAAGGAAAGAAAGTTTCAAGAAGAATGAGCTTCAAGGTGTCACCCTTTTGGTAATCTCCTCTAGTTTCTTGGTTTTAAATCCATTTATATGCTACAATCTCCAATTTTTTTAAATCCCCAGTCTGTATTTCTCCTTGGAACCATGGATTTGTACACTCAGTTTCCTATGAGGCATCTCAACTTGGACTTCAAACGGTGCTCCACATCTCAGCTTGTCCCAAACTGAGCACCAGGTCTTATCACTCCCTACAGTTGCTCCTGACTGTCTCTCCAACTTTACAAATGGTAGCCCTATTTTTCCGGGTAAGAAAGAAGCCTTGATATCCACTGTGGTTCCCCTGCTACGCTCACAATCCATGCCCAGTCTATGAGCAAATGCGGGGCACTCAGCCTTACAGCATGTCTGGAATCTGACTACTTCCCTGCTGCCACCTGACTAAGCCACCACTGGCTCTTACTGGCAACGTCCTCAGAAATTATGTCCAGCCTCTGCCTCAACACTCAATGTAGACACTAAAGTGACCCTTGCACGTGTCACTGTTCTCAAAACCCTGCCATGGCTCCCCCATTACTCAGAGCAAAGGCCAAGGTCCTTTCCAGACCCTACGGGGACCCTGTTACTTCTCTAAACTTATCACCCTCATCTGTTCAAAACGCACTATCCAGACATCCAGTAGCACTTGTTTCAGTTTTTGGTCACCTGGTCTGTCCCCTTTTCTCTTTCAATCTTTGCTCAAAGGTCACCTTTGTGGTTGAATTTTCCCTGGTGAGGAAGTCCAGCCTCCTCTCCTGACCCTGTTCTCTCCTCCACATTCCTCTGTTTTCTCTACTGCACTCGTCACCCCCTGCAGTAGCTTCCTAGGGCTGCTGTAACCAAGTGCCACAAACTGGGTGTCTTCAGCGATGGAGGTTTATTGTTTCACAGTTTGGAGGCCAGAAGCCTGACATCAGGGTGTTGCAGGGCTGGTTCCTCTGAGGGTTGAGAGGGAGGGATGAGCTGCAGGCCCCTCTCCTTGGCTTGGAGATGGCTGTCTTCTTTGTGTCTCCACCCATCTTTCCTCTACGTATGCCTGTGTCCAAATTTCCCCTTATAATGATGCCAGTCATACTGCATTAGGGCTTACCCTGTTGGCTTCATTGTAACTAGATTACCTCTGTCTGGACCCTATCTGCAAAGAAAGTCACATTCTGAGGTCCTGAATATTAGGACTTCCACATCTAAATTTTGAGGGAACACAATGCAACCCGTAACACCATCTCACATACTCTAGATTTTGGTCATTGTGTTTATTTTCTGCCTCTACTTACCAGAATGTAGGCTGTATGAAAGAAAGCATTTTTGCATGTTTTACAGACTCTTTTGTCACCCAGACAGGGAACAGAAAAGAAATGAAAGAAACGTCACACAGATGTGATGAGCTGGAAATTCAGAAATTTGGAGCTAGAACCAGGAGAACTTGGAGGCCAGGGGAGATGTAAATCCCCTAGGATTTAGAAGAGTCTTGCGAAGGCTTCCATTTTCCTGCAGAATGTAGGGTGGGCATTTGAGGGAATGTTAACTCTATCTTAGGGGCAATACCTAGCACAGCTGGGATCTGAAGCTGATTCCTTGAGTCCAGAGCTTCCCTCCCACATGTTCTCAACTCTCTGGGTAAAGATCTCTGTCTCTCTCTGTCTCTCTCTCTCCCTCTCCCCTAACCATTCAGAAACCCCACACTGGGAATACTCGCCACAATGCCTGTGAGAAAATGAAGGCATGAGTTTGTGTTTTAGGTAATTTTAGGTAAATCCCCTGTGTCCCTTCCCTGGGGATCAAGATCAAACGCCTAAGCTTGGATGAAGTGTGCTACAGATGACAACAGGCAGGGCGTGGGGAAGAGGCTGGACAGCTCCAGGGTGTAGGGAAGAGGCTGGACAGCTCCGAGAGAAGGAGCTGGGAATTCTGACATCCGTCCTTGAATGGGTGGCCAAGGGCGGCTCTGAAGACCGCGAGTAGCCGCATGAGCAGTTTATTTCCCACCTGGTCATTAGAGTGGGGCTCCCTCATTTCTAAAGTGGATTTATCTATGTTAGCAGACACTGAAAATTTAACATGCTGCTTGCAGAACATTTTATGTAACTGTATTGTTACAAGAATAACAGATTAAATCTGTTAAAAAAATCCAGAATCCCACTACTCTGACACATCAACTGTCCTTGCACATCTAAATATAGCATGGTTGTAATTTTTTACTTCTGTTTGTCACTTATTAGCTTTTTAAACAAAATGTTGTTAAGCAGTCATCATAATTGTCCCTCTGGAGGGCTGTGCCAGGTCTCTTTGTGTTGACATATGATGTCGCCGCGTCCTGACTGGATGTTTCACTACAGCACATTGTCATGAAAGTGAAGACTATCGGCAACATACATGTATCTTCATGGATTCAGCCTTTCCCTTTGGGGAGGACTATTGATTTATGCAAACTGTCTAGCAATGAAATTACTGAGAAGACTTTATGGCTATTTAAGCATTACTGGCAAATTATTTTCCCTAATTGGTTTTTAAGAACATTACTATTGTGGTTAATGTGCAACTAGAATCGTTCCACCATATCCTTGCCAAGTGTCAAGTGCTTGCTTTCTGCAAACTGTCTGTTGGAGACTCTCCTCCCACACGGTCTGCAGCCAAATGGGGATGACACTGGGCTGGGTGCTCTGAGCCAGTTCTGGTATCTGCGCTGTACCTGTTTCCCTATCAGAAAGGTGCTGCTGCCTTAGGACTCCATCCTGCTTCTTCCAAGGCCACTAAGATCATGTAGTGATTTCAATGCACCCACTGTTTCTCTGGCCATGCACTCTAATCAACTGCTAAGATAAAAAACATTTCTCCATTCCTCTAGTCTGAGGAAAGTAACAGTTTATGCCTCCTTTGCTCTCTCCTGATTTCATCTTGGTGCATGGAGTTTGCAAGGGGACACTCAGCTTGTCTTTGATGTCTGGTTCAGGCACTTTCTCAATGGGAATTGTTTGGTCTTTTTCTTTTAAGGAATTTCAAAAGCTTGACAAAAATTATCTGAGAGGAAAATGTGTGTTCCCAGATTGGAAGCAGCGAAAAAAAGGCACAGCATCACCACATCATTTTAGCATCCATTGGTGCCGTTGAAGGGCAAGAGAATGAACTTTGATGAGAAAGAAGTAGTTATCCTGGTTAATAACTGACTTGGAGCACTAGAACCCTTTGCTGCTGAGAAGTGGTCCCAGTTCCAGGGCTGGGTATTTGAAATCCTGAGCTGGACTCTGACATCTTGGTCATCCACCCTCCATGGCCATGCCTGTCTCCCAGGGCTGTCCGTCAGGGCTCCCTGAAGTCCTCTTCTCCAGGAACACAGACCCATACCTGCTCCCTATCACTGACATGACATGGTGTCTGGGACCCTCACTGCCTCTGTCACTCATCTAGGAAGCGGCTGATTGAAGCCTCTCCTCAGGAGTGTCTCCTGGAAGAGAGAATATGGAGACTGTGCAGCTCAGGGCGTCACCCTCCAGACTGAATTGCTCTGGCCTCCACACATCCAGGACACATCTCCCATGGGGACTGTGGTGGTGACTTGTATGTGTCAACTTGCCCAGGCCATCGAGTGCCCAGACATTTGGTCTATGATTAGGTTGGGTGTTTTAGATATGATTGACCTTGACACTGGTGGACTGCAGGCAGCAGATTCCCTCCCTTATGTGAATGGAGGCCTGAATGGAACAAAATGGTGGATTCTGTCCAGAGCAAGAGAATTCTTCCTGCCTGATGGCCTTCAAACAGAAAGGTCAGCTTCTTCCTGCCTTCAGACTTGAACGGAAACATCAGCTCTTCCTGACTCTCAAGCCTGCTGACCTTCAGATTGGAGCTTACATTACTGGCTTCTCTGGGTCTTCACACTGCCCTGACCCTGCAGAGCTCAGAACTTCTCCGCCACCATAATCATGTGAGCCAATTCTCTATCTATCTATCATCTCTATCTATCTCTATCATGTATCTATTAATCTATCTATCATGTATCTATTAGTCTATCACTATTATCTATCATCTATATCTATCTAACACCTTCTATCTATATCTATCCTATCTATTCTATATCTATCTATCTATCTATCTATCTATCTATCTATCTATCTATCTACCTACCTATCTATCTATTTCTGTCTGTCTGTCTATCCATCCATCCATCTATCCATCCTGTTGGTTCTATTTCTCTGGAGACCCCTGACACAGAGGTCATTCTTCTCATGTTACAGTGTCTGCTCCTAGGGAGTCACTGTGTACAGTATTGCAGCTTATTGTTTGCTTAGTTAGGTCCCAAAACTGGCCCCCAGTCCTTTTGAGGATCGAGGGGCAGTATATATCTGTGGTAGTAGCAGGTACACACGGGCTGGCCAGCTCCTGAGTGGACAAAGTGGTTGAGTGGCAGGTGGCTGCTCCAAAGGAAAAAAGGGCCAGGAAATTTGGGAGGGGACAGATTCAGTGATGCCCCAGGGGCAGGGCTGAGAGCAGGAGTGGACCATGGCCAACCGAACTCCCAAAGTCCCAGCAAGACATTAAGACAAATGAAAGATGCAACTACAGGGTGCCGATGTCTACCCAGGAGGAGATGTGAGAAAGACTGACGGGGAACAATACTCAAAGAAACATTGAGTAATAACAATACACTAGGATCTGTCAAGAGATGCTGAGCCTCCTTCTGAAAAAGCCACAGAGTGTCAGGGGTGATACATAAGAAAACACCATTTGCACACATCTCACTGACATGGGAGACCATGGAATCAAGGAGAAGGCTCTAGAAGCCTCTAGTGAGAAACATCTTCCACCTTTAGAGGAACAAGAGAATCACATTATATCTCCCAAGAACAAAGCTGAAGGAGTGTTTTCTTCAAATGTTGATGGAAATGTACTTTGAACCTATAATTTTATGTCAGATAAATTTTCATTTATAACTCAGAAAATTATTATTATTATTATTTTCCAGATGGAGTCTCACTATGTTGTCCAGGCTGGTCTTAAACTCCTGGGCTTGAGTGATTCCCCTGCCTCAGCCTCCCGAGAAGCTGAGATCACAGGTGTACGCCACCACACCTGGCTAAATTTTTATTTATATATGACAGCAAAATAAAAATATTTTCAGGAATATAAGAACTTAGATGATTTACTGCCCTGAGGGCCTCTGGGGCAACCCTTGGGCAAGAGGGAGCAAGTTGGAAGACATTTATTCATTCTTTTTTCCATTCATTGCTTCAAACATTTTTGAGTACTTAGCATTGTGAGACATTCTATTGGGTGCTAAAGATAAATCAGTAAACAAAGCAGACAAAAATCTTTGCCCCATTGAGTTTACATCCTGGGGTAGAGAAAGACGGTAAACATCATAAGTGAGCCGAACTGTGTGCCAGCTGGGGAGAAGACACAGGGGAAACAAATAGGGAAGGGTGGGTGTTGGGTGAGCCTGTGTTTTGGGCAGGGACCATGTGGAGACCTGGGACAGAACATTCCAGGAGGCCAGTGAAAAAGGAAAGCAGGAAAAAGAAATGAAAAGAAAGCATGCAGTGAAGCTGCCACCTCTGCAGTGCCTTAAAATACAGCCTGACCCGTAGATAGTGGCAACCCCTGTTCAGGATTCAAAATCTTTGCCTTAGAAGGCCTTGGTGTTAAGGGCAGAAGGCAGAGGAGAGTTGAATTCTGGATGCCTCAGTGCTGAACCGCTGCGTGGCCTCTACAGAGTCTGGGGCATGCCCAGGATTGGAAGTTGGGGTCCATAGGAACTGGGGTGGGATAGGTGAGAGTTCCCAAAGGACCCAAGTCACCCTCACTACTGAAGGTCATCCGTGAGGCAGACAATTCTCTCTAAGTCTCACAGGTAAAATGCAAACACCAGCAGTGCTCTCTTCATAGAGTTTTGTGAGAATTAAATCATAAAATACCAGCAGAGCACCTGTCAGTGTCTGGCACCTGGGAAATAATACGAGATGTGTGTTCTCATCATTGTTGTGTGGGGTCAGAGGCTGCCTGGGCCTACCTTTCAGCTTCCTTGACCGGGGATGCTGGGGAGGTTGGTTAACCCCAGTTCCTTCATTGTAAGTGGGTTAATGCTAGTGCTCACCCAGGAGGATTGCTTTTTGGATTAAGCGATTTAATACCTGCAGATGTGAGTGGAGCCTGGCACAGGATGAAAGCACTTTTGGTGGATTTTGTTATTATGAGCAGGGCAAGGCCTGTGTCGGATTCATTTTTGTATCCACAACTTTAGAACTGACCCGGGGGCTAAAGTGATGCTCAGTGAAGTTTTTCTGAATGGATTTGTATCAAATAGAAATCAATCCAAAGCTGGGCCAGCAGTGGACACCTGTTATTTTTGCCTACCCAAAGAGCCTCCCCAGTTTCAAGACTGGCCCTGTCCTTTTGGGAAGCATCCTACTTCCTGCCTTGCTCCCCTGTCGTTCTTATAGAAGCTGCCATATTCCTTCTCGACCCTACTGGCTGCCTGGTCATAGCTGGTTAGCCCAGCTGGGCACTTGACCCACGTGGATAGCTGGAGGCTCTCCTTCCAATCCTTCTCCTTACCATTTCTACATCGTCTTTTTATTTTATTTTTTTTAAGGGACAGGGTCTCGCTATGTTGCCCAGGCTGGACTCAAACTCCTGGGCTCAAGTGATACTCCCACCTCAGCCTCCTGAGTATCTGAGACTACAGGCATGAGCCACCGCACCTGGCTTAAGTTCTTTAAATTATACTTTATATTTCATCAAAGTAATACATGTGCATGATTTGAAAGGCCAAATACTCTAGACTTTTAATTAAAAACAGCAGTCATCTGCTCTATCTGTACCCATTCCAAATTCTTATTCCTCCGTGGCAACCATTTTCAACTTTTTGAGGACTTATCTGTCCTTTATCTCCCTTTTCCTAAATAATAAATTTCTTTTGCAGTGTTTGGTTTCCTAGGTTTGGATGTTATCTGCTATTTCTGTGGCAGAGGTGAAGATTTAGGTCTCTTGTGCAGCTTCACATACATAACTTATACTTCCCTTGGCCCCACAATGCTGATACAGTTTAATCACAGAATTTAGATTAATAACTAGTTGATATAGTTAGGCTTTGTGTCCCCATCCAAATCTCATCTTGAATTGTAATCCCCAGGTGTTGAGGGAGGAACCTGGTGGGAAGTGATTGGATCATGGGGGCAGTTTTCCCCCATGCTGTTCTCATGACAGTGAGTAAGTTCTCATGAAAGCTGATGGTTTCATACTTGTTTGGCAAGTTCTTCCTTTGCTCACTCTTCTCTCTCCTGCTGCCTTGTGAAGAAGGTCCTTGCTTCCTCTTTGCCTTCCACCACAATTGTAAGTTTCCTGAGGTCTCCCTAGCCATGCAGAACTGCGAGTCAATTAAACTTCTTTCCTTTCTAAATTACCCAGTCTCTGATATTTCTTTATAGCAGTGTGAAAACAGACTAATACACTAGTGATTACATTTTCTAATAGGCAAATATCATTTGAAGCTCTGACATGTAGAATACTATAATTTTATTTTTGTTCTTGTACAAGTTTTCATTTCCAGAAGTCAGTCATTCTCTTGCTATTGTGTTTACACAGATTCCTGGGTACCCAGAGCAGAGATTGTTAAGTGTGTACCAACTACATCTGTCCTCTTCTTCTGAGTATGTGGCTTGACTACATTTCCTAGCCTTCCTTGCAGGTAAATGAGACTGTGTGACAAACTCTTTTTTGGTGAAATGTGAGCAGAAGTGATGAGGGACACTTCTAAGCCAAGGTGTTCGTAGTGGGCATGATTTATTTAGTCTCTGCTCTAACTTCCCACCAGCAACATGCTAGATGTGGCTCAGGCCCTGTTTTGGCAATGATGAAGGCCTGGGCAGCAGAACACAGCTCAGGGGAAGCTATGTCACCACTGTTTCCATCCTGCCAACCTGGAATGCTCAACTTGACCTGTTATATGACAGAGAAATGCATTTTTTTACTTTTCGAAGTTCTGCATCTTGGGGTCCTTTTGTTACAGCAGCTTAGCTTCACCTTACCAGAAGTTAGTTTCTTGAAGCAGGAAGGTGCCATAACCGAAGTGATTAATGTGTGATTGTGGCATAGCAGTCTGGTGGTTGTTGGTAAGCAAACAGATTGCAGTCTGGAAAGCTAATGCAATCTGCATTAGTCAGGGTTTTCCAGAGAAACAGAACCAACAGCATGTGTACATATAGAGGGGATTTATTTTAAAGAATTGACTCACATCATTGTGGAGGATTGGTGCATCCAAAATCTGATGGAGGAAGCCAGCAGGGTGGGGACCCAGGGAAGAGCCCATGCTGCAGTTCACGTCCAAAAGCCATCTGCTGCTGAACTCCTTCTTGCTTGAGGGAGGTCAGTCTTTTGTTCTCTTCAGGCCTTCAGCTGGTTGGATGAGGCCCACTCCTGTGAGATGTCAATCTGCTTTGGCCAAAGTCCGCAGATTTAATGTCAATTGCATCCAAAGATACAGTCACAGAAACATCCAGAATAATGTTTGACCACATATCTGGGCACTGTGGCCTGGCCAATTCGACACATGAAATTAACCGTCACACTAGCACTAATTCCCCTTGAACTGAAAAATCTCTCAGTATGTTCAAAACACAGCAGGTTTTGTGGCAGATATTGCTGGTCATGGAGGCGTCTCTTCTGGAAGTCTCTGCCTTCCAGCTCCCACGTGGAGTGGCTGCTCTCTAGGCCCTCTCAAAACTGCCTTCCTGGGACTTCTGTCTTCCGGTATCCTGGGAAAATCCTTAGCCTCTTCCCTGGATTTGCGCCTTGATTCATGGAACTTCCATCTTCTTCTTTCTTGGTTTATTCTCTTATTTTTGGTGGTTTGCTGAGAAAATTTTGAAAATGTTTTCTCCCACTTTGTAGCTTTAAAAAAAATTCTTTTCATAATGTCTTTATAAGAGCAGAAGTTTTTAATTTTCCTGAAGATCAATTTATCAGTTTTTGCTTTTATGGATCATGCCTATGCTGTATCTAAGTAATTTTTGCGTAACTCCAAATCAAAAAGATTTGTTATTGTATTTTCTTGTAGAAGTATAACAGTTTTAGGCTTTACATTTAGGTCTGTGATTAACTAAGTTCATTTTGTATATGGTGTAACCCATGAATTAAAGTTTCTTTCCTCCCGTCTTCCCTTCCTTTCTTCCTCTCTTCTTTCCTTTCTCCCTTCCTCCCTTCCTTCCTTTGCATGTGTGTTACCTATGAAATCTCCAATTATTTCAGATCTATTTTTAAAAAAGACTTTCTGTTCTCCACTCCCATCTGAACACCTCTTATTTCTTGCCTTTTTGCACTGACCAGAACCTCCCATACTATGTCGCATAGAAATGGCGAGAGTGGAATTCTTGTCTTGTTCCTGGTCTTAGGGGAAACATTCGGTCTTTTATCAGTATGTTAGCTGTGGGTTGTTTGTACATGCCCTTTATAAGGTTGAGGAAGTTCCCTTCTATTGCTAGTTTGCTGAGAATCTTTAGCAGGAATCAATGCTGGATTTTGTCAGATGTTTTTCAGCTTGCAATGAGATGACCGTATGGATTTTTCTTTCTATCTAATAATATGGTGAATTACATTGCTTGATTTTTCTAATTTTAAACTAAACTTGCATTGACCCTAAATTGGTTATGATTTGTTATCTTTTTATATTTTGTTACTTTCAATTTGCTAAAATTTTGAGGATTTTTCTACTTATGTGCATGAAATATATTGTAATTTTCCTTTTTTGGAATGTGTATGTGTGGTGTTGATATCAGAATAATTCTTATCTTTCATAATGACTTAGAACATGTTCTTTACTCTTCATTTTTCTGGCAAAGTTTGTGTAGAATTGGTTTAATTTCTTCTTTAAATATTTGATAGAATTTCCTAATGGAGCTACCTGGGCCTGGAGTTTTCTTTGTGGGCTATTTTTAAACTACACAAATCAATTTCATTAATAGATGATAGGGCTATTTGGTTTCTTTCTTCTTGAGTGAGTGCGTGTACTTTGTGTCCTCTGAGGAACTTCTTGAGTTTGTCGAAGTTGCCAAAATTATTAGTATGATTTATTTATAGTATTCCCTTATTATGCTCTTAATATCTGTATTACTTGAAGTGGTACCACTTCTCTAACTCCTGATGATAGTGACTTGTTTCTTCTTTTCCGTTTTTGATCAACTTGGCTAGAAGGCTTATTAATTATACTGATATTTTCAAAGAACCAGCTTTTGATTTCATTCACTTTCTCTATAGCCATTCTGTTTTCTATTTCATTGTTTTTCACTCTGATCTGTATGATTTTACCCCCTTGTACTTACTTAGGTTTCTATTTGCTTTCCTTTTTAAAATTTTCTTAAGATGCATGCTGAAATCATTGATTTGAGACATTCTTTTCTAATGTAGACATTTAGTGCTATAAATTTCTCTTTAAACACTGCTTGGGCTGCATCTTACAAGTGTCGATGTGTTGTTATATTTTATTTTAGCTCAAAATATTTTCCAACTTTTCTTTTGATTTTCTCTTCGATCAATGTGTTATTTAGAAACAGGGTTTTAGTTACTAAAAATCTGGGGAGTTTTCTAGCTACCTTTCTATTATTGATTTCCAATTTAATTTTATTTTGTGGTCTAAGAACATATTTTTATGATAGAGTCCTTTTAAATTTATTAGGGTTGGGAGTGGTAGTTCACGCCTGTAATCTCAGCACTTTGGGAGGCCAAGATGTGAGGACTGCTTGAGGTCAGGAGTTTAAGACCAGCCTGGTCAACATATTGAGGCTCTGTCTCTACAAAAAAATAAAAAAAATAAGCTGGGTGTGGTGATGTGTGCCTACAGTCCCAGCTACTCAGAAGGCTGAGGCAGTAGGATTGCTTGAGCCTAGAATTTCAAGGCTGCAGTGAGCCATGGTCATGCCATTGCACTCCAGCCTGGGGGACAGAGTGAAGCCTTGTATCAAAAATACAATAAATAAGTAAATAAATAAATATATAAATAATTTGTTAAGTCTTGTTTCATGGCTTTGAATATGGTTGATCTTGGTAAATGTTCCATATGCATTTGAAAAGAATGTGTATTCTGCTGCTGTTGAGTGGTGTGTTCCACAAATGTCATTAGGGTCAAGTTAATTGATGCTGTTGTGCATATCTCTAATACCCTTACTGATGATTTGTTTACATACTCTATCAGTTATTAAGGGAGTGATGCTGACATCTCTGAGTCTACCTGTGGATTTGTCTATATTTACTTGCCTATATCAAGTTTTGCTTCTTGTATTTTGAAGTTCTGTTTTTATGTACATAAGCATTTAGGATTATTGTTATATCTTCTTGATTAATTGACACCTGTATCATTATAACAAGAGTCTCTTTATCCCTTGTAATAGTCTTTGTTCTGAAATCAACTCTCTCAGGTATTAATATGCTATCACTCTCCTTTTTCCAGCTTTATTGAGGTATAATGGACACAGTTGGTTTCTTTTTATTAGTGTTAGCATAGTATACCTTTTCCCATTCATAACATTTAACATACCTGTGTCTTTAAAGTGAATTTCCAAAACAAAATAAAGCAAAAAAGTAAATTTCCCATAGGCGGTAGTATATGCTTACTTTTTTTTTTTTATTGCACTGGACAGTATCTAAATTTTAAATGGATTTTTGGACCATTTATACTTAACATGATCATTGACATAGTTGGGTTTAACTCTATCATCTTACTATTTGTTTTCTATTTGTCCCATCTGTTCTTTGTTCCTTTTTCCTTGTTTCTCTATCTACTTTTGGATTTATTGAACATTTAAAAACAATTCCTTATTTACTTTGTTGTATTATTAGCTAATTTTTTGTTGTGATATTTTAGTGATTTCCTTAGAGTTTATGATATATATCTTTTACTTATCAGAGTCTAACTTTGAGTGATATGATACCACTTTATATGCAGTAAAAGGACTTAAATGAGTATACTTCCATTTCTTTCTTTTTGTTCTTTGTGCTATTGTTGTAGTACATTTTATATATTTTAATATAATATATATGTTCTGTAGATGTTATCAATTCTACAGTATATTATTATGATTGCTCTAAACGTTTGCTTATCTTTTACAAAGGTTTACTTTTTAAATTCTTTATATTTACTCATTTAATTACTGTTTTTGCTGTTCTCTATTCTTTTGGGTGGGTACAGATTTCCATCTCGTGTAATTTTTCTTTTGTTTGCATCTCTCATAGTGCAGACCTGCTGGAGTCAAAATTCTTTTGACTGTTATATGGCTGAAAATGTCTTTTTTTTGTTACCTTCTTTTGAAAGGTATTCTCTTTGAGTTAAGAATTCCAGGTTGACAGTGATATTTCTTTGCATTTTAAAGATGTCTTCAGTGTTACATGAGAAGTCTGCTCTCATCTTTGTCTTCACTCCCCTCTGTTTAATGGGTCTTACTTCTCTAATGACTTTTAAGATTTCCCTTTTATCAGTGGTTTTGAGCAATATGATATGACATGACTTGATGCAGTTTTTGTCTTGAACCTCTTTAATCTGTGAATTTGTATTTTTGCAATAATGAGTTTTAGGAAGTCTGGCCTTGATGTGTCATGGGAATATGGGTTTTAGGAAGGCTGCTCTGGACTTGTCATGTAGAATGGGTTTAGGAAGGTGTGGACAGTCATGGGAGAATAGGTTTTAGGGGGACTAATTTGGATGGTCATGGGAAGATGAGATCAGGAAGGAAGTTCTGGATGTGTCATGGGAGGACTTTGAGAAGAGTGACTCTGAGGAGGCTGTATGGGATTGCCACTGACCTAGAACAGAGTTAACTATAGGTGTTTAGGGACAGCCTCTCACTCATATTCTGTTTCTATTTCAGCTTTCACCTCCCCGGAGGGCATCCTCTGACACCCCAGGCCACTTTGGGACCCTTTCTCATATGCTTCCATTGCACTGGGCAGTTCTCCTGTCTAGTATCTTCCATTGTTTAATGACCTTAAGTACTTGTCCAATATGGATCTCCCCACTGGACTCTAAAGTTCCATAAGAACACCAATATTCTGTGTGGCACAGAGTAGCTAGGCAAGGTCTGTTGAGTGAGTGAAAGAGTGAATAAGTGAATGAACTGCACTCCATTGCTTCCCACCCTTTCTAGTTCTCAGCTCAGTATTTCATTTATGACTCCAAATCCTACTAAAGTGAGGTATCTGGACACAAAGAAAGAGTTGAAAAATTCACCAGGAGCTGCTCCCAGGAGGCTGCAAGGAGAGTGAAGTGCAGCATGTGCCACTGGAGGGACCTGTTGGTTGGAGTGTCTTGGGTTGGGCTCATGCACTATCAGTGGCTTAATAACGTGCTACAACTCAGCTCTGTGAGCATCACGCCTCACTGTGAAGTGTTGCCTCGACTAACAACACTTTGTGAAAATTGAACATTTGGTTGTGTGGGGTGTAGGAAGATGAGAAAACTAATTATAGTTTCTCTGGGGGGGCCTGCAGCAGTTGGAGTCATGGTTACAATTCTAGTCTATGTGGGATTTGCTTCATTCTCTCTTTTTATTTCTACACTTGGTGTGACAATAGATTTACATAATGGACATTTGTCAAGGGTTTCAAGTCACAGCTTTTATAGGCTTCCATCTTTTTTTGAAAGAAGACAGATTTTCAGAGTGGTTTGAATTTCATGACAATGTGGGCCGGCCACATGGACAATTGGTCTGTTGTGAGGAACTGGAGCTCATTTATGTACCATTGTTTGGAAGTTCTGAAATAGCACCAGGACCAATGATGCTGAAATTCCTTAACAATCTAAATTATCCTGCTGTTCATTTGCTTAGATCAATTTGCCTTTAAAATTCAGCATAGTACAAAAGCTACACAAGGAGAAATGGGTTAAAAGGCTTGAATTTTCAAGCCAAGGTTCTGCTATATAAAAATAATGATGAAACTCTCAGCCTGAACAAGATGGCAAAGGCTCATTTCTCTCTGCCACACTCTGCCAAGTCCAGAATCAGCCCTGGAAATAAAGCAAGAGTGCCAGAGGAGAACTCTGAAAGGTGGAAGGAGGGAAGTGGCCTGATTTGGGACCAAGAACTGAAAAGCAATGCAATACGGGGGTCTTATACCCCCCATCCAACAGACGAAGGTGATAGAAGGTGGCCCAGGTGGGCATGTCTATCCCCTAGATTGAAAGAGAGACCTTATCATCAAAGGAGGTGAGAGGCACAAGAGAGACTGGTCAGGGACCCCACTAGCCATAAGCAGCCAGCAGGGAAGTGTTCTCCTTCCTTCTGGATCCCAGATGCCCCTCCCGACCAAGAAGTACTGAGCAGCTGGGCAACACTCAGATGGAATCCTGCCACAGGTGGGCTGGCCTAGAAGCCCCTTTGTTGCTGCAGGAGTGAGATTCTACGGCCCTTCAGAGACACTGGAAATAGATCTAGCAATATATGCTGTAGCTATAGAGTAATCCTGGGTAAATGTTAGGTATATATTGCTACAGTAATCAATACAGTGTAGTATTGGGGAACGACAGACACACAAATCCATAGTACAAAACAGAGAATCCAGCAATAGACTGACAGAAATGAGCCCAACTGATTTTTAACAAAGATTCAAAAACGATTTAATGGAGGAAAGCAGTCTTTGCAACAAATGGTGCTGGCACAATTGGACATCCATGGGCAAAACAAATAAGCAAAACAAAACAAAAAAAGAAACAAAAAAGAACTTCAACCTAAGCTTTGCATCTTACACAAAAGTTAACTCCAAATAGATCATGGTGTTAGTATAAAATGTCAAACAATACACCTTTTGGGGGAGAAAACAGAAAATATTTAAGATCTGGGGCTATTTCTCAGATTTGACACCAAAAGCATGATCCATCGAAGGGCATTTTGATGGATAAATTGGATTTTATCAAAATTAAAAATTTTTGCTCTGCAAAAGGCCACGAGAAGAGGATAAAAAGGCCAGCTATAGACTAGGAGAAAATATTGCAAACCACATATCTGACAAAGAACTGGTATCTAGAATATATACATTCTCAAAACTCAACAGTAAAGAAAGAGATGATTCAACTACAAAATGCACAGAAGCTGTGAACATTTTTCTGAAGAGCATATAGAGATGGCTATAAGCACAGGAGACAGTGTTCAACATTATTAGCCATCAGGTAAATGCACACGAAAATCACAATGATCTATTACTACACAAGTGTCACAATGGCTAAAATAAAAAATAGTGATGACACCAAATGTTGGCTAGGATGTGGAGAAACTGGATCCCTCATTCATTGCTGGTGAGAATGTAAAACGGCACAGCCACTCCTGGAAAACAGTTTGTCAATCTCTTAAAAAACTAAGCATGCCAACTACCATGCAACCCAGTAGTCATACCTGTGGGCATTTATCTCGGATAAATGAAAATTATGTTTAAACAACAATGTGTACCTGAATATTCAAAGACATTTCACTGGTGAAATGAAAACAGCCGAGGTGTCCTTCAACAGGTGAATGGTTAAATAAAATGGGGTATATTCATACCATGGGATATTGCTCAGGAACAAAAGGAAACAAACTGGGGATCTGTGCAACTTGTTGAAGTTCCAAGAATTATGTAGAGTGAAAAAGCCAATCCCAAAAGGTTACATACTGTATGATTCCATGTATACAATATTCTTGCAATGACAACATTTTAGAAATGGAGAGTGGATTATTGGATAACAGACTTAGGGGTAGAGTGGTGGAGCTGGGAGGGAGGGGTGGGTGGTTGTAGAAGGACAACACAGGGATGCTTGTGGTGATGCAGTGTTCTGTGTCTTCACTATGATGGTAAATACATGAACCTATACATGTGACAAAACTGTATGGAACTAAATATACACACACTAATGAGTACAGGTAATATTGGGGAATTCTGAATAAGATTAGTCAGCTGTGTCAATATCAGTATTAATATTCTGATTGTGAAATTGTACTGTCATTTTTGCAAGTAATACCATTAGGAGAAATTGAGTGAAAGGTGTGTGGGATCTCTCTGTATTATTTCTTGCAACTGCATCTGAACCTACAAATTGTCTCAATAAAAATTTCAATTAAGAAAATAAGTGACAAGGGCTGAGTGGCATATCCAGATCCATGAACATAGTTGGAGGATCTCAAACACGCTTACAATGAAAGCGGGATTTCTAAAATAAAAAACTAAATTGTAGTTAACATTTGTTTAGCACAAAAGACACCCCAGGCACTAAGTGTTGTACATACATAACTTTATTTCATCTTCATTACATTTTTTTTTCAGGATTTTCCCCCATTAGAGAAACTGTGCCTGAATTTCCATGTTAGCGAAAGGGTGGTAATGTCTCTTATAGAGTTGATATGAGGTGTTAAATAGATCTCAACATGTGAGATGCAGAAACCAGGCCCTGACACATAGATGGTATGCATACCAAACTCAATATCAGTACAGGAATTTTTGTATTGATCATAATACAAAATACTTTTTTTTCCAGATCATAATATCTCTTTCTTTGCCTGATTCTTTGAGATGTACACAAACATGCTCTAGATCAAGTTATTCCAGAATAGGCAGAGTGTGGTGACAGATGAAACTTGAGTGTGTGAGAGAGGCAAACTTATTTGTCTTCAAATAACGACAAATTAAGTGTCTGAAAGAAACAATGGTATGTGTTAAGAATCTTGGCAAATTTTATTCAGTAGTGATGGAATAGTCATATCATGATTTTAAAAATACACTTTTAACTTTAGAATAGTTTTAGATTTACAGAGATACTGTAAAAATAGTGCAGAGAGGCCCCGGATGCCCTGCACCCAGTTTCGCCTGTTGTTAATATTTTACATTACTGTGGATTAGTGATGAATTAGTACCAATGAATGGACTGATATTGATATACTGTTATTAATGAAAATTCATACTTTATTGGACTTCCTTAGTTTCTTTTTTTTTTTCTTTTTTTGAGACAGAGTATCACTCTGTCACCTGGGCTGGAGTGCAATGGCTCCATCTCGTCTCACTGCAACCTCTGCCTCCCAGATTCAAGCGATTCTCCTGCCTCAGCCTCCTGAGTAGCTGGGATTAACAGGCGCCCGCCATGATGCCCAGCTAATTTTTTTGTATTTTTAGTGAGACGGGGATTCACCATATTGACCAGGCTGGTCTCGAACTGCTGACCTCAAGTGATCCACCCACCTTGGCCTCCCAAAGTGCTGGGATTACAGGCATGAGCCACTGTGCCCAGCCCTTAGTTTCTTCTTAATGTTCTTTTATTGTCCAGGGATCCCATCTAGGACATCACATTCCATCAGCATCCTGTCTCCTCAGGACCCTCTTGGCTATGACAATTTCCTCAGATTTTCATGTCTTTGATGACCTTGACTACGTTGAGAAGTATTGTCAGGTGTATTGTAGCATATCCCTCAACTGGGGTTTGTTTGTTGTTTTTCTAATGGTTAGACTCAGGTTATGAGGTTTTGGGAAGAAGGCTACAGAGGAGAAAGAAGTACCATTATCTTCATATGATATCAGGGGTGCCTGCTGTCACCATGGCTTATTGTTGATGTTGACCTTGATCACCTGGCTAGGCAGTGTTTGCCAGTCTTCCTACTGTAAAGTTATTTTCTGTTTCCCCTTTCCAGACTGTATGTACCCTTTGGAAGGAAATCACTATACACAATGAGCACTTAAGGGTCAGAGACTTACGTTCCACCTTCTTGAGGGAACAGTATCTATAATAAACTATTTGGGATTTTTTGGTACAGGAGATTTGTCTTTTCTACCTTGCATTGGTCAGAATTCTCCAGAGAAACAGAAACAATAGGAGAGAGAGAGAGAGAGAGAGAGAGAGGAGAGAGAGAGAGAGAGAGAGAGAGAGATATTATGAGAGATTGGCCCACATGAGTATGGAGGCCAAGAAGTCCCATGATCTACTCTCTGCAAGCTGGAGACCCAGGGGGGATAATGGTGTAATTCATTCCAAGTCTGAAAACC
This sequence comes from Homo sapiens, assembly GCF_000001405.40. Taxonomy (NCBI): domain Eukaryota; kingdom Metazoa; phylum Chordata; class Mammalia; order Primates; family Hominidae; genus Homo; species Homo sapiens. Next base: position 45,283,572 of record NC_000007.14, read on the forward strand.
TAAGAACCAGGAGCTCCAATGTCTGAGGACAGGAGAAGATGAATGTCTCAACTCAAAAAGAACGAGACAATTCACCCTTGCTTCACCTTTTTGTTCTATTTGGGCCCTCAATGGTTTGGATGATGCTCACCTGCATTGGTGAAGGTGGATCTTCTTTGTTCAGTCTACTGATTCAAATGCTAATCTCTTTGAGAAACACCCTCATAGACACACCCAGAAATAATGTTTCTCTGGCTATCTGGGCATCCCTTATCCCAGTCAAGTTGGCACATATTCAGGCTCCCTGTTCTGTTTAAAAAGGTTGACATATAAAATTAACCACTGTAGGCCAGGCACGGTGGCTCATGCTTGTAATCCCAGCAATTTGGGAGGTCAAGGCAGGCGGATCATTTGAGATGGGGAGTTGCACACTAGCCTGGTCAACATGGTGAAATGCTGTCTGTACTAGGAATACAAAAATTAGCCAGACGTGGCAGTGTGTGCCTATAGTCCCAGCTACTCGGGAGGCTGAGGCACGAGAATCACTTGAACCCAGGAGGTGGAGGTTGCAGTGAGCTGATCACACTACTGCACTCCAGCGTGGGTGACAGAGTGAGGCTTTGTTTCAAACAAAAAAGAAAAAAATTAACCATTGCATCCCTCTTTATTTATCCAGTCATTTATCTAAATCATTGCAGCTTTATGGATATTTATTTTATATTTTGAATTATAGTCCAATACTACTTTCTGAATTTTCTTGTTCAAATGGTCCCAGATTTGAACTTTGCAAACTTTCAGTTTCTTCCTGTGTCCCTTTGACATGCTCGCATTACTTGCTTTTCATTCGTTTTTAGCATTTTCTTACTTTCTTGCACTACAAAATGCTCCAGGTTCATCTCGTATATTATTTTCCCAGACCTGGAATCAGCCAATTCTTTAAGGAATCCTGGTTCGTTTTATTGAAGAATAGTATTTGAATCCAAGATATGGGCATTGGGTGTGCTTGATGGTATTGGGGTGTCGTTCCTTCTAGGCTGTGCATGCACACAGCTCTATAAATTTGTTCATATATGTATATGTTCATCCATCTGCAGACACATTTGTATTTTAGGCTAAAGGTGAGTTCACATTGATATCTCCAACTCTCATCCAGTACCACCTGCTTGAGTCTAGCTGTTCCTCCTTGTTTATCTGTAATGTTTAGCTGGGCATGGTGGCTCACGCCTGTAGTTCCAGCACTTTGGGAGGCCGAGACAGGAGGATCACTTGAGGTCAGGAGTTCAAGACCAGCCTGGCCAACATGGTGAAACCATGTCTTTACTAAAAATACAAAAAAAAAAAAAATTAGCCTGGTGTCGGGGTGGGTGCCTGTAATTCCAACTACTAGGGAGGCTGAGGCAGGGGAATCGCTTGAACCCAGGAGGCAGAGGTTGCAGTGAGCTGAGATCCTGCCACTGCACTCCAGCCTGGGTGACAGAGCAAGACTCTGTCTCAAAAAAAAAAAAAAAAAAAGGAATGTGTAAATAATTTACTAGCAGATATTGTGTTATTGAAAAACTAGGAATTAAATTTTCTTTATTTTTTATTTTTTGAGACAGGGTCTGGCTCTGTCACATAGGCTGGAGTGTAGTGGCACTGTCTTAGCTCATGACAACCTCCACCTCCCGGGTTCAAGCCATCCTCCCACCTCAGCCTCCTGAGTAGCTGGGACTACAGGCACGTGCCACCATTCCCAGCTAATTTTTGTATATTTTGCAGAGATGGGGTTTTGCCATGTTCCCCAGGCTGGTCTCAAATCCCTGAGCTCATGCAATCCAATCGCCTTGGCCACTCAAAGTGGTAAGTTTACAGGCGTGAGCCACTGAGCCCAGCATGAATTTTCTCTCTGATAAAATAACCTGCTTAGAACATTTAGTCTAATTTTAACCTGCGGAAGTAAAAGTTTCTTGACTTCCTATTTCTTATGTTCCCAGGTACACGTTTGTGCTTTTGGTGACTTTGTTTTGTCTTTCATTTAAAATAGAACATGGGAGGGAATTCTTCACTTCTGAGAGATGTGGGCTCCTTCAGTCTTATTATCGTCTTTCATGTTTATTGAAAAAAAAGTATATATTTTTTCCTAATAGGTAAACAAACTATGGTTCTTAGGCACTCTTGGTTCAATCTTAACTGAGTGACCAAATCTCCTCTGATAATAATCTTGATTTTGCCTTCCCAAGACCAAACCCTAAATTTAGAAAAATAATGGATTTTGAATTTTGTTAGCACTTTGAACCATCCTTGTGATTTCCCAGATAGGCACCAGAAAATCACAAAGATTTGTGTGTGTTCTTAACTGCAAAGGAAACACTGATTAAATCCATGTGAAATAATTATGTATGATATTCTAATATAGAGCTTGATTCCCCCCTCCCCCAATTTTGATGTTGTTGGGTACTGTAATAAAATAACTACAGCTCTGTCATCAACAGCTAGTGTCTGCGTTCTTCTGATTGCCTGAGAGCTCTGCTCTAGGTTATAGGCTGAGAAACTAGGTCTTCGACAACCAAGGTTAGTTTCAGAACCACATGGAAAAGACTGTTGTAGGCACTGCTTACTACTCACATTCCAGGAAATGGGTACAGACTTTGGAGATTAAGCTGACTTTGCTTAGACAACCTTCAAACTGCACCAGTGAGTCCAAGTCAAGATTTCCCAGACTCTTTTCAGGCCAGAAGCAGATGAGCTCATGAAAGCAGATGCCAACCCAAGATGCCATAGAATAAGAATGAATTGTATGGGGCTGGATGAACTGAAGAGGGAAAGTAGCTAACTGCTCACTTGGAATCTTGTTGAAAACTGTATTTAATAATCTGTTTTCTGATGGATATGAGAGTAAACCTTTCCTTTTTTTTTGATAATTAATAATAATTAATTTAATAATCTGTTTTCTGATGGATATGAGAGTAAACCTTTCCTTTTTTTTTTGAGATGCCATCTCACTCTGTCACCTACGCAGGAGTGCAATCTCAGCTCACTGCAGCCTCCGCCTCCCATGTTCAAGTGATCCTCCTGCCTCAGCTCCCTGAGTTGCTGGGATTACAGGCATCTGCCACCATGCCTGGCTAATTTTTGTATTTTTAGTAGAGATGGGGTTTCACCATGTTGGCCTGGCTGGTCTCGAACTCCTGACCTCAAGTGATCCACCTGCCTCAGCCTCCCAAAGTGCTGGGATTACAGGCATGAACCACCGTGCCTGGCCCTTTTCTTTTTTATTTCTAATCCTCGATTGTGTAGCACACAGAATTGAAAGCATTTCTGCTTTAGCACACAGAAATGAAATCTTTGGGATGTATCCTGTCATTAAAGTTCACATTATACTGATATGTAGCTCATATTTCTTTATGGTGGTGAGAGAAATTTCATGAAAGGCCTTGTCAAATGCCTTGTCTGAGTCCAGGCATGTTTTTTTCTTAGACCGTATACCCTGGTCCCACTTATTGGACCAACCTTACTGACAAAGGAACTGTTAGCCTGGTCTTTGGGATCTTGTGGGGTGTGAAGGCTTCACAATCTAGATGCTTCTGTGTCCTGTCTGTACCTGTGACTTCATAGCTTAATCTGGGACCAATGCAGAGTTCTAAGATTTGTACTTTACAGAATGTATTTTTTTTTTAATATTAACCATTCTTTTTTTCCCAACATCCTTTATTTTAGATCTATTGTTCCTTAGAGATTTCCAACAGGTTCACTGGTCCTGTTTGGAAAAACAGTGGGCTACAATTTTAGGATAGATTAAGGAGTATCAACAACCAGAACCTGTGGCATTAAGGAGCTGATCCCTTTCCAGAAGGCTTAGTGTACCCATAGTGTAGTGAATAAATAAATTCAGGGATGAATGAAATGTCATTTTCCTGATTCTGGGAAACTGCTTCTCTACTCACACAACACTTCTAACACGAAATGTGTGATTTTCTTCCCCACAGCAAGCAATTCTCCCTCTCTGGACACCAACTGGGTGTCTTACAATCCAATCCATTTCCGAAACTGTCTACCTGAAGTTAGTGTCAGATCCCATAGGTTAGGGGCCGGGTCCCACAAGACTTCCCCCACTTCACATACCATTCACAAGTCCCTGGAGCCACCTGTACTTCTGGCAACACAGCTGTTAATCCAGGTTCCCATGGCCCACTCCTTGGGTTCAATAACTTGCTAGAATGGCTCACAGAACTTTTCTTACATTTGCCAGTTTATTATAAACAACTCAGGAACAGCCAGATGGAAGAGATGCAGAGGATGAGTTAGTGGTGGTGGTGGTACAGAGATTCTCAGGGGTGCCACCCTCCCAGCACCTCCACATGTTCACAAACCTGGAAGCTCATCAAATCTTGTTCAAGCGTTTTTACAGAGCTCAACCTCCAGCTACCCCTCCTCCTTCCCAGAGGCCAGTGGGTGGAGCTGAAAATTCCCACCCTTGGATCCCTTGGTCTTTCTGGTGACCAACCCCATCCAGAGGCTATCTAGGGGCCCCACACTAAGTCACCTTTTAGCATAAACTCAGGTGTGATCAAACGGGCTTGTTATGGATAACAAAGGACCCTACTGTCACTCAGATTTTAGGACAAAGACCAAACATTATTACTACACCGCACTTACTCTAAGTTCTCAGCCTCCAGGTCTTGGGTCAGATACTGTTTCCTCAGAGTTGCCTTCCCCATCAGGCCCAAAGTAGCCTTCTCTATGGTCTCTTTCATGACACTCTGTTTCACAACCTCCTGTTAACAGAAAAACAAACTGTAAAATATTGAAAGAGGTTTATTCTGAGCCAGTATGAGTGACCATGGCCTGGGGAATAGTCTAAAGAAGTCCTGAGAAAATGTGCCTGAGGTGGTTGGGTTACAGTTTAGTCTTAGACATTTTAGGGAGACAGGGATTCTAGATAAAATCATGAACCAATACTTGGAAGATATACATTGGTTCAACCTAAAGAGGCAGGATATCTTGAAGTAGGGGGCATGAGGGCTTACAAGTCATAGGTGGATTTGAATATTTTCTGATAGGCAATTGGTTGAAAGAGTTAAGCTTTGTCTGAAGACTTGAAGTCAGTAGAAAGAAATTTTTAAGATAAGGGGATTGTGGAGGCAGAGTTCTTGTTATGTAGGTGAAGCCTCATTAGGTAGCAGACATCAGAGAGATAAATTGTAAATGTCTCTTTTCAGAACGTAAAAAGTGTCACACACTTAGTTAATCTCACTTAGATTTGGGAAAGGCCTGGAAAGGAAAGGCCTGGCTGTGTTATTGGAGATTCTCTACAGATGCGAATTTCCCCCACAAAAAGATGGCTTTGGAGGGCCATTCAAAAATATGTCAAGGAAATACATTCTGGGGAAAAATATTTTGATTTCCTTCAGGGTCTGCTATCTGTCACGCAATGCTAGAATCAGGTTGGATTTGTTATCTTATGTGAAAGGAAAATAAATCTTGGGGCCTCTAAATCACTAAGCTGTTGCTGACCCTTTGTTTTGTTTTTCAGAGTCTTAAAACTTTTCTTTTGAGCTATTGATACCTTTTAACAATTTAGTATACTCCCATGAACAAAATTTGGAGCATATTTATTTCTGTCTACCTGATTTCTCCAGAATTTGGAAACTATTTGTGAGTATTCTAACTTATGGCAATGCAGTTATTTGCATAAGTGCAGTAAGAATCTGTTTTCATTTGTAACAGGACACAATTGGAGAAACTGGTTATTTTACCAAGGATTTGACTGGAATGTTGTGCTTTCCTTTAAGGAGTCAAACTTGACTTATGGCGCCAATAAAGCCCTTGGAAAATCTGGCCTCATATTTTGTATACACAGTCTCTGTACAGGGTTTCTGGCCCGTGGTAAGTAAAGAATATCACTTTCTGACAGTCCCAGAAGCCCCATGTTTATCTTGGAACCTCAAGAGGACAGAAAATTCACCCAACTCACAGATATTTGCTGGCACAAATCCATGGTTGGGCCTGGCTTTAAAAAAGTCTTATCTGGGATTCCTTCTATGGAACAAAGCTCCATCAAAGCCAATTTAAAACCTATGTAAAAAATATAATTATTCTTGCTGCACTGTATACAAATAATTAAGCCAAGTATAATAAAGCAAACCAATCCTACCATGATTTGTCTTTAGCAAAAATGGAAAACTGGAGAGAGAAAAATTATGTTTCAAAAACTATAGTACACTCTAGTCTTGTCTAATGTTTTTCAGTTTTTATTATTTCTACAGTTCTGGCAGAATTTTTTCTTGGCTACAAGTCTTCAAAATAATGTTTTCATTATTTTTTCTTTTTTTCCTGCTTTTTTCCCATTTTTCCTAATTTGGAGTCACTGAAAACTAAGCTGTGCTTTCTTAAAACCCTGCCAACTGAAGCCAAACAACTTAAATTAAAAAAAAAAAAAACAGCAACCCATTTACATACATAAGCCACTTTCATACCTGCCTACTAATGTATGGACTTCAGAGTAATGTGGCCTATATAGATTTTTTCAGGATTGTTCCTTTGTTTGTTGTTGTTTTTCTCCCATCCTCCCCCACTATTTTCTCTTCACAGGACATGAGACTTCACAATCTGCTAAAGATGAGTGTTAACCATCCTCGTCATGAGAGATCAGATGAAATCTGAGACCAGGGACTTATTTTGTTGTAAAATGCTTTCTCCAAAATATTTTAAAAAAGAAAAGGGGGGAAATGTGAAAGAAAAATAACTCTTGGGGCCCCCAAATCAACAAGCTAAAGGGAAAAGTCAAGCTGGGAACTGCTTAGGGCCAACCCTCTCTCCCATTCTATTCAAAGTCACCCCTCTGCTCACTGAGATAGATGCATATCTGATTGCCTCCTTTGGAAATTCTAATCAGAAACTCAAAAGAATGCAACTGTTCACCTGAAAGCCCTCTCCTTGCTTTGAGTCTTCCTGCCTTTGCTTCAAGTTGTCCCGCCTTTTCAGACCGAATCAATGTACTTCTTACATATGTTGACAGATGTCTCATGTCTCCCTAAAATGTAAAAAACTAAGCTGTGCCCGGACCACCTTGGACACATGTTGTCAGGACTTCCTGAGGCTGTGCCACCTGCACGTCCTCAAGCTTGGCAAAATAAACTTTCTAAATTAACTGAGACCTGTCTCAGATTTTCTGGGTTCACATTTATTACCACAAAGAGTCTGTTTTTTCAGTCTTATGACATCTATTTGAAAGTTAATGCTAATCAGTTGTGCCCAAACTCCAAAAGAGAGGGGGTAGATTGAGGACTGTCCCACCTCCCTGTCATGGCTGGGAATTCAGTTTTCCAGGTTTCTCTGGGGTCCTCTTGGTCCAGAGGGGCTCTGTTCAGTTGGTTGGGGGGGCTTAGGATTTTATTTTTGGTTTACATTCCTATGTGTTTTTGAGTGTTTGTGGATTCAGTGCCTGTGATCTCCACGCGGGAAGGACTAGGCCCATCCTGTCCACCACAGCTCACATGAACCTGGGCTCAGCCTCATGCACAGAGTGAACACTCAAAAATCTGTTGGGTCATGACGTCAGAGGCATTTGAACCAGAGCAACTCCATCTTGAATAGGGGCTGGGTAGAATAAGGTTGAGACCAACTGTGCTGCATTCCCAGATTAGGCATTCTAAGTCACAGGATGAGATAGGAGGGTGGCACAAGATACAGGTCATAAAGACCTGATGATAAAACAGCCTGCAGTAAAGAAGCCAGCCAAAGCCCACCAAAACCAAGATGGTGATGAGAGTGACCTCTGGTCATCCTGACTGCCTATTATACACAAATTATAATGCATTAACATGCTAAAAGACACTCCCACCAGTGCCATGATAGTTTACAAATGCCATGGCAATGTCTGGAAGCTACTGTATATGGTCTAAAAGGGGGAGGAACCCTCAGTTCCAGGAATTGCCCACTTCTTTCTTGGAAAACTCATAAATAATCCACCTTGTTTAGCATATAATCAAGAAATAACTATAAGTATACTGAGCCACTGCTCTGCCTATGGAGTAGCCATCCTTTTATTCCTTTCTTTTTTCTTTCTTTTTTTTTTTTTTTTGAGACCGAGTCTCGCTCTGTTGGCCAGGCTGGAGTGCAATGGTACGATCTTGGCTCCCTGCAACCTCCACTTCCCGGGTTCAAGTGATTCTCCTGCCTCAGTCTCCTGAGTAGCTAGGATTACAGGCACGGCACCACTACCCCTGGCTAATTTTTGTATTTTTAGTAGTGACAAGGTTTCACCATGTTGGTCAGGCTGGTCACACACTCCTGACCTTGGGATCTGCCTGCTTTGGCCTCCCAAAGTGCTGGGATTACAGGCGTGAGCCACTGCGCCCAGCCTTATTCCTTTACTCTCTTAATAAGCTTGCTTTCACTTTACTCTATGGTCTCACCCCAAATACTTTTCTTGAGTAAGGCCCAAGAACCCTTTCTCGGGGTCTGGATTGGGACCCCTTTCTGGTAACAACAGCAAAGAGAGTATCTATTCCTAGAAATAAAATACGGGATAGATAATCTAGCCAGGAGAATGAAGGTTGAATATACATAGATTTTACTTGTGGACTTAGGGTTGATTTGAGTTAAATTTAGGAATTCAGGGGAAAAAAAGGACCCTTCATCTATTCCATTTGCTCTGGTTCTGACCACAATGGGGTCATTTGCAGAGCTGGTCACAAGCATGGCAGATGGTCTGTCTGCTTCACAATGTTGTACATGAAAGATTTAACATGAAACATGTAGCTTTAGGCAGATGATAAGGTCAAATACAGGTTAATCAGATTTTGGGCACCAATGTTGAGAAGGAAATTGACAGCACAGAAAGAAGGTGGGTTTGAGGACAGAGGTCAATCTGCACATATCATAGTACAATTTTCTTAAAAGTTCATTTAATCTCAGTTTCTTTCTATGTAAACAACACAGTTCTTGTGTGAGGATCCATTGAAATGTGAGAAATTACAGCAGAAAGAGCCATGGCTCTGCAGGCGAGGGTGCAGGCTGTGAGGCTGTGGAGTGCCCCTGAGGTTGTGTCTGTGGCCTCTGCAGTGGCTAACACACTATTTTCAGGCCCTGACTGACAGCATCCTGCAGCTGCCTGGCTTGGGGTATTTGGAAGGGCTCCAAACCCTTTTCTCAGTCACTCAAAGGAACTAGGCTAGAGGAGACTGTGGTGTGAGACGCGGTTAGAGGGAGGAGAGGGCTTTGTTCTTGGGCGTAGGAAGCTGGGCAGCCCTGTGTGTGGAGATGGATTGGTTCATCCCAACTGCTGGTGTGCTGAGAGGACAGGAGAGAGTGACTGCAGCTGTACCTGGAAGGGGCTTCTGTGTTCAGAAGATGACTGCAGTGAGGAGGGTTTCAGAGCAATCTTTCATCTTTCTGCTTCAAGCTCTGATGGCCTGGAGCCATCCCTCGGCACCCGCAAGTGGGGTGCTACTTTGGGAACCAGAGAGGAAGGCCAGGCATGTGTGTACACGTGTGTGTATATGCACGTGTGTGATGGTGCTTGTGTTTGTGCACACTGCAGTGTGTCTCAGTGGGTGTGTGCACAGGAGCGAGTGTGAGTGTGTACATGCCTATGAGTGTGAGTACATGAGTGTGTGTGAGTGCGTTTGTATGATTGAGTGTGTGAGTGAGTTTGCGTGCCCTCTCTGGCTGGCTGGCAGACACTGTGCACATTAAGTGTGCAAGTGCAGAGAGACTGAGAGGACATCACTTCCAAAGAGGGGAAGCTGGCCCCAGTGGAGGGTGGGGAATAGCAGGGAGGGTCAGGATCCCCATAGCCCAGGGCTGTAGGGGTTATGGAGGTACTGGTCAGTGTTAGGCCTTTGTGCTGGAAAAATCCATTCTTGCATACTCAGGGCTAAGTCTGGAGATTAAATATTCCAGCTCAGGGTCTTTTATTAGCCTTGGCAATGGCCCAGGAAAGGCCATGTCTTAGCACACTGAGTCTGAACTCATCTACTTTCTATTCACTCGACACCTGTTTATTGTCTGTCCACTTGCTAAGGCTTAGGGTTTCAGAAGTGAATAAGATGATGTCCTTGCCCTCAAGCGTCATACAGTCTGGTGAAGAACTCAGGTTCAAACAGTCTGATAAGCATTTTCTTGCTGTACTATTCAGGGTTTCTGAGAGAAACAGAGCCTATGGGAAGAGTGTCTGTGTGTGTAGATTTATTTTAAGGAATTGGCTCATGTGATTGCGGAGGCTGGCGAGTGTGAAATCTGCAGGGCAGACTGGCAGTCTGGAGACCCAGAGAGGGGTTGATATTGCAATTTTGACTTTTGAGGCCAAACGCAGCCTGGAGGAAGAGTTTCCTCTTCCTGGGGGACCTCAGTCTTTTCTCTAAGGCCTCAACTGATTGGATGAAGCCCACCACATTATGGAGGGTGGACTGCTTTACTCAAAGTCTGCTGATTTCAATGTTAATCTCATTTAAAAAACAGCCACACAACATCTAGACTGGCTTTTGACCAAATATTTGGGTACTGTGGCTCAGCCAAGTTGACATAAAACTAACCCTCCTACTTGCTGTGGTAGGAAACCATGAGAAGCCAAGTGTGGAGCCGTAGGGCGGGAGAGGCCATGTGAGTTGGGGGTCCAGGGAATCAGTGCCTGGTGGAGGATGGGACTAGCCACAGTAGATCAGGGAGTGGGAAGCAGAGGGCAGGCACTGCAAGGAGAGCAAGGCGGACTGCTAGCGCTGTGGTGCCAGTAGCGGGGGCAGGTGGCACCTGCAGCCTCCTAGCCCATGGCTCATGGGGGTGTGAAGGGGCTGATGGGGAAGCCCAGTTAAGCTGCAAGCTGGGGGAGCACTGTGCAGGGCATGGGAGGGAGATACCCTCAGATCAAAGGCTCCTGGCATTTAGAGAGGCCACATTCCCCCTTGCACATGTGTGTGTGAGCCTGGAGCTGGGTGGTATCATGTGTGCTTTTACACGATGTGCCTCAAGTTGGGAAGTCAAAGGTCTTTATGAATTGAGCTTATGAAAAACGTTGGCAGTACAGGGGAAAGTGTGTGTAGATGGGCTCTTTGGTATGCCCCCTCTGACCCTCCCAACATGGGTGACCCGGAGCCCGGCTATTTAACTTCTCTGAGTCTCAGTTAAATAGAGACCCTTGTAACATTTCACAGGGCATGGTGACATTTAATGGTGTCTGTGATAGTCCCTGGCATGTGGCCTGGCTGTGTCCCCAGCGATGGTGACAGTGTTCCTGGCAGCAAGGCCAGTGCGTTCAGTGTTGTTGCAGTGGCTTTACATGTCATTCCAAGTTTCCTGAGGAAACTCCATAGGAGTGTCTTAGGTGAATCCTTTGTTAATCCTGAAACAATGTTCTTGTGGAAACAGTGCAGAGTGCAGGCAAAGAACATGGAAGGTAAGGAAGACTTACAAACTGAGGGGTTCCCAGAAGCATGGTGGTCACTTACCTTATTTCCAAGGTTGTTGCACCTGGGACAGTGCTTTGTACCTAGTGGATGCACCATAGATATTTGTTAAACCAGCGTATACTAAGCAAGTGTGTTTGATATTTGTTAACCGTTTGGGGAACTCACATTGCAGGAAAAGCTTCAGGAGCTGAAGCTGCATGTGGTTGATGGTGGGATCCCTGCTCAGACATAGCACAGAGCTCAGCCCACGGAATGTATTTGGAGACTGCCCGGTGAAAGGGAAACCTAAAAATATGTGCGGACAGCCTCATTACTCAAATATCAACAAATACCAAGTTGCAGTCCTGGAAGAAGAGAATCTCATAAGCTTGAGCAGTAGTCCAAGAGGCATTTTAATAACACCTCCTGATTTTCCCGCAGCATATGGTCCTGGTAATTAGCACAGCTCCACATGGCTTCCCCTTGCTATAAGCCGGTGACATGACGCAAGAGAAATCAGCAGGACATTGCAGTTTATTTTGACTTAGAATGCATGCAGCTACATATGGCTTTAATAAGCTTTGAATTAATAATCCCTTTACCTCATTAATGTTTTTAAAGCAGGCTGTTCTGGTCTTTCCTGAAAGATAGGAAGACCAAAAATGTGGGATCAAAGCAGCTTTGCTGTAGTCCCAGTGCAGCTTTGCTCTGGTCCCCACGCATCTCAGGTCTCTAGAATGTCCGGTGTGCATCTCCACTGGGCACTAACTAGTGAATCTGTTGGCCTAGAGGGAAGTCTCTGATGGCCACCAGGCTCTGTCCCAGCCCGCGTCTTGATTAGCGTGTTTATCATAGCAAGGGGATTCATGAAATCTGCAGATAACATGGTGAAAGACCATTTATTTAGAGTCAAAATCTAAAATTATCTTGCCAACCTGGACAAATATCTCAGGATAAAATCTGTGAGGGAAAACTTTGAGGACTTTGATTGGGACCATTTGGCTTCAGAAAGTGTGAAAAGACTTGCTGTTAGAGAAAAGTGTTAGGCCAGTGGGATGCAGCTTTAAGAGAAGCCTGTGTCTTATACAAGGCAGACTCCATGGGGGTGTTGTGCATCATTCTGGGCAGCACTGTGTCTGGGAGATGTAAATCAGGAGGAGCGAGGACTGATGAGACAGACAAAAAAGAAAACCCATCCCAGCACTTTGGGAGGCCAAGGTATGCGGATCACAAGGTCAAGAGATCAAGACCATCCTGGCCAACAAGGTGAAACCTAGTCTCTACTAATACTACAAAAATTAGCTGGGCATGGTGGTGTGCACCTGTAGTCCCAGCTACTCAGGAGGCTGAGGCAGGAGAATCGCTTGAACCCGGGAGGCAGAGGTTGCATTGAACCGGGATTGCGCCACTGAACTCCAGCCTGGCAACAGAGCGAGACTCCATCTCAAAAAGAAAAGAAAAGAAAACCCAAAGCTTCTGGACACATCAACCCATCAACCTCTTTCTTCTCCTTGTCTCCTCAATGCCTGCCTAGGAGGAAACATCCCTGAAAGGGGTTTAAGCTTCCAATTGGTTGGTCTATTAGCTGTTCTGTTGATGAGAACACATTGCTGGTGGGAGCAGGCAGAGGATGGGGTGTCCACTCTTTAGGAGAGTCTTCCAGGGTTTCTAGAGAGAAAGCTGGGGTTTTATGGGAGCGTGCAATGGGGCTCAAGGACAATGGGAGGAGCTGAGTGCTGCCTGAGGTAGTGCCCTGGCCCTATAATTCACCTGTCAGAGCCTTGAGAAAGTTTCTGGTGCTCCCTGAGCTTGAGTTTTCTCCTCTGTACTGTGTGACATCCCAGTACCATTGTGAAAGTAAAAGAAGATCAGGGACACTGATCAGGACAACTGTAGAGTCCTGTGCCAGGGAAAGGGTCATTTTTATATTCCCAAGGTATTAAGATGGTAGCTGGGAGTAGATTCACCCAAGCTTTGTCTTCAGCCAACTTCCACCTCCCAGGAGGTTGCCAGGGGAGATATGCACAGTCAGCAAAAACAGAAGAAGAATCTCTTTATTGCTTCCTGGGGTTTTGTCCTAAACTAATGTAGTTTTATAGTGAGTTGGTCTCCTATTCTCCAGGTTGGATGTAGCCTGGGACTATGACCCAGGACAATCTCCACCCCTCTCCTTTAAGCTCACACTGGAGACTTGGACCTCCACATCTCATTACTCTGCTGGAAGAAGCAGCCAGCTCCAGGACTGCATGGGCCAGAGAGAAAAAGCAATACAAAAAAGAGAGCAGAGGATATCACAGAAAAATGGCAAAGTTGGGGACTTCAGGGCTCTGTCCCTCCAGAAAATCAACTAATGAGCTAGTCAGAATGTCAGAAACAGTGTTGGCAGAACTCTGGAATCTAGTGAAAAAATTTGGAAGGCTTGGTAAAGAAAGAAGCAGTGTCTGGGTGTGGCAGCTCACACCTGTAGTCCCAGCACTTTGGGAGGCAGAAGTGGGAGGACTGCTTGAAGCCAGGAGTGTAAGATTAGCCTAGGCAACAAAGGGAGACCTCGGCTCTACAAATTTTTTTTTTAAAATTAGCTGTGTGTGGTGGCATGCACCTGTAGCCCTAGCTACTCAGGAGGCTGAGGCAGGAGGATCACTTGAGCCCAGGAGTTTAAGGTATAGTGAGCTATAAGTGAGTCACTGCACTCTAGCCTGGATGACAGAGTGAGACTTTGTCAAAAAAAAAAAGCAGCCAGCTGCACTTCAAATTGCATGCCTATCGTCCTCCACGTCCCAGACTGGCAGAGGTTATGAGGATAGCAGCCCACATTCCTGGTGCAGGTTAACAAGGCCAGAGGGAGCAACATAGACCTTATCCTGAAAGAATTGTGGTTGTAGGCTTTAGCCTGTCTTAAATATTGGTTGTTCCTTAATTCATCTATCATTGCCTTCTTTTGACATTAATTTTTTCTAGAGTACTATTTGAAAAATGATATGCAGGCAATTTTAGCTTAATTTAATCATTCCACATTATTTACATTTATCAAAGCATCACGTTGTGTCCCATAAATCTATACAAGAATGATTTGCTAACTAAAAATATTAAAAAAATTAAAAGACATAGAGAAAGGAATTAGCGAAATGTCAGAAGTTATTCCTTACTAGTAATTACTTTAAATGTAAGTGGATTTAATTCTCTAATTAAATGATAGAGACTGCCAGAATGAATTAAAAAACCATGATGCATCTATATGTTATCTACTAGAGACTCACTTTAGATCCAAAAACAGATTTCAAGTGAAAGGATGGAGAGTGATATTTCATTAATAGTAACCAAAACAGAGCAGAGATGGCTGTACTAATATCAGACAAAATAGACTTTAAGACACATATTGTTATAAGACACAAAGAAGGAAATTATACATTGATTAAAAAGTCAGTTCAAGAAGGTATACTAACATACACACCTAATAATAGAACCCCTAAACATTTAAGGCAAAAAGTGCTTGAATTGGATTGAGTAATAGATAGTTACATGATAATAGTTGACAACTTCAATAACCCACTATTAATAGTATATTGAACAACTAGATAGAAGTAAATAATTTACCAATTAAAAAAATGTGTTGAATCACATTATAATCCAACGGGACCTTATAAAAATATATAGAATACTGTACCCCAAAACAACAAAATACATATTTTTATCAAGTGCACATGGAACATTTTCCAGAAAAGAACATATGTTAGGCCACAAACCAAGTCTCAATAAATTTAAGGATATTGACATCATATGAGTGATTTTTCCAACCACAATGAAACAAAACCAGAAAAGAATAATAAAAGAAAAATTGCAAAATTCACAAATATGTGGAATTTTGAGACAGATTCTTACTCTAAAGCCCAGGCTGAAGTGTAGTTGTGCTATCTCAGCTCACTGCAACCTCCACCTCCAGGGTTCAAGTGATCCTCCTGCCTCAGCCTCCTGAGTAGCTGGGATTACAGGTGTGCACCATCACACCTGGGTAATTTTTGTATTTTTGATAGAGATGGGGTTTTGCCATGTTGGCCAGGCTGGTCTCAAACTCTTGACCTCAAGTGAGCCGCCCACCTCAGCCTCCCAAAGTGCTAGGATTACAAGTGTGAGCCACCGGGCCTGGCCAAAGGTGTGGAAATTAAATAACACAAATGATGAATGAATTACAGAAATTGCGAATGAAATTAGAAAATATCTTGAGATATTTTCTCAAGATACCAAACCTATAGGATACAGCAAAAGCAGTGCTCAGAGGCAATATGTAAGTATAAAATGCTTACATTTAACAAAATCCCAAAGCAATAATCTAACTTTACATCTTAAGGTGCTAGAAAAAGAAAATCCAGCTAAACCGAAAGTTGGGAGAAGAAAGGAGATAGTAAAGATTGGAGCAGAGGTAAACAAAATGGAGAATAGAAAACAATTGAGAGATTCAACATACCCAAAAGTTGGTTTTTTATCTGCAGAATTGGCAAAACTTTGGCTAGTTTGACCATGGAAAAAAAGGGAGAAGACTCAAATTAGGAAAATCAGAAATGAAAATGGAGGCTACAGATCTTACAGAAATAAAAAGGATTATGAGAATACTATGAATAATTGTACATCAACAAATTAGATAACTCTACATGGAACAAACAAATTCCTAGAGACACACAAACTATTAAAACTCATTCAAAAACAAATAGAATACTTGAACAGAACTACAAAAGTAAAGAGATTGAATCAGAAACCTCCCAACAAAGAAAAGCCCTAGATCTGAAGGCTCCCTTGGTGAATTCTAATGATCCTCTTAAGAACCTCTAACAGAAATCTTTCTTGAACTCTCCCAAAAAATGGAAGCAGAAGGAATATTTACTAGCTTATTCTATGAGTCAGATATCAAAGGCAGATAAAGACATCATAAAAATTATAGACTCTTATTCCTATAAATACAAATGCAAAAATCCTGAACAAAAACAAACAAACTAAATCTAGCAGCATATTAAGAGGATTGTATTATACATCATGACCAATTTGGATATACTCCAGAAATGAGAAGGAAGATTCAATACGTAAAAATCAATCAGCATAATATTAGAAGGACAGATAAAACCCCATGTGATCATCTTAATTGAGGCCAAAAAAGCATATAACAAAATCTCAAACACTTTCATAATAATAACACCCAACATACTAGGAATAGAAGGAAACTCTTTCAAAGCAATAAAGGCCGTTTATAAAAAACACAGCTAACTTTATACTTAATTGTGAAAGACTGAAAGCTTTTCCCCTAAGACCATGGTGCCTGCTTTCACCACTTCTATTCCACATTATACTGGAACTTCTAGCCAGAACACTTAGGTAAGACAATGAAAATAGAAAGCATCCAATAGGAAAGAAGGAAGTGAACTTACTTCTACTTGCAGATGAAACAATCTTATATGTAGATAAACCTGAAGACATACCAAAAAAGTCCAAAACTATTAGAGTTACTAAATAAATTCAGGCAAGTTGCAGGATATAAGCTTAACACACAAAAATAAGTTCAAAATTATAAACCATTAATAAATGAAATACAGACAACACAGATAAATGAAAAGACATCCCATGTTCCACCCATGTTCATGGATTAGGAGAATATTGTTAAAATGTCCATACTACCAAAGTGATCTATAGATTCAATGAAATCCTTTCAAAATCTCAATATCATTCTTTATAAAAATAGAAAAAGTCCCCAAATTCATATGAGACCACAAAAGATCCCAAATATCCAAAGCAATCAAGAACAAAGCTGGAGGCACCTCACTCCTCAATTTCAAAATACATTACAAAGCTATACTAATCAAAACAGTATGATATTGGTATAAATACAGAGATAAAAAAATCAATGGAATAGAATAGAGAGCCTAGAAATAAATCCATATATTTAAAATCAACTGATCTTCAACAAGGATACCAAAAGCACACAATGGGTAAAGGATAATATCTTCAAAGAATGATGCTGGAAAACTGGATACCCACATGCAAAAGAATGAAGTTGGCTCTTTATCTCACCCCATATAAAAACCAATTCAAAATACTTAAAAGCTAAAATGTAAGACCTGAAACTATAAAACTACTAGAAGAAAACATAAGGGAAAATCTCCACTGTGTTGGTCTTGGCAATGATTTTTTTGCGCAGGCAACAAAAGCAAAAATATACAAGAGGATTGTGTCAAACTAAAATGCTTCTATCCAGCAAAAGAAACAATCAACAGAGTGAAAAAGCAACCTATAGAATGGGAGAAAATATGTGTAAACCATACATATGTTAAGGGTTAATATCCAAAATATATAAGAAACACATACAAGTCAATAGCAAAAACCAACCAACCAACCAAACAAAAACCCCCAAATTATCCAATCAAAAATAGGCAAAGGACCTGAACAGAAAATTTTCAAAAGAGGACGTACAAATGGCCAACAGATACAGAAATAGGTGCTCAGCATTGCTACTTATGAGGGAAATGCGAATCAAAACCACAGTGAGATATCACTTCATGCCTATTAGAATGGCTACTATCAAAAAGACCAAAGATAACAAGTCTTGTTGACAATGTGGAGAAAATGAGGATTCTGCAAAAGATTAAAAGTAGAACTACCATATGATCTAGCACTTCTAGTATATATCCAAAGGAAATGAAATCTGGATCTCAAAGAGATATATGCACTCCCATGTTCACTGTGGCATTATTCACAGTAGCCAAGATATGGAAACAACCTAATGGCTGAATGGGTAAAAAAAAAAATGTGGTGTGTGTGTGTGTCTGTCTCTGTGTGTGTGGTGTATGCATGTGTGTGTGTTTGTGTGTGTGTGGTGTGTGCATGTGTGTGTGTGTCTGCGTGTGTGGTGTGTGCATGTGTGTGTGTGTGCACACAATAGGATATTATCCAGCCTCTAAAAAGACAGAAATACTGCCATTTGCAATTACATGGATGAGCCTGGAGGACATTATGCTAAGTGAAATAAGCCAGACACAGAAAAAGAAATGTTGCATCACTCATATGGATACTAAAACAGCCAAACTCATAGAAGCAGAGACTAGAATGGTGGTTGCTGGGATTGGGGGTGAGAGTGAGAAGGAAATGAGCAGACATTGGTCAAAGAGTATAAAATTTCAGTTATGCAAGATGAATTTGTTCTGGAGTTCTAATATACAGCATGGTGAATACAGTTAACAATACTGTATTGTATACTTGAAATTTGCTAAAATGATAGATCTTGTGTTATCCTCACACATAAAAAAGAAAGAAAATGGTAACTATGTGAGGTGATAGATATGTTAATTAGCCTGATCATGGTGATAATTTTACAATACATACATTTATCACAATATCTAGTTGCATATTTTAAAAATATACAATTCCTATTTGTCACTTATACTTCAATAAGGCTGAAAATAAGCAGTAGTTATCAACGCAGTGTGGTACTGGCATAAAGATAGACATAGATCAATGGAATAGAATCAAGAGTCCAGAAATAAACCCCATACTTTTATGGTCAACTGATTTTGAACTGGGTGCCAAGACCATTCAATGGGGAAAGAATTGTCTCTTCAACAAGTGGAGCTGAGAGAACTGAATATTCACATGCAAAATAAGGAAGTGGGATCGCTACCTTATACCTATATAAAAACTAATTCAAAATAGATCAAATGGCTAAATGTAAGAGCCAAAACTATAAAGCTATTCAAAGAAGACATAAAGATAAACCTTCATGACCTTGTATTTGGCAATGGATTCTTAGATATAACATTAAAAGAACAGCAACAAAAGAGAAAACTGACAAACTAGACTCATCAAAATTAAAAACTTTTGTGAACCAAAGAAGACTATCAAGAAAATGAAAATACAACCTACAGAATGGAAGAAATTTTTGCAAGGCATATATTTAATAAGAGTCTAGTATCCACAATATACCAAGAACTTGCACAACTCAACAATAAAAAGACAAACAATCCAATTAAAAAATGGGCAAAGTATTTGAATAGACATTTCTCTAAAGAAGATATATAAATTAGCGACAAGAACATGAAAAGATGCCCAACATCATTCTT
The DNA here is from genome assembly GCF_000001405.40 of Homo sapiens. Taxonomy (NCBI): domain Eukaryota; kingdom Metazoa; phylum Chordata; class Mammalia; order Primates; family Hominidae; genus Homo; species Homo sapiens. Next base: position 45,303,013 of record NC_000007.14, read on the forward strand.
TATTTGGGAAACACAAATCAAAACCACAATGTGATACCACTTCGTACCCACTAGGATAGCTAATTAGAAAATGGAAAATAAGTTTTTGCAAGGATAGGAGAAACTGGAACACTTGTACATTGTTAGTGGGAATGTAAAATGGCTCAGCTACTGTAGAAAACTGTTTGGGAATTTCCCAAAAAGTTAAACATAGAATTACCATATGACCAGTAATTCCACTTCTAGGTATATACTCAAAAGAACTGAAAACGGATATTCAAACACTTGCACATAAATGTTCATAGCAGCACTATTTCCAAAAGCTAAAAAATAGGAACAACCCAAATGTCTATCAGCTGAGAATGGATAAACAAAATATGGTATATCCATACAATGAACTGTTATTGAGTCATGAAAAGAATAAAGTATCGACACATGCTACAACATGGATGAATCTTGATAATAAAATGCTCGTCGGACCACCTTCCTAGCTTGGGGTGTCATCTTTGAAGTGTCTCCTCGGCTTTGGGAGTGATCAGATGGCTCTGCCACAGCCTCTGTCCCCTTGTGACCTACAGGTACTGGGAGATCCGTAAATAAGACGACAGAACACCCTGGAAGCTGGGAAATGGGACTGTTGACATTCAGGAATGTGACCAAAGAATTCTCTCTAGGTAAGTGAGAATGACTGGACCCTGCTCAGTGGAAATTGTATAGGAATGTGATGTTAGAACTACAGAAACCTGGTCTTCCTTTTTGTCTTGTTCTCCAAGCTGAACCTGATCACCTATCTGGAGCAAAGGAAAGAGCCCTGGGATGCGAAGAGGCAGGAGATAGTAGCTAAAGCCCCAGCTACGTATTCTTATTACAACCAAGGTTGTTTGTCAGAGCAAAGCATAGAAGATTCATTCCGAAAAGTGATACAGAGAAGATATGGGAGCTGTGGCCTTGAGAATTTACACTTAAGAAAAAACTGGGAAAGTATGGGTAACTGTGAAGGGCAAAAAGAATGTTATAATGCATATAACCAGTGTCTGATAACTACTCTTAACAATAATTTAAGTGCCAAAGGAGACTAAGAACATAAAATATCTCAGAAGAAACCTCAATTTATGTCTGCTACTTCTACAGAACCCTGTTTTTTTTTTCTTTTGGTAAGAATCAACATTAATTTTTGAAATTTTTTTTGTAATGAAAATCAGGAAAACTTTAACAATGGCTCACATGTTAGTAAACATCAGAGTGCTCATTTTTCAGAGAACTTTTACAAATGTAACAAATGTGGGAAAGCCTTTCACCAATCCACAAAATTATTACCAGAGTATTGATATTCAACAGATGTCTTACAAATGTAACGAATGTGGTAAAACTTAATTTTTTTTAACTTTTAATTTTTATGGTACACAGTAGGTGTATACTTGTAGGATACACGAGATGTTTTTGTACAGGTGTGCAATGTGTAAATTGGGTATCCATCCCCTCAAGTGTTTATCCTTGGTGTTACAAACAATTCAATTATACTCTTTTAGTTATTTAAAAATGTATAATTACATTGTTATTGACTATCGTACCCCTGTTATGATATCAAATACTAGGTTTTATTCATTCTCTCTAAATACTTTTTTTGTACCCATTAACCATCCCCACCTTGCCCCTAGCCCTCACTACCCTTGCCAGTCTCTGGTAACCATCCTTCTATTCTCTATCTCCATGAGTTCAATTGTTTTGATGTTTAGATCTCACAAATAAATGAGAATATATGATGTTTGTAGAAAAAAAGAGAGGAAAATATAATGCTCGTTGAAAGACCCAGACACCATAGGTTACATATTGTATGATTCCATTTACATTAAATACCTAGATAGGTAAAGCCATAGAGACAGAAAGCAGATTAGAGGTTGCCACGGGCTGGGGGTCAGAGGAGAAAGAGACAGTGACTGCCTAATGGATACAAGGTTTTATTTGGGGCTGATGAAATGTTTTGGGACTACAGGTGATACTTGCACAACATTGTGAATATACTAAATGCCACTGGTTTGTACACTTTAAATTGGCTAATTTTATGATAGGTAAATTTTACTTTAATTTTTTAAAAAAGAAGGCAGCCAGAGTAAGACAGGGCACCCCGATGTCCAGAGTGGAGTTGGCTGTAGGTGAGCAGGTGAGGGGATAAAATTATGGGGGAGATGGGACCTCTTCCTAGGGTATTTGTTATCTGTGTGGAGGTAGCAGGTAGTTGTGAGTGAGCAGGATGTGGAAGGCTCTGTAGTGGAAGACTCCAGTGCCGACTTCACAAGAAAAGCACATCCAAAAGGACAGGGTGGACATTCGTCTAGGCTGATTGGCATTTTCAGTGTGCCCTGCTCTGTAACGTGTAGGACTGGGAGCCTGTTGGAAATGCAGAATCTCAAGCCCTGTTCCAGACTCCCTGGATTAGAATCAGGTGTGATAATATCATCATGTGATCTTTAGGCACGTTAAAGTTTGAAAAATGTTGTAGAGAAAACAAAGCCCCAAATGTTTCATTGAACTTGACTAATCCATAACAAATTTCCTTGGGAATGAGGCAGAGAGGGAGTGAGTATTTTCTGGTTGAAACACAGAGAAACTGTTCCCAGATACAAGTCTGCCCAATATTTGCCTTTCATGGTAGCATTTATTTCAGGAGCTGAAACACCAAAATGAACACATTGAAAACCTAAAGGTATGTGGCCAGGCGCAGTGGCTAACGCCTGTAATCCCAGCAATTTGGGAGGCCAAGGCAGGTGGATCACAAGGTCATGAGATCGAGACCATCCTGGCTAACATGGTGAAACCCCTTCTGTATTAAAGAATACAAAAAATTAGCTGGGTGTGGTGGCGGGCCCCTGTAGTCCCAGCTACTTGGGAGGCTGAGGCAGGAGAATGGCATGAACTTGGGAGGCGGAGCTTGCAGTGAGCTGAGATCATGCCACTGCATTCCAGCCTGGGCGACAGAGTGACTCCGTCTCAAAAAAAAAAAAAAAATCCTAAAGGTATGTATGTCAATTTTTACAATGCTTGAAAATTGGGAAATAAAGAAAAGTTGAAAAAAATAAACATGTCAATCATAATCCCATCTCCAAGAGATAACCAGTATTAACATCCTGCTTTTGCAGACATCCTACACAGCCTAAGGATTGGCTGAAGATGTACCCGTGAGAGCCTTCTCCTCTAAGTGTGGTCATGTGCCCCAAAAGGAACTGAGGGACTTTCAAAAAGATGCTCTCTCTACATTGCATCTCTGTCACCAGACTCCTGTCTCTCTCTCTAGACCAGCTGCTTGGAAGGAGCAAGCTGCCCACAGTATGTTCAGTCACAGGGAGAGACACTTCTCTGCATTGGAGCCAACGTTTATGGAGAAAGAAGAGCTCAGCCTGGGTCATGTTCCCACTGGATCACTGCACTAGCATGGTACCTTAGGCTGTAGTTATGTGGGTGGACCAGGGATGGGCACAGTGAGATTGCTTTAGAATTCTACTGCAAGACTAAAACATAGATAGTTCAAGGAAATATTGAGGGATTTATGTAAAGTAAACTAGGTTTAGTTAAAATTGACTTATTTTGGACACATGAATCTGTTTAGTTTCTAAGAAAAGATGATGAGAATGTAGGATTATCCTTGTCACATTCAGAGTAATAAGAAAGATACTAATGCTAACTTTAAGAATTTGGAACCAGTTTTCACTAAAATATTCTTATATCTGAAATGCCTAAAAAGTTGTTTTGTAACTTTTTATTTTGAAATAATTATAGATTCCCAGGAAGTTGCAAAAATGGGAAAGAGAGGTTGTGTGCACCTGTTACTCAGTTTTTCCCAGTGGATACATCTGATATGGTTTGGATGTTTGTCCTTTCCAAATCTCATGTTGAAATGTGACTCCCAGTGTTGGAGGTGGGGCATAGTGGGAGGTGACTGAATCATGGGAGTCAATCTCTTGTGAATGGCTTAGCACTATTCCCTTGGTGATAAGTGAGTTCTTGCTCAAGTAGTTCATGTGAGATCCGGTTGTTTAAAAGAGTCCAGGATCTCCCCCTTCTCTCTCTCTTGCTCCATTTTGCCACGTGTCACTGGCTCCTCATCACCTTCTGGCATGATTGTGAGTTTCCTGAGGCATCACTAAAGAGCACATGTTGGCACCATGCTTTACAGCCTGCAGAGCCACGTGCCAAAATAAAGTTTTTTTCCTTATAAATTGCCCAGCCTCTGGTCTGCCTTTAGAGCAGTGGTCCCCAACCTTTTTGGAACCAGGGATTGGTTTTGTGGAAGACAAGTTTTCCATGGACTTGGGGTGGGGGGTGGGGGGGCATTAGATTTTCATAAGGAACATGCAACCTCAATCCTTCACATGTGCGGTTCACAATAGGGTTTGTGCTCCTATGAGAATCTAATGCTGCTCCTGATCTGACAAGAGGTGGAACTCAGTCAGTAATGCTCACTTACCTGCTGCTCACCTCCTGCTGTGCGGCCTGGTTCCTAACAGGCCACGGACCAGTACTGGTCCATGGCCCTGGGGTTGGAGACCCTTGCTTTAGAGCAACATAAATGGACTAACACAAAGAACAGATACTAATAATTGGGGCATTGCTATAAAGATACCTGAAAGTGCAGAAGCAGCTTTGGAACTGGTTAACAGGCAGAGACTGGAAGAGTTTGGAGGACTCAGAAGACAGGAAGATGAGGGAAAATTTGGAAGTTCTTGAAGACTGGTTAAATGGTTCTGACCAAAATCATAGAAATGTGGACAGTGAAGGCCAGGCTGATGAGGTCTCAGATGGAAATGAGGAAGTTACTGGAAACTAGAGTAAAGATCACCTATTTTATGCCCTAGCAAAGAACTTAGCTGCATTGTGTCCAAGCCCTAGGGATCTGTGGAAACTTGAAGTTAAGAGTGATAACCTAGAGTATCTGATGGAAGAAATTTCTAAGCAGCAAAACATTTGAGATGTGGTATGGTTGCTTCTAACTGCCTACAACCAGATACGGGAGCAAAATAGTGAATGTAAAAATTTGAATATAAAAATTTGAAAAATTTGCAGCCTGGCCCTGTGGTAGAGAAAGTATCCAAGCAGGCTAATTAAAAGGGAACCAAGTGCTAATATCCAAGACAATAGAAAAAAAGACTTGAAGGCATTTCAGAAGTCTTCAGGACAGCCCCTCCTATCCCAGGCCTAGAGGCCTGGGAAGAAAGAATGGTTTCAGGGGCCAGGTCCAGGATACTGCTGTCCTGCTTACCCTCAGGACACTACTGCCTGCATTCCAGCCACTTCAGCTCTAGCCTTTCGTCAAAGTGGCCCAAGTACAGCTTGGGTTGCTGCTCTGGAGGGTGCAAACTATAAGCTTCGGTGGCTTCCACATGGTGTCAAGCAGGTGTAAAGAATGGAAGTCATCTTTCTTTCTTTGTTGGTCTAGCTAGGAGTTTATCAATTTTGTTTATCTTTAAAAAAACCTTTTCATTTCATTGATTCTTTATTTTTATAAGTCTACTTCATTTAGTTCTGCTCTGATCTTTATTATTTCTTTCCTTCTACTAATTTTGGGTTTGTTTTGTTTTTGCTTTTCTCATACCTTGAGGTGCATCAGTATATTGTTTATTTGAAATTTTTCTATTATTTTGATGTAGGTATTTATTGCTATAAACCTTCCTCTTAGCACTACTTTTGCTGTATCCATAGGTTTTGATATGTTATGTTTTGATTTTTCACTTGTTTCAAGAAATTTTAAAAATTTCTTCTTAATTTCTTCCTTGACCCAATCATCATTCAGGAGTACGTTGCTTAATTTCCAAGTATTTGTACAGTTTTCAGAGTTCCTTTTGTTATTTATTTCTAGTTTTATTCTATTGTGACCTGAGAAGATACTTGATATAATTTTGGTTTTTAAAAATTTGTTGGGAATTGTTTTGTGTCTTAACATATAATCTATCCTAGAGAATGTTCCATATGCTGATGAGAAGAATGTGTATTCTGTAGCTATTGGGTGAATTTTCTGTAAATGTTTGTTTGGTCCTTTTGGTGTAAAGTGCAGTTTAAATCCAGTATTTCTTTGTTCTGTCTAAAAGATCTGTCCAAGGCTGAGAGTGGGGTTATTGACATGCCTAACTATTATTGTGTTGGAGTCTCTCTCTCTTTAGATTTAATAATATTTGCTTTATATATCTGGATGTTCCAGTTTTGGGTGCATAGAGGTTTAGAATTGTTACATCCTCTTGCTGAAGTGATCCCTTTATCATTATATAATGACCTTCTTTGTCTGTTTTTATTGTTTCTGACTTAAGGTCTGTTTTATCTGATATAAGTTTAGCTACTCCTGCTCACTTTTGGTGTTTGTTTGCATGAGATATATTTTTCTATCTCTTTCCTTTCACTTTATATGTGTCATTATAGGTGAATTGAATTTCTCATAGGCAGCATATAGTTAGGTTATGTTTTTTTCATCCATTCAGCCAGTCCATATCTTTTAAGCAGAAAATTTGATGTATTTACATTCAGGGTTATTATTGATATATGATGTCTTATTCCTATAACTTTATTAATTTTTTTTTTGTATATGCTTTGTTTTTTCTCTCTTATTATTTATCATTATGGTTTGATGATTTTCTGTAATGGTAACATTAAGGCCTTTCTCTTTCTTATTTGTGTGTTTGCTTTACCAGCGGATTTTATACTTTCATGTATTTTCATGATGGTAGATATCATTCTTTCATTTCCAGATGGAAGTCTCCTTTAAGCATTTCTTGTAGAGCTGGTCTAGTGGTGATGAATTCTCTGAGCTTTTGCTTGTCTGGGAAAGAATTTATTTCACCTTCATTTATGAAAGATAACTCTGCTGAGTTTGGTGCCTTCAGCTGGCAGTTTTTTCCTCCCAGCACTTTGAATATATCATCTAATTCTCTCCTGCCTTGTAAAGTTTCTGCTGAGAAATCTGCTGTTAGTCTCATGGGTATTCTTTTATAAGTACCTAGATGTTTTACTTTTGCTGTTTCTAGAATTCTCTCTTTGTCATTTGACAGTTTGACTCTAATGTGCCATAGAGAAGATCTTTTTCAATTGTATCTATTTAGGGATCTCTTAGCTTTCTGTATATGGATGTTTAAATCTCTTGCTACACTTGGGAAGTTTTCAGCTATTATTTCATTAAGTAGGCTTTCTAGCCCTTTGGTCTCTTTGTCTTCTAGGACACCAAAAATTTGAATATTTGGTCAATTTATGGTGTCTCAAATGTCATGTAGACTTTGTTCTTTGGTTTTAAAATTTATTTTTCTTTACTTTTTTGTCCAAGTAGGTAACTTCAATAGACCTGTCTTCAAGTTCTGAAATTCTTCTGCTTGATCTGTTGTTGAAATTTTTTTTTTTTTTTTGAGGGAGTTTTGCTCTTGTCACCCAAGCTGGTGTGCAATGGCTTGATCTTGGCTCACTGCAACCTCTGCCTCCCAGGTTCAAGCGATTCTTCTGCCTCAGCCTCCGGAGCAGCTGGGATTACAGGTGTGCGCCACCACGCCCGGATAATTTTTGTATTTTTAGTAGAGATGGGATTTTGCCATGTTAGTCAGGCTGGTCTCAAACTGACCTCAGGTGATCCACCTGCCTTGGCCTCCCAAAGTGCTGGGATTACAGGTGTGAGCCACTGCACCTGGACTAAAACTTTCAAATGTAATTTTTATTTTGTTCAATGAACTCTTCATTTCTAGGATTTCTGTGTGGTTCTTTTTTGATATCTATCTCTTTGATAATTTTTTCATTGATATCCTGAATTATTTTTCTGATTTCTTTATATTGTTTACCTGTGTTCTCTTGTGTCCCACAAAGCTTCCTTAATATTATTAATTTGAGTTCTTTTTCTGGGAATTTATAAGTTTTTTTTTTCTATTAGAACTTGTTACTGGAGAACTATTGTGTTCTCTTAGAAGTATAATATTTCCTTACTTTTTCATGTTTCTTGTGTTCTTACATTGATATTTGTGCATCTGGTGTAACAGTTACTTCTTCCAATTTTTTTGGATTTGCTTTCATAAGGGAGGACTTTTTTTCCTGAAGATGTATCTATGATATTCGTTGAGTAGGGCACTTTGGCTTTGATTCTGGGTGTTTGCCATGGTGTATTCTCCATATAATTTGTTTGGCTTTCAACAGCATGAGTGGCATTTATGATCTTCTCAGTGGCTCAAAGTGTAGTTGTTAGTGGAGGCTGTGGTGAATTTTTGCTGGGGACAGAGATGGGGATTGGGCCTGTGCTCAGGCGCCAATGGGGGCGATGGTGGGCTTAGTATGAACATCTTTGGTTCCCAAAGTGGTGTAGACTGGAACCAGTTTTAGTGGGTCCAGGCATCTTTCTTGGGTGTCTGCAGTGGCAGCAGTGGACTTGACAGGTGGGAGAATGTTCAGGCTTCTGAGCAGCAGGTGTGGTGTGAGCAATGGCAATAGCAGTGGTGGGACAACCCTGTGGCTCCCAAGTGGTTTGCACTGATGGTGGTGGTGGTTATAATGGGCTGGGCAGATCAGTCTTCTGGCCTGAAGGTGGCATGCGCAAGTAAGTGCCAGCTCTGGTGTTAGTTGTAGGCTGTGTGAGCCTGTCTTCAGGCTTCTGGGAAAAGTGCTCAGAAGTGCCTAACAGGGAAAGATGATCCCGAGGCACCTAGATGGTGTGCTTGGGCATTGGGGAGGTGAGTGGGGCCAGGCTGGGCAGGCCTGTCTTCGTGACCCCCAGTGGTGCATATGGTTGCCGGCTGTGGTGGTAGGGGTGTGGTGATCCCTAGGCCTCTGGTAAGGTGCTCAGATGGGGATGGCAGTGGCTGCACTGCAGTCCTACTCCTGGTGAGGGCAGGGTTGCTTTCAGTGTCAGCAGCTATGGGCAGGTAGCTGGGGAGCTCGCATTTCTGCTCCAGGTGGTGGCTGCGGGTGGGATAGCCTGTCCTCAGGGTGCTTGTAAATGTATAGTGGCCCCATAGCTAATGATTGGGGGGTTGCTGCCAGTGGCTTGTGCTTTGGTCCCAGTAGCAGCAGCCCACAGTGACAGCTGTGGGCAGGGGTGCTGTCCTCAGGGTGTTTGTAAATGTGTGGTGGCTCTGTGGCTGTGGGTGGCAGTGTCACTGTCAGTGAGGTGCACTTTAGCACCCGGAGGCAGCAGGCAGCAGCAGTGGCAGATGCAGGCAGGAGAGCCTATCCTCAGGGCATTTGTAAATGCACTGTGGCCCCAGTGCTGAAGGTAGTGGGGTTGCTGCTAGTGGCATGCACTTCTACCCCAGTGGCATCATCCAGCAGCAATGGTGGCTGCAGGTGGGGGATGTCAGTGGAGTTCCAGGGATGTGGAGATGCAGAGGCTTTTGGCCCCAGGGCCAGATTCAGTATGATGGGGGCTGAGCTTCCAAAATAGTCCTGCACTGTAGCTGCTTAGGAGTCAGGGGGAGTATGGGACCTGGCATGAGCTCCCTCTCTGGAGCAACATCACCACACAGTCTCTAGGCAGCTCTCTATATCAGTCTCAGGACACACAAGGGTCAAGGGCCTTTCCCATGGCTAGGATTGGAGGAGTCTGTGATGGGAATGTGGACAATTGGGAGTCTCTCATTTACCCTTTTCCCACACTGGGGAGCCTCTCTGGGCTCCCAGATGATCCTGGCTGAGCAGGCTGCCTTGCTTCCATTTACTTCCTTGCTTTAGGTGTTTCCTGTCACTTCTATGTTGAATTCCAGTATTCTCTATTTGATGATCCATTTGAAGTGTGATTATCTACTCGTTATTTTTGTTCTTCTTTGTGGAGGAGGTGAATGTCAGGTGTCTCTACTCAGCCGTCTTGAAGCTTCTGACATTTTATATTTAAAACTATGATCCATTTGAGTTAATTTTACAAAAAGTATAAGGTTTAAATCAAAGTAATTTTTTTTTTTTGGCTATGGCTGTCTAAATGCTCCAGTGCCATTGTTGAAAAGGCTATTTTCCCCTCTACTTAGATTCTTGCTCTTTTCTAAAAATTCAGCTGGATGTATTTGTGAGCATATTTCTGGGTTCTTTATTCTGTCCACTGATCTATGTGTCTATACCTCTGCAACACTATACTGTCTCGATTACTGTAGCCATACCATAAGTCTTAGCATCAGGTAGAGTGATCTTTACATGTTTTCTTGCTTTGAAAAAAACTTTTTAAGCTAGTTCCTTTCCCCTTACATATAAATTTTAGAATAAGCTGGTCAATATATGTAAAATATGTTATTGGGATTTTGGTAAAATTATATTAAGCCTATATATCAATTCAGGGATAATTGAAGACTACTATATTGAGTCTTCCAATCCATGAGCATGATATATCTTGCAGTTTATTGAGACCTTCTTTGATTTCTTTCATCAGCATATTGTAGCTTTTTGTGTACAAGCCCTGTCAATGCTTTATTAGAATTATTGCTTAGTATTTCATTTTTAAGTGATTGCAAAGGGTATTGATTTTTTTTATTTTGGTTCTAACATGTTAATTATTAGTATATAGAAATATATTTAATTTTTGTATCTTCATTTTGTGTCCTGAGACATTAGTGAACTCTTTTGTTAGTCTAGGGTTAAAAAAAAAATTCTTCGTGATTTTCTACATACTTTCTTTTCTTGCCTGTCTGGCTAGATTTTCATTACTATGTTAAATAAGAGTGCTGGGAGAAGACATTATTGCTTTGTTCCCAATTAGGGGGAAAACATTAAGTCTATCACCATTATGTATGATATTACCTATAGGATTTTTTTTTCCTTGAGTAGATGTTCTTTATCAAGTACAGAAATTTCCTCTCCGTTCCTAGTTTTCAGAATGTCTTTATCATAAATTGGTGTTAAATTTTGTCAAGTGTTTTTCTGAATTTTTTGATATTATCATATGATTTTTCTTCTTTAGAGTGTTCATATGGGGAATTGCATTGATTGAATTTCAAATACTGAATTAGCATTGTATCCCTGGAATAAAACTTAGTTGGTCATGCCATATAATTATTTTTATATATTGCTGAGTTTAATTTGTTAATAATTTATTAAGAACATTTGAATCTATGTTCCTGAGAGATTTGGGTGTATATTTTCAGTTTTGGTACTATCTTTTTCTAATTTTGGTATCAAAGTACTACTGACCTCATAAAGTGAGTTGGGAAGTGTTTTCTCCTCTTCTCTTTTCTGGAGGAGATTTTGTAAAAATGTACTGTTTCTTCTATCAATATTTAGTAGAATTATGTGGTGAAATCAGTTAAGCTTGCAGGTTTCTTTTTTGTCTGTTTTTAAGTTGTGAATTTGATTCCTTTAATAGTTATAGGGATATTCAAATTATCTTCTTCATATTGAGTAATTTTGGTAGTTTGTGCCATTCAAAGATTGGTCTGTTTTATCTAAGTTGTCAAATTTTTGAGTGTTCTTTTTTCAAGTATTCTTTTATTATTCTTTTGATGCCTAGTAAGTGTGTAGTGATATTCCCTGTTCCAGTTTCAATATTAGTTGCATGTGTCTTCTCTGGGTTTTTTTTTTTTTGTCAGTCTTGATAGAAGTTGGTTAATTTTAATGGTCTTTTTTAAAAACTAGCTTTTTGTCACATTGATTTTTTCTGTTGCTTTTCTGATCATAATTTCACTGATATCTGTGCTTCTTAAAAGTATTTCCTTCATTGTGTTTCTTTGGGTTCATTTTTCTTTTATTCTAGTTTCTTGAAGTGGGAGCTTGGATTATGTAGTTGAGATTTTTCTTCCTTTTTAATGTAAGGATTCAATGCTATAAATTTCTCTTTTGGCACTGTTTTATCTGTGTCTCACAAATTTTAAGTCAGTTCTAAGTATTTTAAAAATTTCCCTGAAACTTCCTTTTTGAGTCATGGATTAGTTGTTTAATTTATCAGGTTGTGGAGATTTTCCAGTTATCTTTCTGTTATTGATTTCCAATATGATTCCACTGTGATCACAGAACTTACTGTGTATAATTTTAATTCTTTTTTGGTGAGGTTTGTTTATGGCTCAAGATATGGTGTAGCTTGGTAAATGTGTAAAAAATAATGTGCATTCTGCTGTAGTGAGGTAGAGTGTTCTAGAAATGCAAATTAGATCCTTTTGGTTGATGGTGTTGTTGAGTACTTCTATATTTATGATGACTAATTTTATGTGCAAACCTGGAGGGTATTTTTTGATGAAATTAGCATGTAAATCGCTGAACTTTGAGTAAAGCAGATTGTCTTACCTAGTGCAAGTGGGCCTTATCCAATCAGTTGAAGGCCTGCCCAGAACAAAAAGACCAGCCTCATCAAGCAAGAAATAATTCTCTGGGGGCGGTTCCAAGATGGCCAAATAGGAACAGCTCCAGTCCACAGCTCCCAGCATGAGCGATGCAGAAGACGGGTGATTTCTGCATTTCCAATTGAGGTACTGGGTTCATCTCACTGGGGCATGTCAGACACTGGGGGCAGGACAGTGGGTGCAGCCCACTGAGTGAGAGCTGAAGCAGGGCGAGGCATCACCTCACCCAGGAAGTGCAAGGGATCAGGGAATTCCCTTTCCTAGCCAAGGGAAGAGGTGAAGGACGGCACCTGGAAAATTGGGTCACTCCTACCCTAATACTGTGCTTTTCCAACCATCTTAGCAAACGGCACACCAGGAGATTATATCCCGCACTTGGCTCAGTGGGTCCCATGCACATGGAGCCTCGCTCTTTGCTAGCGCAACAGTCTGAGATTGATCTGCAAGGCAGCAGCAAGGCTGGGGGAGGGGCGGCCACCATTGCTGAGGCTTGAGTAGGTAAACAAAGTGGCCAGGAAGCTCCAACTGGGTGGAGCCCACTGCAGCTCAAGGAGGCCTGCCTGCCTCTGTAGATTCCACCTCTGGGGGCAGGGCATAGCCGAACAAAAGGCAGCAGAAACCTCTGCAGACTTAAATGTCCCTGTCTGACAGCTTTGAAGTGAGTAGTGGTTCTCCCAGCACAGAGTTTGAGATCTGAGAATGGACAGACTGCCCCCTCAAGTGGGTCCCTGACCCCCGAGTAGCCTAACTGGGAGGCACTCCCGAGTAGGGGCAGACTGACACCTGACATGGCCAGTACCCCTCTGAGACGAAGCTTCCAGAGGAATGATCAGGCAGCAACATATGCTCTTCAGCAATATTTGCTGTTCTGCAGCCTCCGCTGCAGATACCCAGGCAAACAGGGTCTGGAGTGGACCTCCAGCAAACTCCAACAGACCTGCAGCTGAGGCTCCTGACTGTTAGAAGGAAAACTAACAAACAGAAAGGACATCCACACCAAAAACCCATCTGTATGTCACCAGCATCAAAGACCAAAGGTAGATAAAACCACAAAGATGGGGAAAAAACAGAGCAGAAAAGCTGAAAATTCTAAAAATCAGAGCTCCTCTCCCCCTCCAAAGAAATGTAGCTCTTTGCCAGCAATGGAACAAAACTGGATGGAGAATGACTTTGACGAGTTGAGAGAAGAAGGCTTCAGACAATCAAACTTCTCCAAGCTAAAGGAGGAAGTTCAAACTCAACGCAAAGAAGTTAAAAACCTTGAAAAAAATTAGACGAATGGCTAACTAGAATAACCAATGTAGAGAAGTCCTTAAATGACCTGATGGAGCTGAAAAACATGGCACGAGAACTATGTGACGAATGCACAAGCTTCAGTAGCTGATTCGATCAATTGGAAGAAAGGGTATCAGTGATGGAAGATCAAACGAATGAAATGAAGTGAGAAGAGAAGTTTAGAGAAAAAAGAGTAAAAAGGAATGAACATAGCCTCCAAGAAATATGGGACTATGTGAAAAGACCAAATCTACGTCTGATTGGTGTACCTGAAAGTGACAGGGAGAAAGGAACCAAGTTGGAAAACACTCTTCAGGATATTTTCCAGGAGAACTTCCCCAATGTAGCCAGGCAGGCCAACATTCAAATTCAGGAAATACAGAGAATGCCACAAAGATACTCCTCAAGAAGAGCAACTCCAAGACACATAATTGTCAGATTCACCAAAGTTGAAATGAAGGAAAAAATGTTAAGGGCAGCCAGAGAGAAAGGTTGGGTTACCCTCAAAGGGAAACCCATCAGACTAACAGCTGATCTCTCAGCAGAAACTCTACAAGCCAGAAAAGAGTGGGGGCCAATATTCAACATTCTTAAAGAAAGGAATTTTCAACCCAGAATTTCATATCCAGCCAAACTAAGCTTCATAAGTGAAGGAGAAATAAAATATTTTACAGACAAGCAAATGCTGAGAGATTTTGTCACCACCAGGCCTGCCCTAAAAGAGTTCCTGAAGGAAGCACTAAACATGAAAAGGAACAACCGGTACCAACCACTGCAAAAACATGCCAAATTGTAAAGACCATCGATGCTAGGAAGAAACTGCATCAACTAACGAGCAAAATAACCAGCTAACATCATAAAGACAGGATCAAATTCCCACATAACAATATTAACCTTAAATGTAAATGGGCTAAATGCTCCAATTAAAAGACACAGACTGACAAATTGGATAAAGAGTCAAGACCCATCAGTGTGCTGTATTCAGGAGACCCATCTCATGTGCAGAGACACACATAGGCTCAAAATAAAGGGATGAAGGAAGATCTCCCAAGCAAATGGAAAACAAAAAAAGGCAGGGGTTGCAATCCTAGTCTCTGATAAAACAGACTTAAAACCAACAAAGATCAAAAGAGACAAAGAAGGCCATTACATAATGGTAAAGGGATCAATTCAATGAGAAGAGCTAACTATCCTAAATGTATATGGACCCTATACAGGAGCACCCAGATTCATAAATCAAGTCCTTAGAGACCTACAAAGAGACTTAGACTCCCACACAATAATAATGGGAGACTTCGACACCCCACTGTCAACATTAGACAGATCAACAAGACAGAAAGTTAACAAGGATATCCAGGAATTGAACTCAGCTCTGCACCAAGCGGACTTAATAGACATCTACAGAACTCTCCACCCCAAATCAACAGAATATACATTCTTCTCAGCACAATATCACACTTATTCCAAAATTGACCACATAGTTGGAAGTAAAGCACTCCTCAGCAAATGTAAAAGAACAGAAATTGTGACAAACTGTCTCTCAGACCACAGTGCAATCAAACTAGAACTCAGGATTAAGAAACTCACTCAAAACTGCTCAACCACATGGAAACTGAACAACCTGCTGCTGAATGACTACTGGGTACATAACGAAATGAAGGCAGAAATAAAGATGTTCTTTGAAACCAGTGAGAACAAAGACACAACATACCAGAATCTCTGGGACACATTTAAAGCAGTGTGTAGAGGGAAATTTATAGCACTAAATGCCCACAAGAGAAAGCAGGAAAGATCCAAAATTGACACCATAACATCACAATTAAAAGAACTAGAGAAGCAAGAGCAAACACATTCAAAGCTAGCAGAAGGCAAGAAATAACTAGGATCAGAGCGGAACTGAAGGAGATAGAGACATAAAAAACCCTTCAAAAAATCAATGAATCCAGGAGCTGGTTTTTTGAAAAGATCAACAAAATTGATGGGCCACTAGCAAGACTAATAAAGAAGAAAAGAGAGAAGAATGAAATAGATGCAATAAAAAATGATAAAGGGGATATCACCACGAATCCCACAGAAATACAAACTACCATCAGAGAATACTACAAACACCTCTACGCAAATAAACTAGAAAATCTAGAAGAAATGGATAAATTCCTCGACACACACACTGTCCCAAGACTAAATCAGGAAGAAGTTGAATCCCTGAATAGACAAATAACAGGCTCTGAAATTGAGGCAATAATTAATAACCTACCAACCAAAAAAACTCCAGGACCAGACGGATTCACAGCTGAATTCTACCAGAGGTACAAAGAGGAGTTGATACCATTCCATCTGAAACTATTCCAATCAATAGAAAAAGAGGGAATCCTCCCTAACTCATTTTATGAGGCCAGCATCATCCTGATACCAAAGCCTGGCAGAGACACAACCAAAAAAGAGAATTTTAGACCAATATACCTGATGAACATCGATGCAAAAATCCTCAATAAAATACTGGCAAACCGAATCCAGCAGCACATCAAAAAGCTTATCCACCATGATCAAGAGGGCTTCATCCTTGGGATGCAAGGCTGGTTGAACATACGCAAATCAATAAATGTAATCCAGCATATAAACAGAACCAAAGACAAAAACCACATGATTATCTCAATAGATGCATAAAAGACCTTTGACAAAATTCAACAGCCCTTCATGCTAAAAACTCTCAATAAATTAGGTATTGATGGGAGTATCTCAAAATAATTAGAGCTATTTATGAAAAACCCACAGCCAATATCATACTGAATGGGCAAAAACTGGAAGCATTCCCTTTGAAAACTGGCACAAAACAGGGATGCCCTGTCTCACCACTCCTATTCAACATAGTGTTGGGAAGTTCTGGCCAGGGCAATCAAGCAGGAGAAAGAAATAAAGGGTATTCAATTAGGAAAAGAGGAAGTCAAATTGTCCCTCTTTGCAGATGACATGAGTGTGTATCTAGAAAACCCCATCGTCTCAGCCCAATATCTCCTTAAGCTGATAAGCAACTTCAGCAAAGTCTCAGGATACAAAATCAATGTGCAAAAATCACAAACATTCTTATACACCAATAACAGACAAACAGAGAGCCAAATCATGAGTGAACTCCAATTCACAATTGCTTCAAAGTGAATAAAATACCTAGGAATCCAACTTACAAGGGATGTGAAGGACCTCTTCAAGGAGAACTACAAACCACTGCTCAATGAAATAAAAAAGGGCACAAACAAATGGAAGAACATTCCATGCTCATGCATAGGAAGAATCAATATGGTGAAAATGGCCATACTGCCCAAGGTAATTTATAGATTCAATGCCATCCCCATCAAGCTACCAATGACTTTCTTCACAGAATTGGAAAAAACTACTTTAAAGTTCATATGGAATGAAAAAACGGCCCATATTACCAAGACAATCCTAAGCCCAAAGAACAAAGCTGGAGGCATCACACTACCTGACTTCAAACTATACTACAGGGCTATAGTAACCAAAACAGTATGGTACTGGTACCAAAACAGAGCTATAGACCAATGGAACAGAACAGAGCCCTCAGAAATAATACCACACATCTACAACCATCTGATCTTTGACAAACCTGACAAAAACAAGAAATGAGGAAAGGATTCCCTATTTAATAAATGGTGCTGGGAAAACTGGCTAGCCATATGTAGAAAGCTGAAACTGGATCCCTTCCTTACACCTCATACAAAACTTGATTCAAGATGGATTAAAGACTTACATGTTAGACCTACAACCATAAAAACCCTAGAGGAAAACCTAGGCAATACCATTCAGGACATAGGCATGGGCAAGGACTTCATGTCTAAAACACCAAAAGCAATGGCAACAAAAGCCAAATTGACAAATGGGATCTAATTAAACTAAAGAGCTTCTGCACAGCAAAAGAAACTACCATCAGAGTGAATAGGCAACATACAGAATGGGAAAAAATTTTTGCAATCTACTCATCTGACAAAGGGCTAATATCCAGAATCTACAAAGAACTCAAACAAATTTACAAGAAAAAAATAACCCCATCAAAAAGTGGGTGAAGGATATGAACAGACACTTCTCAAAAGAAGACATTTATGCAGCCAACAGACACATGAAAAAATGCTCTTCATCACTGGCCATCAGAGAAATGCAAATGAAAACCACAATGAGATACCATCTCACACCAGTTAGAATGGCGATCATTAAAAAGTCAGGAAACAACAGATGCTGGAGACGATGTGGAGAAATAGGAACACTTTTACACTGTTGGTGGGACTGTAAACTAGTTCAACCATTATGGAAGACAGTGTGGTGATTCCTCAAGGAGCTAGAACTAGAAATACCATTTGACCCAGCCATCCCATTACTGGGTATATACCCAAAAGATTATAAATCATGCTGCTATAAAGACACATGCACACGTATGTTTATTGTGGCACTATTCACAATAGCAAAGACTTGGAAGCAACCCAAATGTCCAACAATGATAGACTGGATTAAGAAAATGTGGCACATATACACCATGGAATACTACGCAGCCATAAAAAAGGATGAGTTCATGTCCTTTATAGGGACGTGGATGAAGCTGGAAACCATCATTCTGAGCAAACTATCGCAAGGACAAAAAACCAAACACCGCATGTTCTCACTCATAGGTGGGAAGTGAACAATGAGAACACTTAGACATGGGAAGGGGAACAGCACACACTGGGGCTTGTTGTGGGGTAGGGGGAGGGGAAGGGATAGCATTAGGAGATATACCTAATGTAATTGACGAGTTAATAGGTGCAGCACACCAACATGGCGCCTGTATACATATGTAAAAAACCTGCACGTTGTGCACCTATACCCTAGAACTTAAAGTATAATTAAAAATATATATATATTATAAAAAAAAAGAAATAATTCTCTGGATGACTGCTTTTACATTTTATCTGTGCCATTATCTCCCCTTTTTATCCAGCCTACCAGCCCACACAACAGATTTTGGATTTGCCAGCCTCCATAATTGACTGAGTCAATTCCTTTTAATAAGTTTCTTTACAGACACACATACATATACACACACACACACACTCACACACACACACACATCTTATTGGTTCTTTTTCTCTGGAGAATCCTGATTAATACAATGTTCTTCCTGATTTTCTGTCTAGTTATTCTGTCAATTATTGAGAGAAGAGTGTGGAAGCCTCCAGTTATAATTGTAGATTTTTCCGTTTCTCCTTTTTTAGTTCTATCATTCTTTCTTCATGTATTTTGCAGCTATGTTGTTTGGTGCATAGACATTTGGATTGCTATGGCATTTTAGGGGACTGGCCCATTTTAATTATGTAATCTTTCTCTCTATCCCTGGGAACTTATCTTATCTGGTTTTAATATTGCTACCCTAGCTTTCTTTCGATTAATTTTGGCATGGTGTATCTTTACACATCCTTTTCCTTTAGTTCTACCTCTATTGTATTTAAAGGGAATTTTTTGTAAACAGCATATCTTTTGGTATTTTTTTCTTCACTCTACCAATGTCTGTTTTTAAAAAATATTTTATTAGACCATTTATATTCAGTATAGTTGTTGATATGTTAATGCTTAAGTGTGTAATTTTATTTTTTGTTATTCTGTTTGATCTGTTTTTATTTTTTCTGCCTTCTTGTGGGTTACTTGAACATTTTAAAAATTCCTTTTATATATATTTGTGTGAGGTATAGAAACTTTATCTCTTTTTAAGTTTCTTTTCTCTCCTTCCTGTATACTTATCTTAAATATTTCCTCTATATTCATGGGCAGCCACTTAAGAAAATTTTATAATTTTTGTTTCGTGTCAAATATAATTTAGAACACTCAAGAATGGAAGAAAATACATTATAAATGCCATTATTCTTTTTCTTTCTACTGTCCTTATTTTCCAAAATTATGTCTTTTATACTTTTTGTTTATAGAACTTCCTATAGTCATTCTTTCAGGGTGGGTCTATCTCTTACATTTCTTTCACTTGCAAATGTCTTCTCTTCTCTCTAATTTCTGAAATGTATTTTCACTGGATATTGGATTCTATCTTAACAGTTCTTTTCTTATAGTGCTTGAAAAATATTATCCCACTTGCTTTTGACTTCCATGGTTTCTAATAAGAAATCTGCTGCCATTTGAATATTTTTCTCTTCTATAAATAAGGAGGCATTTCTCTCCTGCTGCTTTTGTGATTTTTTTTTCCTGTCTTCAGTTTTTAGCAGTTGGTTTATGATGTCAGTTGGCATTGTTTTAGAGGGGTTTATGACGTTTTCAGTTTGCTCAGTTTCTTAAATCTCTTAAATCTGAAGGTTTATTATATCTTTTGCCAAATTTAGGGAATTACAGTCATTATTTCTTTCAAACTTTTTAGCCCTCCTCTCTTTCTTCTCTTTTCCTTGGACTTCAATGACACAAATGTAAGATGTTTTGTTATGGTCACACAAGTCCCAGGAGCTCTGTTCATTTCTCTTCAGTCTATTTTCTCTCTTTTGTTCAGACTGGGTATTTTCTATTGTTATGCACTGAGGTTTTTTATTTTGGTTACTGGGTTTTTCAGTCTTAACATTTCTCTTTAGTTGTTCTTTAAGTTTTCTATTCTTTGCTCAGGCTTCCTATGTTTCCATTTGTTTCAAGTGCATATGTTATTGCCTGTTGAAGTATTTTTATGATAGCTGCTTCAATTTTTTTTGGTACAAAAGTGAATGCTTTTTTAGAATTAGGAAATAAATCAAAACAAATTTCTGGAGGCTTGGAGATTCAGTGCTTTTCTTCTGAGAGCTCCTTAGGCAGTTTACCAGAAACACTTATTTAGAAATGCTACCTGAAAGCAACTTGTCTTCTCTTCCTCCCCTAGAAGTTCTACAAAAGCAGCAGCCAGCAGTGCTTGTGCAAATGGAGATCCTGGAGCTATGATGTTAGCTGCTTGGTAAACACACTTCTGCCTGTTGGAGATAAACTAATCTCTAATTTCAGTTTATGGGTAAAGAGGAAGGAAAGAAAACATAAAGGGAAAAGAGCCAGGGGAAGTGGGATTGATGGTTTCTATCTGATTTTTTGTTAGTACTATTTTCTCTAGCTTCTCCTACCTCATCACTTAAGTTCTCTCTCTTTGTTTGAGCTTGTACTCCATTTAATTTGAAGTAAAAAAAGTATGTGATTTACAAAATGATGTACAAATGAAAATGGGTACTGGTACCACTCATAAACGTATTAGTACTAGTGATAGTAATAGAAGTAGTGATTGTAGTAGAGGTGAAAAGAGTGATAGTAGCAATAATGTTAGTTACAACGGTAGTTATAGTAGCAGTAAGAGTATTAGGAGTAGTAGCAAGAGTAATTGTGGTATTAATAGTACTAGTAATTGTATTAGTAACAATAGTAATAGTAGTGATAATAATATGGTGGCAATAGTAGACACAGTAGCAAGAGTAGTACAGGTAAAAATAATAGTGATACTAGTAATAGCAATAGTGCTAGGAGTAATAGTAGTTTATGTAGTAATAGCAGTAATAGTAGGAAGAACTGTAGTAGTGATTTTAATAGTGGCATGAATAGTAGTAGTAATAGTGGTAACCATAGTCACAATAATGGCATAGGTAACAGTAGTTACGGCTTAAAATTTCTTTCTTTTTTTTGACACAGGTCTTGCTCCACCAGACTGGAATGCATTATCATAGTTCACTGCAGCCTCGACTCCTGTGCTCAAGTGATCTTCCCACCTTAGCCTCCCAAGCATCTAGGACTACAGGCATGCATGCCACCACACCTAGCTAATTAAAAAAAAATTTTTTTTTTGTAGAGATGGAGGTCTCACTATGTTACCTAGGCTGGTCTTGAACTCCTGGCTTCAAGCACTCCTCCCGCCTTGGCCTCCCAAAGTGTTGAGAACATAGGTGTGAGCCATTACACCTGGCCTGCTTAAAATTCTTATCAAATAATTCAAACATCTGTGTCATCTTGATATTGGTATGTGTTTGTTAGAGTAGGTGGTTAGGCAGACATGAGCAGGGCAAGAGATGCACCCCCCTCCTCCAAAACCCGAAGAAATGTCAGATGACCATCAGGTGGTGGTCAGGTGGCTGTCAGCACCAGGGAAAGGCAGTTTCCCAATAGACAGAAAATACCTGGAGCTGGTGATAAGCAACTTCTGGATACAATCTCAGGAGTTGGGTGACGGGGCTCATGCATGTGCACTAAGAGGCAAAATGGCATACTTTAACTGGTATATGACCTTCCTCTGGCAAGGCTTGACTGGTAAGGGAAAAAAACCTCAAGTGAACATGTGCACAAATTCAGTAAACACACTGCACATGAGGCACCTCCGAAGTGCTGGCAGGCCACTGTACATGTGGACAGCCCACTCCATGGGAAGAATCAAGGGAGAAGAAATGCAAATCCTGGAACCATGCCAATGTATAAAAGCTCAAGTCAAGGGTCTGGTGTGCACTTGATTTCTCAAGTATCCTGCTTGGCCCTCTTCCAAGTATACTTTGCTTCCTTTCATTCTTGCTCTAAAACTTTAATAAACTCTCACTCCTGCCATAAAACTTGCCTTAGTCTCCTCCTCTGCCTTAAACCTACTTCTGGCCCTCGGCTAAATTCTTTCCCCTGAGGAAGCAAGGATCGAGTTGCAGCAGGCCTGTATGGATTGGCCACTGGTAACATGTTCATTGTCTATCTTCATTCCAGTTGAGATTTTCAGGTTCTTATGATGATAAATAATTTTAGATTGAATCCTGAGCATTATGGGTATGAGGAGACTCTTCATTTCATTTAAATCTTCTATTTTAGCATATCTCCTGTGATACTACACTGGTTGGAAAAGTGGGGCACTGTTTCTCTCTGGCAGTTGGGGTACAAGTCTGGGTTTCAAGTTGTCCTCCATCTGCACCCCGAAGGTACAGGACCTCCTCATGCCTGCTGGCAGGGGTGGAGCCAGGCTCCCTTTGAGGCCTCTGCTGACACAGCAGGACTGGAAGGGGGAGGGGCACCTCTTTGCCGCTTCCCACATAGTCCCCCACATACAGCTTGTCAGGGCCTTGTGGCCAATGGGTGGTGACCTCCTGTGACATCACCTTAGCAGGAAGTGGAGGGAGCTTCACTACTGCAGCATGAAGATGAAGGTCCCAGCTCTATACTTGGTCTTCTCTGATACCACCCCATAGGGAAGTAAGGGTGCCTCATTCCAGCCTTGAGGGAGTGGAAGTCTGGGGTCCCCACGTGGCTTTTGGTGGTGTGCATGGTGGTGTGGCCACAGTGTTTCCTGCAGTGTTTGGATGGAGGAGGGTGGTTATTGTATATAAGTTTTCTGTCTTGCTAGGCCCTCTCTTTCCTGGTCCTTTGAACTGGAGAAAACAGGCTTTCCTTGGTGCTTTTTTTTTTTTTTTTTTTTTGTCTATGCTGATTGTTGTCTTCGTCAGCACCCAGTCCAGAACATATGAGGCAAAAAGAACACAAGAATTGCAGTTCTTTAAGTCCCGATGTCTCTAGCTAGTTTGCCTAATTTTATCCAAAATTTCAGAGTCACTTAAAAAAAACAATTACATCAAAGGTTTTCAGCCATACCCTCAAAAGGTCACTTTTTAATTCAAAAAGGTGTAAATGATTTGGTTCATTACTAAAATCTTCTGTTGAATAATTTACGATCCCCTTTGTTTATTCAAGACAAATTTTCTTTTTTTTTTTTCATTTTGAGATGGAGTCTTGCTCTGTCACCCAGGCTGGAGTGCAGTGGCGCGAACTCAGCTCACTTCAAGCTCCGCCTCCCGGGTTCACGCCATTCTCCTGCCTCAGCCTCCCGAGTAGCTGGGACTACAGGCACCTGCCACCACGCCCAGCTAATTTTTTGTATTTTTAGTAGAGATGGGGCTTCACTGTGTTAGTCAGGATGGTCTTGATCTCCTGACCTTGTGATCCGCCTGCCTCGCCCTCCCAAAGTTCTGGGATTACAGGCATGAACCACAGCACCCGGCCCTCAAGACAAATTTTCTAAGCAGTTACAATGTATACACTGTTATCCCTGAGGACGCTGCCTCTGCTGTAGAGAATGAATTGTATATTAATTCCCACATTCAGTGTTATGACAAGGACATAAAATACGGTCAAAACTGGGAGAAGAAAGTGGTGAAAATCCCTGTCCACATGACAACAAAAGGAGATGCAGTTGTGAGCACTGATAAAAGACTTCAGTATTAAATGAAGAGGAGAAAAGGTGTTCCTAACTAAAGTGACACCATAAGCAAAAACATGGAGGCTGTAGAGGTATGATAGATTTGACAAACACAGATGCACTCGGGGTGACCAGAGGTAGGTGAGCAGGAGAGTATAATAGATGAAGACACAGTGGAGGACCAGATTGTGTCTTCGTCTATTACACTGACCTGACCTTGAAGGCCAGGCAATGTGTCTGGAATCTGGGCAACAGGGAGCTATAGTGTTTCTCAGTTCTCTGGGCAATTCTTGAAGGTATTTTGCTATTTTTATTCCAACATCATGACTATGGGGATATGACCAGGGAGTAGACAGAGAAAATTATGTTAAACTTAAAGATAACTAAAGCATTGCCTTTGAGTCATTGCCCAGTTGGTGTGTGGCCAACAGCCAACTTCATTCCAACTCTCTTCCCTTGCCTTCTGGGAAGTTGAGGGTGACCTGCCCATTATAGGATTGAAAGGCAGCAGCATCTTGGACTTAGGCAGAAAATTGGCTGATTTGTTTTGTCCACAGGTTGGCTGTCATTTGAGTTATACAAATGACAAATGCCCCTTTCAGACTCTAGACATAGATGACAAGGGGGATGCTGCCGCTACTGCAGGATTGATAGTGGTAGAGGATTAGGGTATTAAAGCCCCTATGTGATGGAGCCTCACATATTGCAGGAGCCTCACATATTCCTTAGCCGGCTCCCTTATCTACAACCTGTGCAGTGCAACACAGTGCCCATAATTCCATTTGACCTTCATGGCAATCTGAAATATAGGTAACATTATTTCCATTTGACAGTTGGGAAAACTGAGTCTCAAAAAAGGCCATAACTTTCTCCACCCCAGATTACTTGGTGGACAGCAGAGAATAAGAATCAGTCAGCTAGAAGCTACCCATGGCCATACATACTTGGTGAAGATTTAGTCCAGACAATTATATGAGTAGGGCAATGTGTTCTCAAAGTTATCTGAAAGTCATCTTATGGTGATAAGGGCAGGTGCTTTGTGAGGAAGCTGGGAGCTGATATGTGAGGCTAGTGTGGGTTGGCTAGAGACAAGCTAGGACAGAGGAATTGACCAGAGTGAGTGGGAGTGAATATTAGTTTGCTCTTCTGAGTTGAGTGACCTTAGACATTGATGTCCTTTTGGCCTTTGCTACTTATTCTCAAAGTAGAGATAAGGATTCTTGAATTAGGATGGTCTTCGGCCTCCCTCAGTGTGGTGACACAGAGAAGACCCTCCTCAGGGGCCTTGTGAATCTAAACTGGAGAAAGAAGATCCCCCAAGCTCTTTCCCTGGGATCTCACACCAAGCCCCTCAGACTTTCTACATTTGAATTCTCCAATCCTTATATACAACCTCGTAGTTGCGACAATGTGGGACCTTAGAGTTTATTTGGGAGCTTGTATTTCATTGGCTGTGGGTGCATTTGAACAGAAATTTGAGTAGATTGGCAAACAAATGGCTAATTCTATAATTGCTATTAACCCCAATAGATTTCAAACCATGACTTCAACTGCCTTGGACTGGGTTAATGCACTTTCATTTCTGAACTCTTCAGCATCAATCACATCTGGACCCAGAACAATCTCTTGACAAATTCCTACTTGGCTGAGCTGTTGCTGTCAAGGAAAGTTTCACTGATGTCTTGGCCACGAAATAGCCGCAAGACCCCTGAGCTTGCCTGGCTGTGGCCCTGATCACAGTCTGCCTCACTGCGAGGCCAAACCACCAGCTGGCAGGCTCCTCACTGCTGTTTGGTTGTGTGCCCAGGTGCAGGCTTGAGACTGCATTCTGGGTACTCCACAGGAAGTCTGTGGGTGCTATTTTTGAATGGTTGCCTCAGAAAGTCTTCCTGGTAAAGAACGGAAAGTGATCCCCAAGCACATCCCCAACCCATCATGGCTATTGTTTCCATCCCAAGTATCCTGAGAATTCTCTAAGGAGACTTGACACTAACTTGCAGAGGTGAGTGAAATATGCCAAAAAGCCAATGGGGACCCAAGTCAGCTTATTCAAATCTCTATTAATGGGATTCCTGAGACGGGAGTCTTGGAGAAATTTCACCACAGCCTTATTTTGTGTCAGACTACATTATATGCTTGACTAATTCTGGAGGGAGAGAGAGTGAAGAATTCATGCCACTTAAAACAATTAATGCTACATCTTAAATTCCTAGAGTTCTGGAAAATTAGTCACCATGGGAAATAGAGGTGTTCATATAGGAATGACTGTAAATAGGGATATTAGATTGGCTTTAACTCTCACATTCATTTTCAAGAATAAGAAGGTCAGGAAGGAGGACTCCTGCTAGTTGCAGACACTTCACAACACTGGAAAGTGCCCCATTTATTCAACATAAGCTAAATATTTGTCTTATCTGTTCATCCAAAGAAAGACCATAGGAGGAAGGAGAAGGAAGGAATAATCCCAAATCTAGAGCAGAGCTGTTCCAGAGCAGGACAGGGAGGTAAACAACTGATGCACCCTCTCCACTCACAAAGGTGTTGGGGAAAGGATTCTGAGGCAGCCTCAGGCCTCTCTGGGTATGGGTGCTGAGATTATTCCTAACATCTGCCAGGTTCTGGGGGTGGGGAATGCTCCTGGGGAAATGAAAGCTGCACTTACAAACCCAAGAAATGGAAATTTACCAGAACCGTAAGACCAGCAAGAACCTGCCTTGGTACCATAATATGCTCTGGAAAAACGAGACCACAGAGCACAAGTAAACGACTTACTTGAAAGCCCCATCCTAGGCAAATAAAGAAAGTCTTCTATAAGGATGACCAGTGATGGGACTCGGAGAAACTGGATAGTTTTCTGTCCTTCTGCTGGCCTTTCAAGAAAATCCACCTTGGATGTTAAAGGACAACCACATAACTTTTTGTAGACCTTGGTGCGACTCTGTCCACCATTAAGACCTCCTTCCATTGATCAGATCTCCAGAGTCATAAACCGCGCAATGAGGGGGATTTCCAACTTCCCTCCATGCTTCCCTGGCCTTAGCCACAGCTCAGCTTTCTGACAAAGGATCACTCCTTCTTCTCTGGGTTTCCACAGAGATTTTTCTCTGCAAAGGGAGCTGTCAAGTAAGATGCACTGCTGAGGAACTTTTTTTAGAAGTCTCAGAAAATTATTCTATTTAAGACCAACTTTGTGCTGACTTTGGCATCTTTCAACCTGTGTCATGTCTGCTTCAGGATAAGATTAAAGACTTGGCTTTGGTCCTCGAGTCTTTATGTGCTGAGGATTCCACAAATTTAGGCATGAATATAGGAGAAAAACCCATGGAAGTTCATATAGATAATATATGATTAGTGAGTTTCCAGTCCTGAATAAGAAATCTTTGCCTGCCTGAAGGTCATGAAGATATTCTTGTGTATTCTTCTAGGAGCTTCATGATTTTAGCTTCCACATTTGGGTCTATGATACATCTCAAATTAATATTTGTATAGTATGAGGTAGTAGGTTTCTGTTTTCATATGAATATTCAGACACTGAGCGTCATTTATTGAAAAGACTCGCCTTTCCCAGTTAAATTCTTTTGGTGCCTTTGTGGAAAATTATGTTACCAATTGTGTATGAATATACTTCTGGATGCTAGTCCATTTACTTGGTCTGGTTATGCTTGTGCCAATACCACAGTGCTTTGATTACTGGAGCTTTGTAGCAAGTCTTTAAATCTAGTTATATAAGTCTTCTCCAGTTATGTTTCTCTTCCAAAGTGGACATATATCTCAATTTAATTAGTCTTTGTTGAATTTTCTCAGCCATATTTTATAGTTTTCAGTATAGCAGTCATGTAAATATTACATTAAATGTATTTATATTTATTTTATGTGATTTGATGCTACTGCACATGGTTTATTTTTGTGAATTTCATTTCTCAGTTTTCTTTTTGACATACAGAAAGATGATTCATTTTTGTATATTGACCGTGAATTCAGGTGTTGAATTTTATACAGATTTTGTGGGGGGATGTACTCAGATAATTATATAATTTCCTCCTCTATTCTGTGAAACATGTGGATTACATTATTTGATTTAATTATCAACTTTATTATAACATATAAAATAAATTATCCACTTGAAGCATACAATTGGATAGGTTTGACAGATGTACATGCCAAAAAAACCCACACCATAGTCAAGATACAGAACATTTTCCAGTGATCTTTAAATGCACCTTTCTATCTGCCCTTGGCCACAGATAATCACTGATCTGCTTTTTATCAACATAAATCATTTTGCATTTTTCTAGAATTTTATATAAATAGAAACATACACTATGTGCTCTTTTATTCTGACTTCTTTCACTAAACATAATGCTTTGAGATTTATTCATGTTGTTGCATACTGTAATAGCTCATTCCTTTTCATCACTGAGTAGTATTCCATTATATAAATATACCATTTTGCTTACCCATTAATCTGTTGATGGGCCTTTTGGTTTCTCCTAGTTTTTCTGTGGACTTTTATCAGCTTTACTGAGGCACAACCAACAGGGTCATGACTAGGGTGAGGCAAGAAAGACTCCTAGGGAATAAATTGAAAACTTGAGGAGTCATTTTCAAGTCTGGGTCTGAGCACCTTCTTGAATTTTGGACCATAGGAGACTCTCTTGCTTCACCTTCATTCTGTCTCTGATGATTGATATTCAACAAATTATACATATTTCAAAGGCAAATTTGATAAGTTTTGACATATGTATGCACCCATGAAATGTCACCATAATTATGATGGAGAACATACCCATTGCCCCAGAAGTATTCTCATGCCCCATGTAATATCTCCCTCCTGGCCTTCCTTGCCATTTCTAGGCAATTATTAATTACATTCTTTCACTATAGAGTAGAGTCGTATGTAAATAAAATCATACAATATGTACTTTTTGTTGTTTGGCTACCTTTACTCATCATAATTATTTTGAGATTTAATCTAGGTTGTTATGTGTATCAATACTTCACTCCTTTTTATTGCTGATTATTTTGTTGAATTGATATACCATAATGTGTTTATCCATTTGCCTGTTGATGGACATTTGTGTGGTTTCCAGTCTTAGCTATTGTAAAGAATGCTTTTATAAATATTTGTGAATAAGTATTTTAATGGACATTTGCTTTCTTTTCTTTTGGGTAAATACCAGAAGTGTAATGGTTAGATCATATGTTGGTTTTATGTTTAGCTTCTTAAAAACCAACAAATTGTTTCCCAAGTTGGTTGAACCATTTCATGTTGTCTCCAGCAATGTATGAGAGCTCTACTTCCTCCACATCCTTACCAACACTTGGTGTGGCCAGTCTTTTTAATCTTAGCTATTTTAATAGGTGTGTAGTAATGATAATTATGTTGTGGATAAATATAAGTTTATCAAAATTTAAAGCTTCTAGTTATCAAAAGACACCATTAAGAAAACAAAAAGGGAAGTCACAGAAGGGGAGAAAATATTCATATATCTGACAAAAAAAATTGTACAAACGATATATAAATCAATAAGGCAAAACAAATAAAATATGAGGATAAGACATGAAAAGGGAAATTACCAAAGAAGATATACAAATGGCCAATAAACCCAATAAATATGCTCATTATTAGCCATCAGGGAAATAGAATTTAAAAGCTCAGTAAAATATAACTATAAACTCATTGGGATGGCTAAAATAATGCTGACAAAGTCAAGTGTTGGCAAGGATGTGAAACAATTAGAACTCACATAGGGTTGATCAGAGCAAAATGGAAGAGCTATTCTAGAAAACAGTTTTGCAAGCTCTTAAAAAGTTAAATACAGGGAGACATTAAAGATGGCCAAATAGGAACAGCTCTGGTCTGCAGCTCCCAATAAGACCAACACAGAATTCAGGTGATTTCTGCATTTCCAACGGAGGTACACTGTTCATCTCATTGGACTGATTAGGCAGTGGATGCAGCCCATGGAGGGCAAGCAGAAGCAGGGTGGGGTGTTGCCTCACCCAAGAAGTGCAAGGAGTAGGGAGCCTCCCTTTTCTAGCTGAGGGAAGCTGTGAGGGACTGTGCTATCCAGCCCAGATACTACGCTTTTCCCATGGTTTTTCCAATCAGCCGACCAGGAGATTCCCTCATGTGCCTACACCATCTGGGGCCTGGGTTTCAAGCACAAAGCTGGGCGGCTGTTCAGGCAGACACTGAGCTAGCTGCTGGAGTTTTTTTTCGTACCCCAGTGATGCCTGGAACTCCAGCGAGACAGAGCCGTTCACTCCCCTGGAAAGGGGGCTGAAGCCACGGATTCAAGTGGTCTCACTCAGTGGGGCCCACTCCCACAGAGCCCAGCAAGTTAGGAACCACTGGCTTGAAATTCTTGCTGCCAGCACAGAAGTCTGAAGCCGACCTGGGATGATTGAGCTTGGTGCGGGGAGGGGCGTCCATGATTATTGAGGCCTGAGTAGGCAGTTTTCCCCTGACAGAGCTAAAAAGGCCTGGAAGTTCTGACTGAGTGGAACTCAACATAGCGTGACAAAGTGGCTGTGGCCAGAATGACTTTATAGATCCCTCCTCACTGGGCAGGGTATATCTGAAAGAAAGGCAGCAGCTCCAGTCAGGGGCTTATAGATAACACTCCCATATCACTGGGAAGAAAACCTGAGGGAAGGGGAGGTTGTGGGCACAGTTTCAGCAGACTCACATGTTCCTGCCTGCCAGCTCTGAAGAGAGCAGTGGATCCTGACAAGGAGGGTTCTACTAGCACAGTGCTCAAGCTCTGCCAAGGGACAGACTGCCTCCACAAGTGGGTCCCTGACCCCCATACCTCCTGACTGGAAGAGACTTCCCTACAGCAGCTGACAGACACCTCATACAAGAGAGCTCCAGCTGGCATCAGGTCAGTGCCCCTCTGGGATGAAGCTTCCAGAGGAAGGAGCAAGCAGCAATCTTTGCTGTTCTGCAGGCTCTGCTGGTGATACCTAGGCAAATAGGATCTGGAGTGGACCTCCAGCAAACCGCAGCAGACCTGCAGAAAAGAGGATTGACTGATAGAAGTAAAACTAACAAACAGAAAGCAATAACATCAATATCAACAAAAAGAACCCCCACACAGAAACCCCATTTAAAGGTCATCAGCCTCAAAGATCAAAGGTAGATAAATCCATGAAGATGAGAAAAAATCAGCATAAAAATGCTAAAAATTCCAAAAAACAGAATGCCTCTTCTCCTCCAAATGATTGCAACTCTTCTTCAGCAAGGGCACAAAACTGGATGGAGAATGAGCTTGACGAATTGACAGAAGTAGGCTCCAGTAGGTGGGTAATAACGAACTCCTCTGAGCTAAAGGAGCATGTTCTAACCCAGTGTGAGGAAGCTAAGAACCTTGAAAAAAGGTTACAGGAACTGCTAACTAGAATAACCAGTTTAGAGAAGAACATAAATGACCTGATGGAGCTGAAAAACATAGCACAAGAACTTTGTGAAGCATACACAAGTATCAATAGCCAAATCGATTAAGTGAAAGAAAGGATATCAGAGATTAAAGATCAACTTACTGAAATAAGGTGAGAAGACAAGATTAGAGAAAAAAAGATAGAAAAGGAATGAACAAAGCCTCCAAGAAATATGGGACTATGTGAAAAGACCAAACCTATGTTTGATTGGCGTCCCTGAAAGTGACAGGAAGAATGGAACCAAATTGGAAAACATACTTCAGGATATTATCCAGGAGAATGTCCCCAACCTAGCAAGACAGGCCAACATTCAAATTCAGGAAATACAGAGAACACCACTAAGATACTCCTCGAGAAGAGCAACCCCAAGACACATAATTGTCAAATTCTCCAAGGTTGAAATGAAAGAAAAAATATTAAGGGCAGCCAAAGAGAATGGTCAGGTTACCTACAAAAGGAAGCCCATCAGACTAACAGCAGATTTCTCTGCAGAAACTCTATAAGCCAGAAGACAAGGGGGCCAATATTTGACATTCTTAAAGAAAAGAATTTTCAACCCAGAATTTTAAATCCAGCCAAACTAAGTTTCATAAGTGAAGGAGAAATAAAATCCTTTACAGACAAGCAAATACTGAGGGATTTTGTCACCACCAAGGCTGCCTTACAAGAGCTCCTGAAGGAAGTACTAAATATGGAAAGGAAAAACCAGTACCAGCCACTACAAAAACACACCAAAATATAAAGAGCAACGACACTATGAAGCAACTGCATCAACTAATGTGCAAAATAACCAGCTAGCATCATGATGACAGGATCAAATTCACACATAACAATATTAACCTTAAATGTAAATGGGCTAAATACCCCAATTAAAAGACACAGACTGGCAAGTTGGATAAAGAGTCAAAAATCCATTGGTGTGCTATATTCAGGAGACCCATCTCATGTACAAAGACACACACAGGCTCAAAATAAAGGGATGGAGGAATATTTGCCAAGCAAATGAAAAGCAAACAAAAAATCAGGTGTTGCAATGCTAGCCTCTGATAAAACAGACTTTAAACCAACAAAGATCAAAAAAGACAAAAAAGGGGCATTACATAATGGTAAAGGGATCAATGCAACAAGAAGAGCTAACTATCCTAAATGTATATGCACCCAATACAGGAGGACCCGGATTCATAAAACAAGTTCTTAGAGACCTACAAAGAGACTTAGAACACCCCACTGTCAACATTAGACAGATCAACGAGACAGAAAATTAACAAGGATATTTAGGACTTGAACTCAGCTCTGGATCAAGCTGACCTAATAGATATCTACAGAACTCTGCACCCCAAATCAACAGAATATACATTCTTCTCAGCACCACATAGCACTTATTCTAAAATCGACCACATAATTGGAAGTAAAACACTCCTCAGCAAATGCAAAAGAATGGAAATCATAACAAACAGCCTCTCAGACCACAGTGCAATCAAATTAGAACTCAGGATTAAGAAACTCACTCAAAACTGCACAACTACATGGACACTGAACAGCCTGCTCTTGAATGACCAAGGGGTAAATAATGAAATTAAGGCGGAAATAATGAAGTTCTTTGAAACCAATGAGAACAAAGAGACAACGTACCAGAATCTCTGGGGCACTGCTAAAGCAGTGTTTAGAGGGAAATTTATAGCACTAAATACCCACATCAGAAAATGGGAAAGATCTAAAATCAACACCCTAACATCACAATTAAAATAATTAGAGAAGCAAGAGGAAACAAATTCAAAAGCTAGCAAAAAACAAGAAATAACTAAGATCAGAGCAGAACTGAAAGAGAGAGAGACATGAAAAACCCTTAAACAAAATCAGTGAATCCAGGAGCTGGTTTTTTGAAAAGATTAACAAAATAGATAGACTGCTAGCCAGGCTAATACAGAAGAAAAAAGAGAAGAATCAAATTGACACAATAAAAAATGATAAAGGGGGATATCACCACTGATCCCACAGAAATACAAACTACCATCAGAGAATACTATAAACACCTCTATGCAAATAAACTAAAAAATCTGGAAGAAATGGATAAATTCCTGGACACATACACACCCTCCCAAGACTAAACCAGGAAGAAGTCGAATCCCTGAATAGGCCAATAGCAAGTTCTGAAACTGAGGCAGTAATTAATAGCCTGCCAACCAAAAAACGCTCAGGACCAGACAGATTTGCAGCTGAATTCTACCAGAGGTACAAAGAGGAGCTGGTACCATTCCTTCTGAAGCTATTCCAAAAAATAGAAAAACAGGGACTCCTCCCTAACTCATTTTATGAGGCCAGCATTATCCTGATTCCAAAACCTGGTAGAGACACAATAAAAAAAGAAAATTTCAGGCCAATATCCTTGATGAACATCCATGCAAAAATCCTCAATAAAATACTGGCAAATTGAATTCTGCAGCACATCAAAAAGCTTATCCACCACTTTCAAGCTGGTTTCATCCCTGGGATGCAAGGCTGGTTCAACATATGCAAATCAATAAACGTAACAGAAACAGAACCATCCCATCACATAAACAGAACCAACGACAAAAACCACAGGATTATCTCAATAGACGCAGAAAAGGCCTTCGATAAAATTCAACACCCCTTCATGCTAAAAACTCTCAATAAACTAGGTATTGATGGAACATATCTCAAAATAATAAAAGCTATTTATGACAAATCAATAGTCAATATCATACTGAATGTGCAAAAGCTGGAAGCGTTCCCTTTGAAAACTGGCAGAAGACAAGGATGCGCTCTCTCACCACTCCTATTCAACATAGTATTGGAAGTTCTGGCCACAGCAATCAGGCAAGAGAAAGAAATAAAGCGTATTCAAATAGGCAGAGAGGAAGTCAAATTGCCTGTCTTGGCAGATGACATGATTGTATATTTAGAAAACCCCATCATCTCACCCCAAAAACTCCTTAAGCTGATAAAGAACTTCAGCAAAGTCTCAGGTTACAAAATCAATGTGCAAAAATCACAAGCATTCATATACACCAATAATAGACAAGCAGAGAGCCAAACCATGAGTGAACTCCCATTCATAATTGCTACAAAGAAAATAAAATACCTAGGAATAAAACTTACAAGGGATGTGAAGGACCTCTTCAAGAAGAACTACAAACCACTGCTCAAGGAAATAAGAGAGGACACAAACAAATGGAAAAACATTCCATGCTCATGGATAGGAAGAATCAATGTCGTGAAAATGGCCATACTGCCCAAAGTAATTTATAGATTCAATATTATTCCCATCAAGCTACCATTGACTTTCTTCACAGAACTAGAAATAACTACTTTAAATTTCATATGGAACCAAAAAAGAGCCCGTATAGTCAAGACAATCCTAAGCAAAAAAAGAAAAAAAAACAAAGCTGGAGGCATCACGCTACCTGACTTCAAACTACACTGCAAGGAAACAGCATGGTACTGGTACCAAAACAAACATATAGACCAATGGAACAGAACAGAGGCCTCAGGAACAACACCATACATCTACAACCATCTGATCTTTGACAAACCTGACAAAAACAGGCAATGGGGAAAGGATTCCCTATTTAATAAATGGTGCTGGAAAAACTGGGTAACCATATGCAGAAAACAGAAACTGGACCCCTTCCTTACACATTATACAAAAATCAACTCAAGATGAATTAAAGACTTAAATGTAAAACCTAAAACCAAAAAAACTCTAGTAGAAGACCTAGACAATGCCATTCAGGACATACGCATGGGCAAAGACTTCATGACTAAAACACCAAAAGCCATTGCAACAAAAGCCAAAATTGACAAATAGGATCTAATTAAACGAAAGAGCTTCTGCTCAGCAAAAGAAACTGTCATCAGAGTGAACAGGCAACCTACAGAATGGGAGAAAATTTTTTCAATCTATCCATCTGATACAGGTTTAATGTCCAGAAACTACCAGGAACTTAAACAAATTTACAAGAAAAAAACAACTCCATCAAAAAGTGGGCAAAGGATATGAAGAGACACTTCTCAAAAGAAGACATTTACGCAGCCAACAAACATTTGATAAAAAGCTCATCATCGTTGATCATTAGAGAAATACAAATCAAAACCACAATGAGATATCATCTCATGCCAGTTAGAATGGCAATCATTAAAAAGTCTGGAAACAACAGATGCTGGCGAGGATGTGGAGAAATAGGAATGTTTTTACACTGTTGGTGGGAGTGTAAATTAGTTCAACCATTATGGAAGACAGTGTGGCAATTCCTCAAGGGTCTAGAACCAGAAATATCATTTGACCCAGAAATCCCATTACTGGGTATATACCCAAAGGATTATAAAGCATTCTACTATAAAGATATATGCACACATATGTTTATTGCAGCACTATTTACAATAGCAAAGACTTGGAACCAACCCAAATGTCCATCAATGATAGACTGGATAAGGAAAATATGGCACATATACACCATGGAATACTCTGCAGCCATAAAAAAGAATGTATTCATGTCCTTTGCAGGGACATGGATGAAGCTGGAAACCATCATGCTCAGCAAACTAACACAGGAACAGAAAACCAAACACCGCATATTCTCACTCATAAGTGGGAGTTGAACAATGAGAACACGTGGACACAGGGAGGGGAACATCACACACCGGGGGCTGTGGGCGGCGGGGGGGCAAGGGGAGGGAGAGCATTAGGACAAATACCTAATGCATGCAGGGCTTAAAACCTAGATGACAGGTTGATAGGTGCAGCAAACCACCATGGCACATGTATGCCTATGTAACAAACCTGCACGTTCAGCACATGTATCCCGGAACTTAAAGTAAAAAAAAAAAAAAAGTAAAAAAAAAAAAAAAAAGATATGTAAATGTCAAATAAGCTCATGAAAAGATGCATTCAAGAAATGCAAATTAAAACCAAATGAGACACCAGTAAACACCTATTAGAATGTCTGTAGTTAAAGGACTGAACATACCAGTTAATGATGAGTATGTGAAAAAACTGGGACTCTCATGCATTGCCACATCAATGTAAAATATTGCAACCACTCTGGGGAGCAGTTTACCAGTTGCATAAAAAGTTAAACATACAACTACCATATGACCTTGCCATTTCACTCTAAGGTTTTTACCAAGGCACAATGAAACTGTATGATCATACAAATCCTTGCACAAAAATATTCTTAGCAGTTTTATTTTTAATAGCCCAAACCTGAAACAACCACACATCCATTAACAGGTGAGTATATAAACAAATTGTGGCACATTTATTACAATGGAATAATACTCATCCATAAAAGCAATAAATTAATGATAGATGCAAAAGCATAGATGAATCTCAAAAACATTATGTTGAGTGAAAAATGATTAATGATATAATGCAAAAAAATGTTTTTCAGTTCTGAAAGACATAAGTCACCATTAATGAACAATAAACAAACAAACAAAAAAAGTTAAATACAGATAATTACCAGAGCTTGAAAATAAGCATTCCCACAATTACAACAAGAAAAAGTTGGACAAACTGAAATCTGTGACTTTTCTTGAACCCATCATATAACTGAGTTAACAGGATAAACTACCACCTTAAAATCCAGACAGACAGGTACATCCAGAGAAATACAAGATCAAAGATTGCTTACTTGGAACAGAAGCTCCCAAAATGTATAATCTGGTGGCAACATTTAAATGGTCATTTTCATAGAGTTGGGAGGCTGAATACAGAGTTGGTGAGTAAGGAGCCCTAAGGGTCTAAGACAGATGGAGATATCCACATGTACATGGGCTTTAGCTCAGTAACCTCACCAGATTCTCATTGTGAAGATATGAGAAATATCCTTCTTGGACCTGGAAGGACTCAATGTCAGTAGACTTATCCTATAAGAAATGTTAAAAGAACTTTGGGCCAAAGAGAAATAATATGCCAGAAACTTCGGTCCATACCAAAAAGGAAGAACATCAGAAAAGGAATAAATAAAGGTAAAATAAAATATTTTAGTTTTCTTATTTTTAATGGACATAAAATAACTTCGTT
The DNA here is from genome assembly GCF_000001405.40 of Homo sapiens. Classification (NCBI taxonomy): domain Eukaryota; kingdom Metazoa; phylum Chordata; class Mammalia; order Primates; family Hominidae; genus Homo; species Homo sapiens. Next base: position 45,340,214 of record NC_000007.14, read on the forward strand.
TAAATTAATAATAGGAAAAATCTAATGGAAGGTCATAGCATATAGATAAGAGAAATGAATGAGCACAGTATCACAAAAGATGGAAGAAAGATCCCAGATGTGGTGTAAAGTTACTGGAGGTGGAAGTAAATTATTTAAAAATGCACATCGTAACACCTGCAGCAACCACTAAAAAGTTTTAAATGGAAGTTTAAATGATATGCCAAAGAAGAGATAAAGTGGAATAATATAAAATATTCAATTGAAGCAAGAAAAGATAGAAAAAAGGGAAGAAGAAGAGAAACAAACAAAAAAAGAAACGAGAAAAAAGCCATTATAAAGATTGTATATTTTAGCCCAACTATACCAAAAAATACTTGAAATGTGAATGGTGTAAATACAGCAGTTAAAAGACAGATTTTATTGAATTGGAATATTAAGACTCAGATAGGTATGCTATCCTAAAAGTAATCAAAAGAAAGCTCGATTACCTATATTAATTTCAGACAAAGCAGACTACAGAACAGGAATATCATCAGGGATAAAGAGTGACATTACACAAACAGGAAGACAATTCTCCAAGAAGACCTAAATGTTTATGCACCTAACAACACAGCATCAAAATACATAAGACAAAGGTGATAGAACTGAAAGGAGAAATCATATTTTAGTTGGAGACCTCAATATCTCTATACCAGTAGGTGATATAGCAAGCACACAGAAAATCAGTGCGGGCATTGTGGAACATAACAGCATCATTGATCAACTGGTTCTAATTGACATCTATAGACGACTTCATCCAACAACAGCAGAATACATATTCTCCTCAAGCTCACATGGAACATTCACCAAGACAGATCCCACTCTGGGCAATAAAACACACCTTAACATATTTCAAGGGATAGATATCATACAAAGTATATTTTCAGATTGCAGACAAACTGAACTAGAATAACAGAAAACTAGTTGAAAAATGTCCAAATATTTGGTAGTTCGACAACACACCTTTAAAACCCATGGGTCAAAACAGAAGTCTCAAAATAAATTAAAATGTATTTTTTTTGTAATATTTTTATCTAGTTTTGGCATTTGGTATTAGCGTAGTGCTGCCCTTATAAATGAGTTGGCAAATGTTTCTGAATCTCTTTTGGGGAAGAGATTTCTGGAAAATTCAATGAAATTTGAATTTTGTGGGGTGCAACTAAAGTGACTGGTATAAATCTATAGCATTAAGCTGCATATATTGGAAATGAAAAAGATCCAAAATCAATAATCTAAACTTCCACCTTAGGAAACTAGAGTAAGAAGAGCAAATTAGACCTAAAGCAAGCAGGAGAAAGGAAATTATAATTATTAGACCATAAATAAACAAAATTGAGAACAGGAAAACAATAAATAAAATCAAAAGTTGGCTTTTTGCAAAGATCAATAAAATTGACAAATCTCTAGCTAAGCTAACCAAGAAAAAATGAGGGAAGACACAAGTTGTCAATATAAGGAATGAAAACGATATGTATCAGCACTACTGATCCTGTGGGTCTTAAAAGGGTAATAAAGGAATACGATGAACAACTCAGTCCCCGTGTATTTGGTAACTAAACGACATAAAGCAATTTCTTGAAAGACACAAACTACCAAAATTCACTCAAGGATAAATAGATAACCTTAAGTTCAATTTATCTATTCAACACAGTCCCATTAAAAATCCCAGCAACCTTTTTTGTACATATCAAATAACTGATTCTAAAATTTATGTGGAGAGGCGAGAGACCTAGAATTCCACCGTAATTGTAAATAAGAAGAATAAAGTTGGAAGATATTCATCTTACTCAATTTTAAGACTTATTATAAAGTAACAGTAATCAATACTATTTGGTATTGGAGGAAAAATAGACACATTGATCAATGAAAGAGAATAGAGAACAGCAATACAGACTTGCAATGGGGTTACTTCCTGATAAACCCATCATAAGTTGAAAATATTGTAAGTTGAAAATGTATTGAATACACCTAACTTATTCAACATCATAGGTTAGCCTAGCCTAGTTTACCATAAACGTGTTCAGAACACTTACTTTAGCCCACAGTAGGGCAAAATCATCAGTACTCTGATGATCAGTACTCAAAAACACAGGACTCTGCAGAGTGTCACTTGTTTACCCTCATGACTGCATGGCTGACTGGGAGCTGTTGTTTGCTGTCGCTGCCCAGCATCACAAGAGAGTGTGGCACAGTGTATTGCTAGCCCAGGAAAAGATCAAAATTCGAAACTGAAAGTATGGTTTCTACTGAACGTGTATAGCTTTCACGTCATCATAAAGTAAATAAATCCTAAGTCCAGCCATTTTAAGTTGTCTGTAGTGTGATACAAATCTAGTGAAGTGATTTTTTCACAAAGGCAGAAAGGCAATTCAATGAAGACAGGATCATCTTTTCAACAGGTGGTGCTGGAACAATTGAGCATCCATGTGCCCACTCCCCACAAAAGAGAGCCAAGACACAGACCTTACACCTTACACAAAAATGAACTCAAAAGAGACCAAAAATCTAAATGTAAAACACAAAATCATAAAAATTCTAGAATAAAACATATAAGAAAATCTGCATGACCTGAAGTTTGGTGGTAATTTTATAAACATAATGCCATAAGCACAATTCCTGGGGGAAAATTTTAATAATTGAGCTTTCTTAAAATAGAAAACTTTTGCTCGGTGAAAGACATTGTTAAGAGAATGAAAATATAAGCCACATTGTTAAGAAAATGAAGGACAAGCAACAGACTGGGAGAAAAAATTTCAAATTGCCTTCCTGATAAAGGACTTGTATCCATAATATACCAAGAATTCTTAAAACTCAGTAACACAAAAATAAGACACTCAACTAAAAAATGGGCAAATGATCTGAACAGACACTGACTAAAAACTATGTGTATATGGTCAATAAGCATATGGAAAGGTTTTCATATCATTTGTCATTAGATATATGACTAAAAACTTATTAGAATGGCTACCATTTAAAAAACCTGATTATATCAATTTCTGGTAAGAAAGTAGAACAACAGAAACTCTTAATGCTGGTGGAAACACAGAATGGTATAGCTACTTTGGAAGACAATTTTGAAGTTTCTGATAATGCCAACCATGGTCTTACCATATGATCCAGCAACAGTGCTTCTAAGTCTTTTTTCAACTGGTTTGAAAAAGAATACCCACAAAAAACTTTGCACACAAATATTTATAGCAGCGTTATTCATAATTTCCCCAAACTGGAAGCAACCACGATGTCCTTCAGCAGGTAAACGGGTACACGAACTGTGGTACAATCAGACTACTTCGTACTATTCAACAATAAAAACAAACAAGCTACCAAACCATGCAAAGATCAGCATGCATCTTGAATGAATATTACGTGATAGAATCCAGCATGAACAGGCTATATGTTTTCTGATTTGATTTTTATGACATTCTGGAAGAGGCAGAAAATATAGAGATGGTAAAAGAATAGAGACTTCTAGCAGCAGTTACCAAGGTTTCATGAGTGGGAAGGGTTGAATAGGAAGCGTTTGAAAAAGATGTAATGATGCCAAATGGATAAAATTGCCACAAGAAAGAGCTCCCTATGACCAAAGCTGGGACAATTTTAGTAACAAAATAAAATGATACTGGATTATAACCCAAAGTATAAGATAAGTATCTGAGTTCATCCTGACATAAACAAATGACTGAATAAATAAATATACGGGGAAAAGAAACAAATCTCTCATTTGGAAGAATTCCAAATAATTTATGCAGCTGGTCTGGACTCAGAAGTGGAGCATGAATCCCCGCTCCTTAAGTGTGTGCTGTGCCTAGTGACTTCCTTCCAAAGAGCACATTATGGAAAAGGGGGAGAAAAGAGGAACTTGACAGCGGAGAAATCTGAACGCAGCCTCAGCCAGGTGACCAAGGTCAACGTCGTAAATAATAAGTCACGTAGATAGCATGTGCCTTTGATATGACGTGATAAGAATGCCACTTTATCTCTGTGGTCTTCCTCAAAAAACCTATAATGCCAGCGTAATCCTGAGAAAAACATCGGACAAACCCCAACTTAGGGAAATTCTACAAAATACCTGACCAATACTTCTCAAAACGTTCAAGGTCACATGAAACAAGGAAAAGTCCAAGAAACTGTGACAGCCAGGAGGAGCCTAAAGCCACCTGACAACTAAATGTAATACGGGATCCTGAATGAGATCCAAGTATAGAAAAAGGATAGTGGATAAAAACTAAGGAAGTCCAAAAGAAAGCGTGGACTTCAGTTCATAATAACATGTCAATATTGATTAACTAGTTGAACCATAGTAATATAAAATGTGGAATATAATACATACTATGTTACACATAATACAAATATTATAAATATATAATAGTGGAAACTGGGTTATAGGGTATATGAGAATTCTCTGTATTATCATCACAATTTTTTGTAAATCTAACACTACTCAATTGTAAAAAGTTGATTAAAAAATTTCCCTTTATCTTAGTAAAATATCTCCAAAAATTAAAAAAGTTTCTTAAATTAATCAAATCATTCATACCTATTATTCAATGTTAATATTCCATGTTTCACTTAATAAAGGGAAAAATATACGTATTTGTATATAAAAACAAATTTTATCATATATTTGCTCTTTTAACTTACTATTTTTACTTAATAAATTAAAATCAAATGACTTTTTGCAACCTCCAATGATTTCCTGGCTACAGAGGAGTTTTATACTCTTGTTTTATAAATGAAAATGATGTATCCCTCAGGATGATTTTTATTGGTGGGAATTAAGGTAGTATAAACTTAAAGAGGTTTAAAAGGGACCCAAATTAATAAGTGCTTTCTCTTTATGAATATTTATAGTCTGCTCTTTGTATTGTGGCATGTGTGAGGAAATGTTTTCTTGATTAAAAACTCAGCCAGGGCATATTGGAACAATTTAACATTTGGATAAAAGTATATTTACTCTGATCCCTTTGAGGGGATGTTACTATTTTACCACTTAATAACTTTGGGTACTATCTCTTTAAAGTATTTTGTGTTCAAAAATTAGAAAAACGAAGAGTGATTTAGCTAGCTAATTTTTAATTCCTTCAATTTCTTTTAAGTTATTAAGTAATTCTAGATTTGCTCAATTCTATTGATAAAAAATGGGGGTGTTTAAAATTAGAGGATTTTTGTTCCGTTTTTATATGAATTTTTAAAGTATGAAAATAAATGACAGAAAAGTCAGAACAGAAAAGCACATTGATTTTTTAACATATTAATTTTGTGCACATTTTATTTCAAATTTGAATATTCAGCATGATGGCAATATATGTCTTTTTTCTTTTTAATTAGAAAATTAAAACTCAAAACAGATGCTCAGCACTCTGAAAATAAGTGCCTGCCATGCTGAAGGGTGACAAGATGACATCGACAACCTCTTTTTAAAAACGGCTGTCATCTTTCTCCCAGTTATTTGATTTTAGTATGGTTTCCTGAAAATGCTGTGAGGTTCTCTAATTCATGGAAAGAAGAGCAGTTTATTATCTTAAAAAAAATCCTGTATTTCTTTCTTTTTTTTTAAAATTGTTATCATCTGCTTTTGTTTCTCTATAGGTTTTCTGTTTTCTTTAATCCTAGGCTCCTTTCTGCGTTTTCTTGCCCCTCAACAATAGAGTCAGAGAATTTTCATGACAAGCCGCCTTGTCTGATGCCTCAGGGAAAATCACTGGTCAGGATCTTCTTCACATTGACTCTGCTGTATTCAAGAAGAGCATCTTCAGGAATAGTGTGCAGAACAGTTTCATGACAGGACATCCAAACGTATAAATAGATTGATTTTCTCCACCTGTGTTGAGATGTTTAAGGTGATGCCTCCTGAGTACCTGAGATGTGCTTGGCCCTGTTCTGGGTGCTCTGCCAGAGTTCACTCATTTAATCTTCACAGCAATCTTGAGAGTTAGACACCACCTTATTCCATTTTAGAGCAGTGGAAACGGGCACATGGGGTGCCCTGGGTGAGACCCTCATACACCGAAATCTCTGCACTTGAAGATATACAACACTTAAAAAAAATCTACTCATGGTGCATCTGCCTCCTCCATGCATAGGGAGTGGCAAGTTAAAAATGTTCATACCTATTACATATTTTTAAAAATGCATCTTTGGTTGTGATGTTGACACACCAGGTTTTTCACCAAACACCATGGTGTCCTAGTGTTCTCACCACCCTTGTCTGCTGTATCAGACTAACGTGTGCCTACCACTTTGCTCTACCCATCATCTCCATCCATTGTGCCATGTACCATCTGTTCTTGGAAATGTGACATCTCATTTGCCCTTTGCCTATGTCAATAACCCTTACATCTACTCCTGCCAAAAAAAAAAAAAAAAAAAAAAAGAAAGAAAAAAGAGCATCATGGTTGTAGTTTTGAGGGAAAGGACTCTTTCTCTCAAAACAGTGATGATGTGGTCTGAGGAGGATGAGAAGGACCCCATTGTTTTTTCCTCTTTCCCCTCCTGTTGCTTGGGCTCAGATGAGGGCACAGTCATGAAGGTACCCAGCAGAGCAGCGCAACGAAGACCACAGATTTCTGACAGCAGGAATGAGGACCTCAGGGAACTGAAAAGTGCTGGCAAGATGGCAGCGAGGGAGAAGCTCAGGGAGTGACCCATCATGTTGCCTATGAACTTCTGAGCCCATCCCTATGCTGCACGTGCATGGATCTGATCCTAGTCAGCGTACCCAAATTGTGACAACTGCACTATCAGACTGGTGTCCACATCTAAGACAAACCACTGGGCCAGTGGAACAGACGCGGAACAGATAAATGGCGCTGCTGGGGCTTTGAGACTGAACGTCCCCCAGGCCTGCAGCCAACAGAACAGTTGTAACTGATGCCCAAGCCTAACTAAGTAGATTGCCTGCTAAAACAAAAAATTAACGTTCTCCATAGAATTTAAATAAAACGTAGAGTTACATAAGATAGAATTCAAAACATATAGTTTACGATTCAATATGACTCTCATACAAAGAGCCAGAACAATCTCGACACACACAGCAAAAAATGACCAACAGAAGCCAGTGCTGAGATGACAGGGACATAGAAAGCACTGAATTTTATTTGTTTAATTCAGTTAGATGGTCTCTGCTTTCTAATAGGCAAGCTTAATGCATTTACACTGTTGTGAGTACTCATATTTTTGGACTTAGTTTACCATATTATTTTTGGTAGTCTCTTTCCTTATTTCTTTATTCCTCCCTCCTGACACCATTGGATTAATCACACTTATTTTATTCATTTTCCCCCTTCTGTTTGTTTGGAATTTTCTTCCTGATTCTGTTCTTTTAGTGGCCCCCTTAATTTTTAGCATGCGTAAGCAACATAAAGTATGAAGTTAAGGGATAGCCCCGCCTTTATTCTCTGGTTTCGCCCACCCAAATTCCATGTTAACGTTACATGCTTATATTTTTTCTATCATTTCTATGTGTTTGAAACAGGAGGAAAGATTTTTCAGTTGAGGCACAGAAATACAGACTTAGGGTCAATATGGACGGCAAAACTAACACAGAAAATCAACGAATTAATGAATTGACTTGAACAAGTAAATCCACAAAATGTAGTTCTGGTCCAGAGCCCTTGGTGGGAGTGGTCTGCGAAAGCCCCAGGGCCCCAGTCCTGTCTCAGGCCAAGGCTCTGATCCAGAGATCAGAGACAAAGATCAGGCTGTTGTGCTGCCTTCCCTTTGAGCCTGGTGCTTCAGATTGCCTGAGGGGACAGCCACTAAACTGAAGGAGAGGGATGACTCACTCCCAGAGATAATAAGCTCAAGATAAGTGTTTCCAGGTTTAAAAATTCTGTCTGGGTAGTTCTTCAATTGCGTTCCTAGCACAGGAAACTGACTAGAAGCAAATAAACTAGAAACCAACTAGGTTTGAGGCCTGAGGCTGACAAGAAAACAATAAGCCTGACCCCCACAAGTGCAATGTCAGCTGCCTCTAAAGCTACCTGTTGCCTCAATCTGCATCTCCATGTTCTGGCTACAAAATCTGGGCAGTGCTGGACCAGGTCATTGTCACTGGGCCCCCTCACCTTGAGGTGATAAAGATAAATAACACCAAGGGATCCCCAGAGGTCAACCCTGGAGTCTGAGTGGGCCGTAGAAAAGGGCTTCCTCCTGGAAGCGGAACCAGGGCTGTCAGATCTAAGCATAGGACTTTTTCCAGGGCCTGGAGGGGAGCTGTTTACGATGATTGCCCAGTGAGATTCCTTAATTGCTTGGAACAGGGGCTTTGTGCATGGCCTTATTGCTCACGAAGTTCAGAACTACATTTTGTGGTTTTACACGTTCAAGTAAATTCATTAGTTTGTTGAATATTTATTCAACTGACATTGAGGAACACCTGTTGTGTGCCAGAGTGGTTCCAGGTGTTGGGAATAACTGAGTGGAGCACGGCCGCAGCACATCTGCAGAGAGCATCATTCTAGAGGGTGGGAGTTAATGCATGCTCAGGGGACAGATTCACACAAACGTTGAAACAGTGCTAAGTAGTGACAGTAAAGGCCATGATTAGGGCATAAGCAAGACAGGCAATAAGAGGGGTGGTCAGGGAATGGCAGCACCCCTCTGAAGAGGAGATGTGAGCAGAGACCAAAGCGAGGTTAAGGAAAAGTTGGGAGACAACCTGGGGAAAAGAATTCCAGGGAGTGGGAGTGAGTGCAAGTGCAGAGTGAGCGGCCACAAGGCAGCCATGTGCTTGAGTCCTTAGGAAGAGCCAGGAGGCAGAGCATCGAGAGCCCACTGGAGGTGGGTAGCATGAGACTGCGGGGTGGCTGGGCCACTGTTGCTAGACTGGCCGCTGTGAGGCTGAGGTGAGGCCACTGTAGACTTGAGAGGGGGCAGCACGGCGTGGCAAGCTTCTCACTGAAGATTAGCACTCTTTACACACTTTGCTGTGTGTGTGTTGAACCTGGGCAGAAGAGCCTGGGCTGGAGGAGGGCTGGAGGATCACCAGGAGGATGGGTCAGGGGTCCCTCTTGCTTCACATGGTTTATCTTCCTGATCAGGAGGCAGCTGCCACTGTCCAGATGCTGAACCGCCCAGGGTGGTGGCAATGGCTGAGGTGGGAAAGATGAGCTCAGGAGAGGCTCTGAGGTGGAGCAGGTGGGTCTGCTGATGGAAAGGATGCTGGGTACGCAAGGGAGAGGAGTCAGGATCCTCCCTGACATTATGCAGAGTGTTGGGTAGAGTCTCATTTATTGGAATGGGAACCTGTGGAGGAGGAGGTTTGAAGGAGGATAATTTGGCCTGTTGATGTGGACCTGCCTATAAGACATCCAACTAGAGATGCAAGTAGGAAGCTGTCGGAAGTTGGAGGTAAGAGCCTGGAGTTCAGCAGGATGTGGTGGTGTGCACCTGTGGTCCCATCTACTCAGGAGGCTTAGGTGAGAAGTGTTTGTCATTACAGTGACCTATGATTGTACCACTGCAATCCAGCCTGGACGACAGAGCAAGACACTGTCTCTTAAAGAAAAACAGAATTATAGTACAATATCAACACTAGGAAATTGACATCGGTACGATGTGTGTGTGGTTCTATGTCATTTTATTGCACATGTAGATTCATGTAAACATCACTACAATCAAGATTCAGAACCGTTCCATCACCACAAATAGCTCCCACCACTCCCTTACAGTTGTATGCCCTCCCCCTTCTTCCACTACTCCCAATTCCTGGTAACCATGAATCTGTTCTCCATCTCAATAATTTTATCATTTATATACATGGAATCATACAACATGTAACTTTTTGAGACTGGCTGAGAAATGCCCTTTTTGGTAAAATGTCTCTTCATGTCTTTTGCCCATTTAATAATTAGATTGTTTGTTTTTTACTGTCGAATTTTGAGATTTCTTTATATATTCTAAATGTGAGTGTTTTGTCAAATATGTGGTTTGCAAGTGTTTTCTCTCAGTTTATAGCTTGTCTTTCCATTCTGTCAACAGGGTTTTTTTTTTTTAATGCAGCAAAAGTTTTTAATTTTGAAGGAATCCAAATAATCAATTTTTTCTTTTATGGATTGTATTTTTACTGTTATGTCTTAGAATGCTCTACCCAATCCTAGGCCCAAATATTTTCCCTGTATTTTCCTATAAAAGTTATATAGTTGTAGGCTGAAACATTTTCCCTATATTTTCCTATAAAAGTTTTGTAGCGTATTTTTTTATTTAAATATATTATCTATTTTAAGTTAGTTTTTGCATAATGTGTGAGACTTAGTTGATTTTTACTTTTTCCCCCATGAATGTCCAATCCTGCACCACCATTTGTTGAAATGACTGTCCTTTCTCCATTGAATTCTTCTTTGTACCTTCGTAAAACATTAGTTGGCAGTACTTTTGTGGCTCTATTTCTGGATCTATGCTATGGCACTGATTTATATTTCTATTCCTCTCCCAGTATCACCCAGTCTTGATTGCTATAGCTATATAACAAGTCTTGCAATAGGATAGAGATTTGGGGAGAATTGACATATTTACTATGCTTGGTATTCCAATTCAAAAACAAAGTATACATCTACATTTATTTAGATCTTGCCTGAGTTCTTTCATCAGCATTTTATAGTTTTCAGCATGAAATTGTGTTCATTTTGTTGGATTTACAACTAAGTATTTACCCATTCGTTGGGGAGGGTCCTTGTGGCTCCTCATTACAGCCTGGTGAGGGTGGAAGTCTGAACTGCCCATTCAGCCTTTGTTGATACTGAGGTATGTGTTGGGCCCAAGTTTTTTTTATGGTATTGACTGGAGCAGAACAGATTTTTCTCCCCCGCAGTTCTCTGTCTTTCTGGCTGTTCCTTTTCCAGTCCCTTGGCTAGAGACAGCAGGCCTTTCTTGGGATGTTTGTGTCCTCATTAGTGTTTCCAAGTTGGAGTCATCTCCAATGCTTATTCTGAGATAGAAGAAGCAAAAATAAAACGCAGAACTCACCGCTGTGTCATTCCTTGGGTCCCAAGATTCCTAGCTAATATAGTTTTTTCTTTCCACCTTTTAGGATCTTCCTAGGATGTATACATCTCCAGGGCTTTTAGCTGTATGTAGTGGCAGAATAGGGAAAAGTATTCTATCTTCCTGGGAACAGAAGTCCTTAGAGATAAATTATTTAGATCATTTTCTTTTCTCCAGATTAGGAATCTGATACTGAGAGGTAAAATGTCCTCTCTGAGGTCACACTGCTAGTTATGGGAAGAGCAGGGATTCAGCACTACATCTCCATGCTCTGAAGCTGTGGCACCCCCGCCCCAATATCAGGGGATTCTTACAGAAGCTCCCCACTAGGAAGCAAATGACAAATAAAAACAGCAGCTACCACTATTGTCAGCCTACAGCATGTTATGCATACATTGCTTATGGTCTTTACTACATCCTTGCAGAGAGAACAAAAAATGGGGAATCACTTGATTTTACAGATGATGTTTAGACTCATGTGAAAAAATATGAATGTTGACCTTACCTCATACCATATAAAATAATTTACTGCGAATGGATGTTAGACCTAAACAAAAGTGCTAACGCTGTAAAAATTTTATAAAAAATAGAAGGAAAATCTTTATAGCCTTGTGGTAGATGGTAGACAAAGATTTCTTATCTCAGAAACAAAAATAACTAAATTAAAAAGACTTTTTTTGATAAACTAGATTTCATCATTTTGAAAAGCTTTGCATAGTAAAAGGCATTGTTAAGAAAAGGGAAAGATAAGTAATAATTTGGGATAAAATGTTTACAAAACATGGCCGGGCGCGGTGGCTCACGCCTGTAATCCCAGCACTTTGGGAGGCCGAGGCGGGCGGATCACGAGGTCAGGAGATCGAGACCATCCTGGCTAACACGGTGAAACCCCGTCTCTACTAAAAATACAAAAAATTAGCCGGGCGTGGTAGCGGGCGCCTGTAGTCCCAGCTACTCGGGAGGCTGAGGCAGGAGAATGGCGTGAACCCGGGAGGCGGAGCTTGCAGTGAGCCGAGATCGCGCCACTGCACTCCAGCCTGGGCGACAGAGCGAGACTCCGTCTCAAAAAAAAAAAAAAAAAAAAAGTTTACAAAACATATATAGTCATGTGTTGCTTAATGATGGGGATTCATTCTAAGAAATGCATTGTTAGGTGAATTTATTGTTGTGTAAACCTCATAGAGTGTACTTACACAAACCTAGATGGTATATCCTACTACACACCTAGGCTATATGGTATAGCCTCTTGCTTCTATGCTACTAACCTATACAGCATGTTACTGTACTGAATACTGTAGGCAATTGTAACACAATGGTAAGTATTTGTATATCTAAACCTATCTAAACAGAGAAAAAGTATGGCAAATATGTAATATTATAATCTTATGAGACTACCCTTATATATGCATGCAGTCCAGCTTTGTCTGAAGTGTCATTATGCAGTTCACAACTGTACATAGAAACATCACTCAAATTAATAACAAGAAGACAAACCAATTTTAAAAAGAAGCAAAAGGCAGAATACATAATTCATCAAAGAAGATAAACAAATGGTAGATAATTTGTGTAAAACTGTTCAACATCTATAGTCAAAAGGGAAATGCAACCTAAGAAAACTGTGGGAAACTTCGTATTTCAACTCCAACATGTGAAAAGCTTGGATGCCATCATTCCTATACTTTCAACAAGACAAACCTGGACAAGCTGAAAGCTGATGACTTCTCTTTGGATCCATTGGAGAATTGAGGCTGCAGTACAAATTGCCACCTGAAATCTGGAGAGACAGGTAAATCTTGGGGTGAGAGTTGAGATCTGTTACCTGTAGCAGAAGAAGCTGGTGCCCTAAGCTGATGGTAACACATAAAAGATAATTTTGATAAATTGCTGGAGGCTGAGTATAGACCAGCATGAGAATGAAAAATTCCTGGAAGCCTGAGTCTTTTGGCAATTCCCCACTTCCATGAGTTCTACTTCCAGGAACCCCACCAGCTTCTCATGGTGAAAATCTGAGAAAGATCCCTTGGAGGAAGGGCTTCCTTTCTCTCATGCCAGCCTCTTCTAGCCTTCATGTCTAAGCAATTGGGAACACATAGTCATCAGAATTCAATACTTTAAGGAAATAGGTTGGGAATGCTGCAGTCAGGGGAGGGAAGAGGAGGAAGGGGGAAATTCTCTACCACTGGAGAAGCATTTGTGAAAGTCACCTCTAAGAGACACACAGGCCTATTAACTGGCTGAGACTTAATTATGGTTATAGAATGCTTTCTCTCCTTATACCTTACTACCACACCAACAGACCTTCAGTAAAGTCAGAGAGAATTATGGCTGAAAGAGATGTAAGACACAGACTCTTTCTGAGGAAGAGCATATAGAGAAGCCCAAGGTTACGAGGGAAGACACAAATAATGTCACTAGATGGGTTTATCCTCTGGCATCTGTAGATATATCAAGCATTAAACACAGTCCAGCTCCTAGCTAGATTAACATAAATCTTTACACTAAGAGCCTATTTACCAATTCCTATTCCTAATACGAAATGTCTAGCTTTCAATGCAAAATTGCAAGACATGCCAAAAGGCAAGACAAAAATGCAGTCTGAAGAGAAAAAGCAATCACCATAACCAGACTCAGATATGGAACACATGGTGGAATTATAAAACAGAGAATTTAAAATAACTATTATTAATATGTTATGGGCTCTAATGGAAAAAGCAGACAACATGCAAGAAGAGATGGACAATGTAAGCAGAGAGATAGAAATTCTAAGGGGAATAAGATAATGAGAAAATGGAAATTAAAAACACCATAAATGAAGAATGCCCTTGGTGGGTTCATCAATAGACTGCGAACAGCCAAGAAAATAATAAGTGAGCTTACAGACAGGTCAGTAGAAACTCTAAAAACACAAAGAGGAAAAATTATGAAGAAATAAAACAAAATAAAGCAAAACCAAAACAGAACATCCTGTGGAGAAATTGCAAATAGTGTAGCATACACGTAATTGGAATACTAGTAGGAGAGGAAGAGATACAGAGCAGAAGAAATGCTTAAAGTAATAACAGGAGAACTTTTTTGTTAAAAAAGTTAATTGCAGACCCCAAACCACATACATAGGAAATTCAAAGAGCGCCAAGCAGGATAAGTATAACAGACACCTACATACATCCACACACACCATATTCAAACTACAGAAAACTAAGACAAAGAGAAAATCTTGAAGTAAACCAGTCAGAAGAAAAACACCCATTCCTAGAAAAGAATGAGTACAAAAATTACAGTGTACTTCCCTTAAAGTGTTGACAGAAAAAAACAAAACAAAACCCTAACCCAGAATTTATATTCAAGGAAATTATCTTTCAAATGTGGAAGAAAAATAGAAACATTTTCTCACAAATGAAAACTGAGGGAATTCATCTCCAGCAGGCCTGTCCTGCAAGAAATGTTAAGAATTTTTAAGGCAGTAGGAAAGTGATGTAGGTCAGAAACTTGGACGTATAAGGAAAAGGATGTTGGAGAGGGCATAACTGAAGAAAAATATTTTAGTTTTCTTATTCTTAATTTACGTGGAGATAATTATGTTTAACTCAATAATGATAATAATGTATTGGGTGATTGTAGCATATAGGTAAGGGAAATGAATGATAGCAATTCCATAAGGGATAGGAGGGAGGAATTGGAAATAATCTATTACAAAGTACCTGTACTACGTGTGAAGTGGTGTAGAGTTATTTGAAACTGGTCTTAGATTAGTTTAAAATGTGCATTGCAAACTCTAAAGTAATCAATTTTTTTTAAAAAAACTGCAGTTGATATGCTAAGAGAAGAGATGAAATTCAGTAATATAAAATGCTCAAGAAATGCAAATAGAAAACAGTTACAAACATGGTAGATATTAATCCAGCTATATCAATAATCACTTTAAAAGTCAGTGGTGTATCTAAACACACTAATTAAAGGACAGAGATTGGCAAACTGGATTTAAAAAAACCTGAAGTAACAAACCTAAATCTAAAATAAAAGTGATTAGTACCCACTGAATCTAAAATAAAAGTGGGAAAAAGTGCTCAAGACTTTATGCTTTCTACTTTATGCTTTCTACAAGAAATCTACTTTAAACGTAAAGACTGAGATAGGTTAAAAGAAAAGGAATGGAGAAGCTATGCCATGCTAAAACTAATCAAAAGAATGCTGGAGCAGCTATATTAACAAGACAAAATAGATTTCAGGATAAAGAAGATTATCAGGGATAAAGGAGGGAATTACATAATGTTAAAGGAGATCAATTCTCCATGGAGACATATGATCCTAAACATGTATGAGCCTAACAAAGTTTCAAAATTTATGAGGCAAAAATGGATAGAATTAAGAGAAAAGAGGCAAAAATTCATTATCATAGTTGGAAACTTCAACACCTCTTTGATATATCAAGCACTCAGAAAAACAGGAAGGATATAGTTGGCATGAACTATCAATCAAATTTATCGAATTGACATTTACAGAACACTGAATCCAACAATAGCAATATTTCTTTCAGTTCACATGGAACCTTCACCAAGATAGACCATATGGTAGGCCACAAAACACACTGTAATAAATTAAAAAAATTAGATATTAAATAAAGTATGTTCTCAGACCACAGTGGAATTAAACTAGAAATCAGTAACAGAAAGACAGCTGGAAAATTCCTAAATATTTGGAAATATTTGTTTAACATGTGTCTAGTGAAGAGATGGGTCAAAGGAGAGGTCTCAAAATAAATGAAAAATATTCTTAGTTAAATACAAATGAAAATACAACTTATAAAATTTGTGGAATGCAGCAACAACAGTTGTTGAAGAGAAATTTATAACACTAAATGCATATATTAGAAAAGAAGATCTAAAATCAATAATCTAAGTTTTAACCTTCAAAAACTAGAGAAAGAAGAAAATGTTATGCATAAACAAGTAGAAGAAAAGGAATAACACAATTATAGCACAAATAGGTGAAACTAAAAATAAGAAAGCAATAAAGAGAAATCAACAAATTCAAAAGTTGTTCTTTGGAAAGATCAATAAAATAGATAAATCTCTAGCCAGGCTAACCAAGAAATAAGAGAAATGTAACAAATTACTAAACTCAGAAATTAAAGAGGGATCATTGCTACTGATCCCTTGGACTTGAAAATATAATGAAGGAATATTACAAACAAATCTATGCCAACAAATTTAATAACAGATGAAATGACTAATGCCTTGAGAGATATAAACTAAAAAAATTCTACAAGTAGAAATAAGTAACTCAAGTAGACCTGTTTCTTTTAAAGTCATTGAATTGATTACAAATAACCTTCGGAGTAAAAAAAGTACCAGACCCAGATGGTTTCACTGGTGAATTCTACCTCAGATTTAAGGGAAAAAAAGTACCAATTCTACACAATCACCAAAAAATAGAAGCAGAGAGAATACTTCCTAACTCATTCTATGAGGCCAATATTACCTTAATACTAAAACCACACAAAGATTGTAAAAGAAGAGAAAACTACAGATATATATTTCTACATCGACAGGCTAAAGAAGAAGAGTTATATTATCATATAAATATTGGCCTCATAGAATGTGTTAGAAAGTGTTCTCTCTGCTTCTGTTTTCTGGTGATTGTGTAGAATTGGTACTTTTTTTATAATATAATATACATTGTTTTAGAAAAAGCATTTGACAAAATTCAAAACCTATTCATGATAAAAACACTCAGGAACCTAGGAATAGAGGGGGACTTCCTCAGCTTGATAAATAACATCTAGAAAAATACTGTAGCAAACATTTATGTTTAATGGTGAGAAAATGAATGCTTTCCTCTTAAGACTGAGAAAAAGGCAATATCCCCTCCACCACTGCTATTCAATATCTTACTAGAAGTTCTAGCTGGTGCAATGAGAAAATAAAAAGAAATAAAAGGTACCAAGATTGGAAAAAACAAAAAACAAAAAACATGTATTTATTCACAGGAAACATGATTGTCTGTGGAGAAAGTTCCAAAGAATTGACCAAAAACTCTTCTGGAACTAATAAGCAGTTATAGTAAGGTCTCAGACTATAAGGTCAATATATAAAAGTCAATTGCTTTCCTATATATCAGCAATGAACAACTGGAATTTGAAATTTAAAAATATCATTTACAACAGCATCAGAAAAGGAAATACTTAGGTATAAATCTAACAAAATATATACTGGATAAATATGTGGAAATGTACAAAACGCTAATGAAAGAAATAAACAAAGATGTAAATAAATGGAGAGATATTCTGTGTCATTGGGTTGAAGGACACCATGTTGCTGAGATGTCATTTCTTCCCAATTCAACTTATAGATTTAATATGCTCTCATTAAAAACTCTAGAGCATATGTTGTAGATATTAACAGATATTGACAAATTGATTCTAAAGCTGATATGGAAAGGCAAAGGACATAGCATATTCAATACAATATACTGAAGAAGAAAAAAGTTGGAGAACCCACATTTCCCTATAGTAAACTTACTATAAAACTACATTAGGGAAGACAGTGGGTTTGGCAAAAGAATACAGTGCAATGTAACAAAATAGAGTAAATATGGATCTACACAAATATAGTCAATCGTCTTTGGCAAAGATGCAAAAGCAATTTAATGGAGAAGGAATAGGCTTTTAAACAAATTTTGCTGGATAAATTGGAAGTCCATATGCAAAAAAAAAAAAAATCCTTGCTACAGGTTTTTCTCCTTTTGCAAAAATTAACTCAAAGTGTAACATAAAGGTAAAATGCAAATGATAAGAAGAAAATGTAGGAAGAAATTTACATGACCTTGGACTTTGTGATGAGTTTTTAGATACAACACCGAAACAAGATCAATGAAAAAAATAGATCTGAACTTTATTAAAGTATTTTCCTGGTAAAATACACTGTTAAGAGAATTAAAAGACAAAATATAATCTTGGAGAAAATATTTGTAAGTCACATATCTGATGAAGGACTTGTGTTCAAAATATGCAAAGAATTCTTAAAATTCAACAATGAGAAACACCTAATTAAAAATTAGGCAAAAGATCTGAGCAGACTTCACTCCAAAGATGATACACATATGGAAAATAAGCATATGTAAAGATACGTAACATCATTTGTCATTAGGCAGATGCAAATTAAAATCACAATGACAGTACAAACCTATTTGGATGGCAAAAACCCAAAGTCCTGACAGTACTAAATGCTGACAGTGATGTGGAACAGGAACACAACCACTGCTGGCGAGCACGCAAAATGGTCCAGCCACTTTGAAAGACAGTTTGGCAGTTTCTTATAAAGCTAAACATAGACTCATCATGTGATCCATCAATCATACTCCTAGGTATTTTCCCAATGAATTTGAAAACTTATGTCCACAAAAAGCCTGTATGCAAATGTTTATACAGCTTTATTCATAATCTTCAAAACCTAAAAGCAACCAAGATGTCCTTCAATAGTGTGAACAAACCGTGATATATCCATACAATGGAATACTATTTAGTGAATAAAAAGTGGACTAGCAAACTATGCAAAGACTTAAATGGATCTTAAATGAATATTGCTAAATTAAAGAAGCCAATCTGAAAAGGCTATGTACTGTATGATTCCAATTGTACAACAATCTGGAAAAGGCAAAAAAAAAAAAAAAAAAAAGAGAGAGAGAGAGAGAGATGATGGACAGATCACTGGCTGCCAGAACTTTCGGTAGGAATAGAAAGATCAGATAGGTGAAGCACAGAGGATTTTTTAGGGCAGTGTAACTATTTTATATGATGCCATATGCATTTGTCAAAACCCATAGTGAGCTTTAATGTATGCACATTTTAAAATGTCGTTGAAAAAGTCAGGTATCCCAGCATGGAATGCTGAATGTGACAGCAGAACCCAGCCGTTACAAATGTATGAAACAACCTCACTGTAGAGGGTAGGATTAAAAAGTTGCCCAAGTAACTTTGGAAATTAATAGAGTCTGTAAGACTAAAAGGCAGTAGGAACTGTGCATAAGCACTGTGCCCTGGTTAGTAAAGTTGCTTCTCATCAGGGCACAGTTTAACAAGTCTGACATAACTGAACATATACACTGGAAATGAACAATGAAATGAATGGCTGTGGGTGATGGGAGCAGTTTTCTCATTGTTGGAATGGGAGGTGTCGACAAGCAAAGGGAGGAGGTGTTCAGTTGATTGGATGAGGCCCACCATATTATGCAGAGTCATCAGCTTTACTCAAAGTCTACTGATTTAAATGTTAATCTCATCCAAAAAATACCTTTGCAGCAACATTTAGACTAGTGTTGGACCAAACTGGGCACCATGGCCTAGCCAAGTTGACACATATGATTAAGCAGCATGCTATTTTTCAGGAGAGAAGGAAGAGGGTCTAGAACAGGTGGAGTGGTTGCAGATGTGGTGGGGGGGTGTCTGTGAATGAAAACAGGTACCAGAGGCAACAGATGCAGAGCCAAGGACAGGGCGGCCTGGGAGGGTCCTGGCTTGGGTGATTGGCAGGACATGAGTGCCTGAGGAAAGTTAGTTGCTGGGACTGCAGGGTGACAGCTAGCTGTCACTCAAAAACTTCCCCCTGACCAAAGAGCTGTTTGCTTTCTCAGACTAATTACAGGCACTGCCCTCAGGAAGAGTCCCATGCCGGCATTTGAAAATGAATCAATTTTCCAAGGAAGTGTTACGCAGAGAGTTCCCCTGTGGCCAGAGGAGCAGCTGCTCTCATTTAGAGGGCACAGGCTCCATCACCACCAGAATGTGTAAGCATGGCAAGTGGAGGCTGCTCACTGTGGCTCAGAGCAGGGCGTGAGCAGCTGCCCACGAAAGCATTCTCTGGGCTGGTGCCCTGCCCATAATTGGTCCAATCATTTATGTTCTAAGTTTTATTTATCTGCAGAGAGACAGGGGCTTAGCTGGTCAAAGCAAATGAATCAGAAGCTGAGGGGACTGCCCCACCAGATACAGGAAAGAAGTTGCAGGCAGTATTCACGCTCACTCTGCCTTGCTGCTTGACCTTAGAGAAAACACACTGAGCCTCAGTCTTCCACATGAAATGTACTTGCAGTGAGAGTTTGATTAGAGGCACCAATGCCTGGAAGTCACTGTTCATAAATTAATTTGATGCTCTTGGCTCCATTTCATAAATCTATGAAGTCACCTGCTTTGTCCCATCCCAATATTTATGTAACGAACATGCACTTTCTTCGGGGCTGAAGGAAGCACTGGTCATTTAGATGATGCAGACTATTCTTGTGCTTGTCTCTGAAGCTCAGTACGAATGTTTAGAAAATCCCCAGGATGTGGAAACCATTTATAATAGCATTTACTATTTCCCAGATACATAGATCCTACATTTCATCCTTCTCTGAGGGGCGGTTGTTCTCGTCCTCGCTGTTATGCCATCGTCTCAGTGTGTAAAGGTGGTGGTTCTGGGGAGGCCATGCAGGGGTCCTGGTGACAATGCGGAAGCCACTGTCATTTCTATGGTGCTCCCTTGATCTGAACGGCAGCCTGTAGAAGAGGATCGCAATGATGTGTGTGCACAAACCCGACAGCATGGACAGAGCCCACCGAGCATGGTACTCAGTGTGGTGGTCAACCACAGGCCTGTCTACACCATGTAAACAGTTAAGATGCTTCTCTGAAGTTGGACAGCTAGAAAGTGGAGGTGTCAAGCTCTAACCCTGGAGATGGGGCCCAGGAGCCTCGGCTCACAACCACCTGGGGCCATCCCTCCAGGAAGGGGCATCCTTAACCTGATAGCCACCTCTGCAGACGCCCTCCCTGCTGCCACAGGGAGAAACTGCCTTACAGTTCTTGTACTCATTAGGCTTTGAGACCCTCCTTGACAGGCAGGCAGGCAAGCTATAATCCTTGATTACTTTTTCTCTTAATTGGTGGGTAGACTAAGCTATAGTGGAGTAATGAATCAAAGCTTCTTTGGGGGAGAAGAGAGTTAATTTTAAAAAATTAGGTTCTGCATGTAATTATGAATGCCTGGTAAAAATATGTGTCTGTGTAAAAGTGAGTTTAGACCCAGACATGTTCCAAGAATGGCTGAGGCTACTGATGAGATAATATAAAATACTTAGAATCTGTATGTAAGACAGCAAAAGCAGAAGTAGAAGCCAAAGAAGGCAAAGCAATAAAGGCAAAACCCAGCAGTTTCTGGAACGAGACTAAAAATACCTACCTTATTTCCAAGCTTCCCAGTAGCCAAGGTGAAAAGAGGTGCAATCATGGACATAATTCACTTTCTATAAAACCATCACTAACTGCTCAGGAGATGCCCAGCTCTTCCTTGTTCTACGACAGAGTATTCAGGGTTTTCCTCAGCAGACCCCATCTACTACCACCCATGAGCTGACATTGACCTGGTTTTCAGGCTGTTTCTTGTCACTCCATGAGGGCAGTGCCCAGCCTGCTTATTCACTGCGTGTCACCAGCATCAGGAATGTGCTTGGTCCAGAGCAGACTCACAGCCCTTATTCATTGAATGAATGAATGAACGAACAAGTGGATGAACTGGACTCATTTGCAGGATTTTTTTTACTTGACAGGGGGCCCTGGAGCTAAAATAAATAAATAAATAAAATGCTTACAGTCTCTGGAGACAAGGTTTGTGTACATCAAAGGGGCCAATGACGAGAAACACAGGGAGTGATAGCACCCACAGGGCCACTGTGGGGCGTGGAGCTCACATCCCACGGATTTGGGCAAGGCCTACCTGGGGTGGTGGGGGCTGAGCTGAACGCTGATCATGGGCAGAGTGAGGGAAGACAGAATTTAGGGAGCAAAGACTCTTCATTCACAAGATCCAGAAGAGAGTTACAGAGGAACTTGAGGATGGCTGCCATAGAAAGAAAGATGATGTGATGATGGGATCAGAAGTTGGGATGATACACTTGGGCTTTCGTGGGGCAGGCCCCTCCCCATCCCCAGGCTTGGATGAACTGCCTGCCTGGGCTTCTGCTGCACCCTGCTCACTGCTGTTTATGCAGAACCTTAGTAGGACAGCCTTCTTCATGGAACACAGGCTGTTTTTGTAAAATAAATAGGTAAGTGAGTTGCAAGCGTCTATGGCTACACACTCAACATGGGCCAATACTGAGATGAGGCAGTGGTGAAGCATCTGGGCAGGCTTGGTGCGTCAGGCATGCTGGAGCATGGAACACATTTCTGGGTAGCAGCTTCAGGGAGCAGAGAAGGGTATAGACAGATGGGACCAGTTCCAAGAGGGAAAACAAGGATGCTGAACTGGATCGTGGGAAAACATGGAAAGAGCTGTAGATATTTAACCTGAAGAAGAAAAGCCTCTATGGGGTGGGAGTGGGGATGGGAAGGGCAAGACAACTATTTCCAAATCTCTGAGGAAGTGAGAATCAACTTGCTTGGTGTGGCCTAGAGAAGCAGATGCTGCAAGGAGGAGATTGCAGACAAGAGAAACATTATTATTTTTTTTAATGGTCAGAACTGCCTAGATGTGAGAAAGTCCTCCAGATAGAAATTTATTTATTCATTCACTCATTCAATTCATCATTCACATATTCAGTGACTATTTACTGGCTGTGTTTCAGGTATTGGAAAGAGAGTGGTGGGCAAAACTGAGTGATGTCTGCTCCCATGGGGTTTAGTCACTAAGGAATGGTGGACCTTTCATAAGCGATAAAGTGTGAGGTGGGCAGAGGTGGTCTCCAGTGGGTGTTTCAAGCAGGCAGGGGTTGAGAAAGCTGAGACAGGGCTCTTCAGAACTTCAGTTTCCCAGACAAATCCATTTTAAGTTATAAAAGTTTATGTAAGTGCTATGCCTACTTCTAGTCTTAACTACGAATCTCAAACTGAAATGCTCTCAAATTGCCTCCTGAAGGAGCCTCCCCTGAAAACACAAAGGTGGAAAAACAACTTCCATTGCTTGGTTCTGTGTGTCTTTGGGGACTCCAGTCTGGCTTATGTGCTAATGGAAGTTAATTAGACAAAGAGCCTTCCCCGCTGCACAGGGCCTCTGAGCTCTGTTTGGGGTTGCTTAGTTCAAAAAGGGCAGGATGAAAGGATCCTGGGACCTGGATCACTTTCAAGATTTCCTGAGAGGAGTGACATCCGACCCAGAGAAACAGACATGAGCCATGCCCACCTGGCTTCCCAGGTGGGTTGGAGCACCAGGGTGATTGGGAAGATTTATGCCGTGCTCCTGGGGAAGTCATCGTCCCTCGATTCTGTACCATTCCTTCCATAGTTCTTCTCTTTCCTCTCCTTCTCTTAACTTTGGGTGCTGAATTCTTTCTCCTCCTCAATGAACGCAACACCCTATGAGCTCCTACTTGGAGCAGACCATGGCCTAGGTTCTGAAAACTGCCAGGTCAATTTGGAGAGGTCTCTGCCGCAGCATTTGCCGTTGCTGGGGTTGTTCCTGCTTTCCTGTCTGTCCACTGATTACTCACACTCTACGTGTTTCAGAAGACACCACGGAAGAGCTCAGTGCATAAGCTCTGCAATGGGGCTCTCTCCATTCTGGCAGCTCTGGCAGAAAGAGGAAACCATGAAAACCCAGCTCTGTTACCTGACAATGGACATTCCTGCTGTCAGAGATAAACAGTGACAGACATTAGGCAGAGAGATGAAACAGGTTCTCTTCAGTAACTACTGACAGCAGGGGCCAGAGCCCAGCTTTACTCTGATTTGCACAGAGACGACTGGGCACGTTAAAGGGGGAGCGCGGGGTAGGGAGGAGGAGGGAACGGGGATCAAGCAGAGTTGGGGAAGTGAAAAGTTCCCAAAGGCAGTAAGAGGGTTGGTCAGTGTAAATGTGTCTGCCAGGTGGGAGTGATCAAAGTTAGGATTCTGTCCTCCCAGCTGGGAGACTGCACCCCTGAGTGGAGTGGGGTAGGGCCAGACCTTTGAGGGGTGCATGTGGAAACTCGAGACCCCTGGGCTCTTACCCTGGCTCTACCATTTACCTCCTATGTGGTCAGGGGTTGGTCACTCTGCTGCCTCCTGGCTCTGACCTGGGAGCTCTGGGGTCTCCAACCTTGGAATGTTCACCTTTGCATCATCCTATAATTCTTACTATCATTCTCCGAAGCCACAGAAAAATCACATTTGGATCTCAGTGGTTACTAGGCAGGGGGTCTGTGAAAGCCCTGAATAGTTGTGACAGGTGCCAGGGAGTTTGTTCTGGGAGCTTCCTGGAGAGGAAGGGTAATGGCGTACCTGAGAGAAGGGCCCTGGGCAGAGGCCTCTGCCCACAGCATTGAGGCTGTGGACGAGCCTAGTCAGTCCATGAGCACTTGCAAAGCTCCAGTCGGGTGTGCCTGGGCTAGTCCTTCTCTGGCCACCCTTTGGTCCCCTGAGTCCTTCTCAATGTCTCTTGCTACCAAATTGCTTTCATACATGGATCAATTTCTACTCCTCTTGAAGAGTGTGTCAGATGCTTTCTCATCCCGTGTTAACACTGGAATTATCCACACTTTTAATCCTTGCTAATTCCATAGGTCAAAAAGATAGCATCTCATTATTATAATCGGCAATGTTTTTGGCCTATGAGTGGAGGTCAAACAGTTGGTGGCGATTATCTTTTGAAGACACCATTTAAAATGCCCATGTTTGAGGGTATTTTGTGTTATGATTTGTAACTGGAAGGTTTATAAAAGCTAATAGAAACTATTGACACAGTGTAACTAATTTGGGCTGGAAGGGAACTCTTGGAATAACTGCTCTTCCTTTCAGCATTGCTAGGGTAAAGCACTCCAACTTCATATTCTGTCAAAAGCAGTGTTAATATTAATAGATAAATACTGACCAGGCACACAATTTAGGGGTATAGTGATCCCAAAACAGTGCGTGAGGAATTTGTTATTAAAAGATGCACACACGTCAAGAATATCCTCTAATGAATATGCAGTGTGTTAATTCTGTAATATCATTGTTCCAAGAAACTTGGTACTTCCTGACGTCTAAAAGTTGATAAGTTTATTTAGCCTATTGTTTTGACTTTGCTATACTGTGAGTGATTTTACAGATCCCTAATTTCAGTGCCACACCAATGCCACAATCTCTAAGCAGGATGAAGTTGCTGTATTCTTCCAATCAATTAACCAACAAAATTAAATTTCACACTACAGAGCTTTGGAATAGCTACTGTTTACTGAAATTACCATTGCAAATAATGAAACTGAATGTTTAAAGAACCAGCGTTTAGTATTGTCAATTAAGTCTGGACTAAATGTTAATAAATATAACACAGTGTGGAAAACCATCTGTGGAGCTTCAGCTTCATGAGGGAATGTGCCAGGAATAGCCTGGTTTAGACAGTTTGTTGATGTGACTCTGGTCCCCCAGAAGCCAATGGTCAGTTAGCAACTTGTGAAGCAGCCACTTCCATCTGGGGACCCTATCACTAAACTCACACAAAAAAAGTCGCTAGGGTATTTCAGATTTTAAACGGTTAGTCTATTGAATAATCAGCAACGTGACAACCATCTCATTTAAAAAACTTTGCATATGATTTTGCCATGTGTTTGTCTCTCAGGTACCTTTCCAGCTTTTGTCCCTGGGTGTACACATGTCACATGTGTGCAAATGGCACATATGCAATTTTCTGTCATTGCATCAGATGTATATTCGTTAATTGTGACTTGGTCTCTAAATTGCCATTTTGAATTACTATGATAATTTGTATAGTGAATGAGATATGATTTGCCTCACCAACCTTCTATTGTTGCCATTTAAATTGAGCCTTAATGCTGATGATTATCAGCTATGAAGCATGTGGATTTTTCACAGTTTGGTATTATTTTCTTAGAACAAATTCCCAGCAGTTGGAACACCAAAGGAAAAGGGAATTAACGTTTTAATGGCTTTATGCTTCTCACCAACATAGTCCTGTCCTGCTTATCCTCTTTTGGACACCCTTCCCATTTATTTCTTTGGATACAAAGATATCTAAAATAAAGAGGGCTTTTGTTTTTGTTCTGTTTCTTTTCCAGGTTCTATTCTATCCCTTCTATCTGCTGCATTGCTCTACTTTCTCTAGTTTTCTGTTTTGCCTGCTGATCTTTCCCGTGGAGGCTGTCCTCCCATTTAAGAGTGGGGAGCTCTAAAGCTGGTGGGATTACTTACCGGTGATTGGCCACTGGCAAGTCTTCCTCCTATCACCATCAGAAATCTTCATCTCTGGTGATGTCAGTTCTAAAAAAGGCAGTATTCCAAGGGTGCCTTGCTGGTGCTCAGGGAACAGGCAGTGTTTGTACAAAAGGCTGTGGATGTGAGGGTGCTTGTGTGTGTTCATGCATGAGTCTTTGTGGGTACATATGTGCATGTACATGTTTGTGCATGTGCATGCATGTGTGTGCATGAGGCTGTGTGCATACACATTTGTGCATGTATATGCATGTGCATATGTGCACATGTATATGAGGCTGTGTGCATGAAACTGTGTGTGTGCATAAGGCTATGTGTGCCTGTGTATATGTGTGTGTGTGTACACATGTGCATGAGGCTGTGCATGGCCATGCGTGGTGGGTGTTTGGGCTTCTCTGCAGCCCTGGCGAGGCAGCCTGGAGAACACCGTTGTTAGCAGCAGGACAACAAGCCCTGTGATTCCTGCATGATACCTATGCTGCTCTGAATTTGCAGTGATCCCAAAGGCCAGCTTCAGCCAGTCTGTGCCTACCAAATAAACTCATGTGTTTAAATTTCCAGGTTTGTGGATTCTAGGAGCCCCAGTAATTTTCTTTGTTTCATTTTGTTCATAACAAAATTTTCAAATGCAGAAAAGCAAAGAATATATTCATTTGTTTAAAATGAATAATTATTTAAAAGTACATAATTTATTTGTTTATTTTCCCATTGTTGGGCAATTAACTTGTTTAAGAAATTTTACTTCTATAAATCATGCCAGAAAAACACCTCTGCTGTGCGTTTTTCTCCCAATCGTGTGGCTGCTTGTGCACACGATCCTCTGAGTTGGAGTGTGTTGCCTAGTGACATTGCTAGATCACAGAATGTTTACCACTAATATGGCCAAGATGCTCTCCAAAGGTTGTAGCACGTTAGACTCCCACAGCAATCCTGCGAGTTCTGTTTTTCTTATATTTGTGCCATTGCTTGGTATCATCAGATTCTCTGTGCTGGCCCCTGCCCAGTCTCAACTGGAATTTTCTTGATTATTTGCTCACTCTAAGTATTGCTTTTTTGTATATTGCCTATTTATTTCCTTGACTCATTTTTTTTTCTTTTGAAGGTTGAAATTTTCCTTATTAAGTTGTTATTCTTTATATATTTTGTCAGCAGTTTTTATTGTAACTGTCTTTTCCCTGGATTGCACATCTTTCCACTTAAAAAAAATTTATTGTATATTTGTAAATTATAACTGTATGTATTTATGGGGTGCAAATGGTTTTATGAAATCAGTGTACAATGTGGAGTGACTGAATCAAGCTAACTAACATATCCATCACCTCAAATACTTATCACTTATTCCTCCTGTCTTAACTGAAACTTTGTACCTTTTGACCAATATCTCCCCATTTCTCCCACCCACCCCCAGCCTCTGGTAATCACCCTTCTACTCTCTGCTTCTATGAGATCAATTGTTTTAGATTCCACATATGAGAACATACAATGTTTGTCTTTCTGTACCTGGCTTAATTCACTTAGAATACTGTCCAGTTTCATCCACGTTGTCACAAATGACATAATCTTCTTCTTTTTAAAGGCTAACTAGTATTCTATTGTGTATATTCACCAGATTTTCTTTATCCATTCATTCACTGATGGACACAGGTTAATTCCATGTCTTGGCTATTGTGAATAGTGCTGCAATGAACATGGAAGTGCAGGTATCCCTCCAATGTATCAATTTCATTTTTCTTTGGATATATACCCAGAAGTGGAATTGTTGGATCCTATGGTAATTCTATTTTTAGTTTTGAGGAGTTTCCATAGATTTTTTTTTTCCAAAATGGCTATACTAATTTACATTCCTACCAACAGGGTGCAAAGATTCTCTTTTTCCCCACAACCTCACCAACATTTATGTTTCATCTTTTTGCTAATAGCAGTTCTGACAGGTGTGAAGTGATATCTCATTGTGGTTTTAATTTGCATTTTCCTAATGGCTAGTGATACTGAGCATTTTTTTCATATATCTGCTGGCTGTTTCTGTGCCTTCTTTTGAGAAATGTCTATTCAGGTCCTTTGTACATTTTTTAGTTGAGTCACTTGTTTTCTTAATATTGAGTTGTTTGAATTCCTTATATTTTTGGATATTAATTCCTTATCATATGTATGGCTTACAAATATTTTCTCCCAATCCATGGGTTGTTTTTTTCACTCTGTTTATTGTTTTTTTTATTTTTTATTTTTTTTTGCTGAGTACAAAATTTTTTGTTTTATGTAATTCTATTTGTCTATTTTTGCTTTTGTTGCCTAAACTTTTGGGATAAAATTAAAAAATTATAGTCTAGACCAATGTTGTGTAATTTTTTCCCTATGTTTTCTTCTAGTAGTTTTACATTTAAGATGTTATGTTTAAGTCTTTAATTCATTTTGAGTTAATTTTTTATATAGTTTATGATAAGGGTTCTATTTCATTCTTATGCATGTGGATATCCACTTTTCCAACACGTTTTATTGAAGTGACTATCTTTTTTCTCATTGTGTATTCTTGGCAACTTTGATGAAAATCAGTTGACTCTTAATACATGGGCTTTTTTTCTGGGCTATTTTGTTTTATTGATCAATGTCTGTTTTTATGCCAGTACCATGCTATTTTGATTACTAGAGCTTTGTAGTATAGTTTGAAGTCAGGTGGTGTGATGCCTCCAGCTTTGTCTTTTTTGCTCAAGATTGCTTTGGCTATTTAGAGTCTTTTGTGGTTCCACATGAATTTTAGGATTGCTTTTTCTATTTCTGTGAAAAATGACATTAGAATTTTAATAGGGATTGCATTGAATCTGTAGATTGCTTTGGGTAGGATGGTGATTCACAATATTAATTCTTTCAATCCATAAACATGACATATCTTTCCATTTATTTGGGTCATCTTCAATTTCTTTCATCAATGTTTCATAGTTTTCAGTGTACAGATCTTTCATCTCTTTGGTTAAATTTACTCCTAAGCATGTTCTTTTTGTGTAGCTACTGGTAATTAAATTGTTTTCTTGATTCGCATTTTGTTATTTTATTATTAGTAAATAGAAACAATGCTGATTTTTGAGTGTTGATTTTGTAACCTGCAACCTTACTGTATTCATTTATTAGTTCTAACAATATTTTGGTGGAGTGTTTAGGGTTGTCTATATACAAGATTATGTCATCAGCAAACGGCAACAATTTCACTACTTCCTTTCCTATTTGGATGTCTTTTATTTCTTTCTGTTGCTTAATTTCTCTGGCAAGGCCTTTCAGTACTGTGTTGAACAGAAGGGATGAGAGTTGGCATCCTTGTCTTGTTCCAGATCTTAGAGGAAATGCTTTCAACTTTTCACTGTTGGGTATGATGTCAGCTGTGAGTTTATCATATATGGCCTTCATTGTGTTGAGGTACATTTCTTCTGTATCTAGTTTGTTGAGTGTTTTCATCACGAAAAGTTATGAATTTTGTCAAATGCTTTTTCTACATCTAATGGGATGCTTGTATGGTTTTTGCCCTTCATTCTGTTAATGTGGTATATCACATAGATTGCATACATTGAACCATCTTTGCATCCCTGGGATAAATTCCACTTGATCGTGGTGAATGATCCTTTTAATATATTGTTGACTCTGATTTGCTAGTATTTTGCTGAAGATTTTTGCATCATGTTCATCAGGATATTGACCTATAGTATTTTTTCCCCTTGTAATGTCCTTGTTTGGCTTTAGTATAAGGGTAATGCTGGCCTCATAAAAAGAGTTTGGAGGTGTTCTCTGCCCTTTAATTTTTTGGAAGAGTTTGAGAAGTATTGTTATCAGTTCTTTAAATGTTTGGTAAAATTTAGCAGTGAAGTCATCAGGTCCTGGGATTTTCTTTGATGGAAGAGTTTTTATTACTAATTAAATCTCCTTACTCACTTATTAGTCTATTAAGATTTTCGATTCCTTGATTATTCAATCTTGGTTGGTCATGTGTGTCTAGAAATTTATCCATTTTTTCTAGGTCATTTAACTTTTTGATGTATAATAATTCATAGTAATTTCTTATAATACTTTGTACTTCTGTGGTATCAGTTGTAATGTCTCCACCTTAATTTTTTATTCTATTTGTTTGAGTCTTCTCTCTTTTTTTCTTCATTTAGCTAAGGAGTTGTCAAGTTTTTAAAAACTTTTTGAAAAATAGACTCAGTTTTGTTGATTTTTTTCTATTTTTTTTCTAGTCTCTGTCTTATTTATTTCTACTCTGATCTTTATTATTTTCTTTCTTCTGCCAACTTTGGGCTTAGTTTGTTCTTCTTTTTCTAGTTCCTTGAGGTGTAACATTAGATTGTTTATTTGATATCATTCTTCTTTGTGGGAGTGTTTATTTATTTTAATCATTAAGAATTTTATAGAAAAAAATTTTACATTAAGTTCTACCCCATTGATCTTCTTTTTTTAATATTAGGAATTATAAATTTCCCTCTTAGAATAGCTTTTGCTGCATCCTGTAAGTTTTGGTATGTTGTATTTCCATTTTTGTTGTCTTGAGACATTTTTCATTTTTCCTTTTGATTTCTTCTTTGATCCATTGGTTGTTCAGGAGCATGTTGTTTAATTTCCTTGTATTTGTGAATTTTTCAAGATTTTTCTTGTTATTGATTTCTAGTTTCATATCATTGTGATATTAAAGGATACTTGATATTATTTCAGTCCTCTTACATTTGTTCAGACTTGTGTTTTTTTGGCCTAAAATGTAATCTATCCTGGAGAAGAATGTATATTCTGTTGCTGTTGGATGGAGGGTTCAGTGTATGTATGTTCAGTCCATTTGGTCTAAAATGTAATTCACATTTGATTCTTTTTATTGATTTTCTGTCATGGATGATCTGCCTATTGTTGAAAGTGGAGTGTTAAAGTCCCTGACTGTTATTGTGTTGCTATTTCTCCCTTCAGATCCTTTAATATTTACTTTATATGTTTAGGTGCTCTGTTGGGTATAGATATAATTGTAATTGCTATAGCCTCTTGATAAATGGACGCTTTTATCATTATATAATTATATTTTTGGTCTCTTTTTACAGTTATTGACTTAAAGTCTATTTTGTCTGATATAATTATAGCTACTCTTGTTCTCTTTTGATTTCTATTAGCATAACGTATCTTTTTCCATCCCTTCACTTTAAGTCTATGTGTTTCCTTAAAGATGAAGTGACCCTCTTGTAGACAGCATATAGTTGGGTCTTGTGGGTATTTTTAAAAAAACCCATTCAGCCACTGTATGTCTTTATTAGAGAATTTCATCCATTTATATCCAAAGTAATTATTGATAGGTAAGGACTTAACTATTGCCATTTTGCCATTTACTTTCCAGTTTTTTACATATATTTTGTTTCTTTCTTCCTCTCTTTTTGTCTTCCTTTGTGGTTTGATGGTTTTCTGTAGTGGTATGCTTTGAATACTTTCTACTTACGTTTTGTGTATCTACTGTAGATTTTTGCTTTGTGGTTGCCATAAGGCTTGCATAAAACATCTTGTACTTAGGCTATTTTAAGCTGATAATAAATTAACTTTGATTGCATACAATAACTCTATACTTTTATCAGCCAATAGGTGATAACATACATTTTATGTTTTTGCCATCAAAATTAACATTTAAAAAAAATAATTTGTATCCTTGACAATTTATTTTAGTTTTATTTTAAAAGTTTCGTCTTTTAACCATAGTACTAGAGATGAAATTGCTTTACACACTAGTCCATTACAGTTCTATAGTATTCTGAATATGACTCTCTATTAGTTATACCATTGAGTTTTGTGCTTCCATATGTTGTTAATTCGCAGCCTGTTGTTTCAGCTTAAAGAATTCCCTTTAGTAATTCCATGCCCTTGACCCTTCTCTGGCACCAGAAAAAGTCTGGACATTGCTGGGGGTGAAGTAGGAAACCTATCTTTGCACTGATGCCAGGCAGAAGTTGACTGTCCCAGACACTGCACTGACACTTGGAAAAAATGTCTCTTAGTTGGGCATTGTGGCTTATGTCTGTAATCCTAGCACTTTGGGAGGCTGAGACAGGAGGATCATTTGAGCCCACAAGTTCAACACCACCCTGGGCAACAAAGCAAGACCCTGTCTCTACAAAAAAAAAAAAAAAAAAAAAAATCTGTCCCTGGCAGAGAGGCAGGAAATCTGTATATGCCAGCATTCTGTTCTGAAACAAGATAGCATTTAGATACTACTAGTAGGAGGTGCGAGCCCTATCTGCTCTGTAGGCCCTGTCCTGAGGAAGAGATAATTTATTTTTATTTTTATTTTTTTGCCATGAGGAATACTGAGACATATATACCCAGAGGCTTAGGATCCAGAAACCCTCACACTGCCCCCACCACAAGCTATGCACTGAGTAGAAACAACAGCAGGACCTCTGTGAGAGGAAAAAAACTGATAAGGGTCTCTTCCTAGGTGCAAGTGTGTGGCTTCTATGGTAGTTGTGCAGCTTATAGGTGTAGGAGTTCCCCTCCTAGGTGCAGGATGTGCAGCTCCTAGGGCAGGTGTGACTCTCCTAGCACAGGTGTCTGGCTGCTAGGTAGAGAAGTAGGTACCTCCTAGGTATAGGTGTGCAGCTCCCAGTTGTAGGTGTGTGGCTCCTAGTTTCAGGTCTGTGGCTCCTAGGGCAGATGTAGGACTACAGAAGCTGAAGTGGAGCAAGGACACTGGGGATCTTTAGACACCCCAGGCTTCACACAGAATAGTTAGTGGCTCTATTAGTCCCTTTTCACACTGCTGATAAAGACATACCTGAGACCAGGCAATTTAAAAAGGAAAGAGTTTAATGGAGAACTCATAGCTCCACGTGGCTGGGGAAGCCTCACAATCATGGCAGAAGGCAAGGAGGAGCAAGTCACATCTTACATGGATGGTGGCAGGCAAAAAGAGCTTGTGCAGAGAAACTCCCATTTTTTAAAACCATCAGATCTTGTGAGAGCCATGCACTATTATGAGAACAGCACAGGAAAGACCCATCCCCATGATTCAATCATCTCCCACTGGGTCCCTCCCACAGCATGCGGGAATTATGGGAGCTACAAGATGAGGTTTGGGTGGGGACACAGAGCCAAACCATATCATTCTGCCCCAGGCCCCTCCCAGATCTCATATCTTCACATTTCAAAACCAATCATGCCTTCCCAACAGTCCCCCAAAGTCACAACTCATTTCAGCATTAACTCAAAAGTCCACAGTCCAAAGTCTCATCTGAGACAGGGCAAGTTGCTTCTGCCTATGATCCTGCAAAATCAAAAGCAAGTTAGTTAATTCCTAAATACAGTGGGGGTACAGGCATTGGGTAAATACAGCCATTCCAAGTGGGAGAAATTGGCCAAAACAAAGGGGCTACAGGCCCCATGCAAGTCTGAAATCCGGTGAGGCCGTCAAATCTTAAAGCTCCAAAATGATCTCCTTTGACTCCATGTCTCACATCCAGGTCATGCTAATGCAAGAGGTGGGTTCCCATGGTCTCGGGCAGCCCCACCCCTGTGGCTTTGCAGGGTACACATCCCTCCCAGCTGCCTTCACGGGCTGGTGTTGAGTGTCTGCAGCTTTTCCAGCTGCATGGTGCAAGCTGTCAGTGGATCTATCATTCTGTGGTCTGGAGGATGGTGGCCCTCTTCTCACAGCTCCACTAGGCCATGCCCCAGTATGGACTCTGTGTGGGGGCTCTGACTCCACATTTCCCTTCCACACTGCCGTAGCAGAAGTTCTCCACGAGGGCTCTGCCTCTGCAGTAAACTTGTGCCTGGGCATCCAGATGTTTCCATACATCTTCTGAAATCTAGGCGGAGGTTCCCAAACCTCAGTTCTTGACTTCTGTGCACTTGCAGGCTTAATACCACATGAAAGCTGCCAAGGCTTGAGGCTTGCACCCTCTGAAGCCATGGCCTAAGCTCTACATTGGCCTCTTTCAGCAACAGCTGGAATGGCTGGGATGAAGGGCACCAAGTCCTAGGCCGCACACAGCACAGGGACCATGGGACCAGCCCACAGAACCACTTTTTTCTCCTAGGTCTGTGATGGAAGGGGCTACCATGAAGCCCTCTGACATGCCCCGGAGACATTTTCCCCATTGTTTTGGTGATTAACATTTGGCTTCTTGTTACTCATGCAAATTTCTGCAGCTGGCTTGAATTTCTCCTTGGAAAATGGGATTTTCTTTTCTATTGCATTGTCAGACTGCAAATTTTCCAAACTTTTATGCTCTTCTTTTAAAACTGATGTCTTTAACAGCACCTAAGTAACACTCTGAAGCTTTGCTACTTAGAAATTTCTTCCACCAGATACCCTAAATTATCTCTCTCAAGTTCAAAGTTCCACAAGTCTCTAGGGCAGGGGCAAAATGCTGCCAGTCTCTTTGTCAAAACATAATAAGAGTCACCTTTACTCCAGTTCCCAACAAGTTCCTCATCTCCATCTGAGACCACCTCAGCCTGGACCTTATTGTTCATATAACTATCAACATTTTTGTCAAAGCCATTCAACAAGTCTCTAGGAAGTCCCAAACTTTCCCACATTATCCTGTCTTCTGAGACTTCCAAACTGTTCCAACCTCGCCTGTTACCCAGTTCCTAAGTCGCTTCCACATTTTTGGGTATCTTTTCAGTAATGCCTCATTCTACTGGTACCAATTTACTGTATTAGTTTGTTTTCATGCTGCTGATAAAGACATACCCAAGACTGGGCAGTTCACAAAGAAAAGAGGTTTAATGGAGAACTCACAGCTCCATGTGACTGGGGAAGCCTCATAGTCATGGTGGAAGGTTAGGAGGAGCAAGTCACATCTTATGTGGATGGCAGCAGGCAAAAAGAGCTTGTGCAGAGAAACTCCCATTTTTTAAAACCATCAGATCTTGTGAGACTCATTCATTATTATGAAAGCAGCATGAGAAAGACCCACCCTCATGATTCAATCATCTCCCACCAGGTCCCTCCCACAACATGTGGGAATTATGGGAGCTACAAGATGAGATTTGGGTGGGAACACAGAGCCAAATTACATCAGTGGCCATTCACCGTGATAGGAATTTGAAGGCTGCATTTTGCTGAAAATGACGGTACAAACAAGAAAATTTGAATCCAGCTCAACTACAGACTGCATGGATTTAACCCCTTATACTAATAGCATGACAAAGGAGGTATGCCCATTTTCAAGCACAAATAGTATTTATCTCAGTGTTTACTATCTTTTACACACAATAAAAGTTTACAAGTCCTATGAAATCAAGACAATAAGACTTATAAAGAGACAAAACAATCAAAGAGGCCAGACCCAGAGATGGAGCTGGTGCTGGAATATTAATATCAGATTTAACATTACTATACACATTTAACATTACAATGGCTAATATGTTAAAGGAGATACTGGAAAAGATGAACAACAGGCATCAACAAATGAATTTCATCAAAGTGACAGAAACTACAGAAAGAATCAAATAGAAATACTAGAAGAGAGAAAACAATATTGGATAAAGAAGTCCCTTTAAGAGGCTTATTGCATGTGGGCAGACTGGACATAATACAGTAAAGAATCAGTGAACTTGAATGTTGGTAAATAGATAGTATCCAAACTGAAACACAAAGGGAATATAAAGAATGGCACATGTATACATATGTAACAAACCTGCACGTTGTGCACATGTACCCTAAAACTTAAAGTATAATAATAATAAAATTTAAAAAAAAATGAACAAAACAAAAGAGAATATCCATGATCAGCAGAACACAATAAAATGATTGAACTTAACATATAATTTATTGGAGTCACCAAGGGACGATGGATAGAGAGAATGGGGCAGCAGAATAGTTTAAAAGATAATGATGAGAATTTTCCAGACTTAATGAAAGATAATAAACCACAGATCAAAGAACTGTTAAAAGAATAAGCACACAGAAGCTTAATGTTAAACACAGTCAAACTGTCAAAAACCAACATAAAGAAAAATATAAAGAGAAAAGTTTGAAAGCAGTTAGAGAAAAATGAAATGTCACACACATAGGATCTAATAAAAATAATAGCAGACTTCTCATCAGAAACAATTAATGCCAGGCTGGGCATGGTGGCATGTAATCCTAGCACTTTGGGAGGCTGAGGCAGGTGGATCACCTGAGGTCAGGAGTTTGAGACCAGCCTGGCCAACATGGTGAAACCTGTCTCTACTAAAAATACAAAAATTAGCCAGGCATGGTGGCGGGTGCCTGTAATCCCAGCTACTTGGGAGGCTGAGGGAGAAGAATCACTTGAATCTAGGAGGCAGAGGTTGCAGTGAGCTGAGATTGCACCACTGCACTCCAGCTTGGGTGACAGAGCAAGACTCTGTCTCAAAACAAAAAACAAAAAACAAAAAGCAAAAAACAAAAAACAAAACAAAAAATTAGTTCCAGATGACAATGAAATGACTTGTTTAAAATGCTGACCACTTAGAATTCTGTATCAGTGAAACTATCATTCAGAAATGAAGGCTAAAAAAGACTTCTCTAGACAGACAAAAGATGAAAAGTTCATCTATGGCAAAACCCATTGCTAAAAATGTTAAAAAGAAAGCCTAAAGACTTAAGGAGTACTGCCATATCCATGGTTCTATAAGATGGAATGAAGGACCCCAGAAAGAATTAATAAGTAGTAAATATAGAATATCTTTATATAATAAATCTTACATATATATGTAAACACTTTGGCTAATTAAAAGAAAAATAATAAGAAGTGATCATAAGTTATCCATGGAAACAAAGGGAAGATAGTAATTAGAAATATATTGTCTTAAAGTTCTTAAATAGTTTGTGAACTAATACAATACTTGGGGAACATACTGTGATAAGGTAAAGATGCATGTTTTAGTATCTAAAGCAATCACTAAAAATTAACCCAAAACCAAAAACATATAACTAAAACATCATTAGAGGAAATAAGATAAAATACTGCGAATATTTGATTCATCCACAATCCCCAACTGAAAAAAGGTGGCTGTACTCCGTTAAAAATAAAAAAAAAACACCATTAGGCACATGAATTTCACATAATAGAAAGCTGTAATGTCCAGTCTAGTTTATAAAAGCATAACTTTATTTATTTATTTATTTATTTATTTATTTTTGTTTTTAGTTCTTTTTATTATTATTATTATTTTACTTTAAGTTTTAGGGTACATGTGCACAATGTGCAGGTTAGTTACATATGTATACCTGTGCCATGCTGGTGCGCTGCACCCACTAACTTGTCATCTAGCATTAGGTATATCTCCCAATGCTATCCCTCCCCCCTCGCCCCACCCCACAACAGTCCCCAGAGTGTGATGTTCCCCTTCCTGTGTCCATGTGTTCTCATTGTTCAGTTCCCACCTATGAGTGAGAATATGCGGTGTTTGGTTTTTTATTCTTGTGATAGTTTACTGAGAATGATGATTTCCAATTTCATCCATGTCCCTGCAAAGGACATGAACTCATCATTTTTTATGGCTGCATAGTATTCCATGGTGTATATGTGCCACATTTTCTTAATCCAGTCTATCATTGTTGGACATTTGGGTTGGGTCCAAGTCTTTGCTATTGTGAATAATGCTGCAATAAACATACGTGTGCATGTGTCTTTATAGCAGCATGATTTATAGTCCTTTGGGTATATACCCAGTAATGGAATGGCTGGGTCAAATGGTATTTCTAGTTCTAGATCCCTGAGGAATTGCCACACTGACTTCCACAATGGTCGAACTAGTTTACAGTCCCACCAGTAATGTAAAAGTGTTCCTATTTCTCCACATCCTCTCCAGCACCTGTTGTTTCCTTTTTAATGATTGCCATTCTAACTGGTGTGAGATGGTATCTCATTGTGGTTTTGATTTGCATTTCTCTGATGGCCAGTGATGGTGAGCATTTTTTCATGTGTTTTTTGTCTTCTTTTGAGAAGTGTCTGTTCATGTCCTTCGCCCACTTTTTGATGGGGTTGTTTGTTTTTTTCTTGTAAATTTGTTTGAGTTCATTGTAGATTCTGGATATTAGCCCTTTGTCAGATGAGTAGGTTGCGACAATTTTCTCCCATTTTGTAGGTTGCCTGTTCACTCTGATGGTAGTTTCTTTTGCCGTGCAGAAGCTCTTTAGTTTAATTAGATCCCATTTGTCAATTTTGGCTTTTGTTGCCATTGCTTTTGGTGTTTTAGACATGAAGTCCTTGCCCATGCCTATGTCCTGAATGGTAATGCCTAGGTTTTCTTCTAGGGTTTTTTATGGTTTTAGGTCTAACGTTTAAGTCTTTAATCCACCTTGAATTGATTTTTGTATAAGGTGTAAGGAAGGGATCCAGTTTCAGCTTTCTACATATGGCTAGCCAGTTTTCCCAGCACCGTTTATTAAATAGGGAATCCTTTCCCCATTGCTTGTTTTTCTCAGGTTTGTCAAAGATCAGATAGTTGTAGATATGCGGCGTTATTTCTGAGGGCTCTGTTCTGTTCCATTGGTCTATATCTCTGTTTTCGTACCAGTACCATGCTGTTTTGGTTACTGTAGCCTTGTAGTATAGTTTGAAGTCAGGTAGTGTGATGCCTCCAGCTTTGTTCTTTTGGCTTAGGATTGACTTGGCGATGCGGGCTCTTTTTTGGTTCCATATGAACTTTAAAGTAGTTTTTTCCAATTCTGTGAAGAAAGTCATTGGTAGCTTGATGGGGATGGCATTGAATCTATAAATTACCTTGGGCAGTATGGCCATTTTCACGATATTGATTCTTCCTACCCATGAGCATGGAATGTTCTTCCATTTGTTTGTATCCTTTTTTATTTCCTTGAGCAGTGGTTTGTAGTTCTCCTTGAAGAGGTCCTTCACATCCCTTGTAAGTTGGATTCCTAGGTATTTTATTCTCTTTGAAGCAATTGTGAATGGGAGTTCACTCATGATTTGGCTCTCTGTTTGTTTGTTGGTGGTGTATAAGAATGCTTGTGATTTTTGTACATTGATTTTGTATCCTGAGACTTTGCTGAAGTTGCTTATCAGCTTAAGGAGATTTTGGGCTGAGACAATGGGGTTTTCTAGATATACAATCATGTCATCTGCAAACAGGGACAATTTAACTTCCTATTTTCCTAATTGAATACCCTTTATTTCTTTCTCCTGCCTAATTGCCCTGGCCAGAACTTCCAACACTATGTTGAATAGGAGTGGTGAGAGAGGGCATCCCTGTCTTGTGCCAGTTTTCAAAGGGAATGCTTCCAGTTTTTGCCCATTCAGTATGATATTGGCTGTGGGTTTGTCATAGATAGCTCTTATTATTTTGAGATACGTCCCATCAATACCTAATTTATTGAGAGTCTTTAGCATGAAGCATTGTTGAATTTTGTCAAAGGCCTTTTCTGCATCTATTGAGATAATCATGTGGTTTTTGTCTTTGGTTCTGTTTATATACTGGATTACATTTATTGATTTGTGTATATTGAACCAGCCTTGCATCCCAGGGATGAAGCCCACTTCATCATGGTGGATAAGCTTTTTGATGTGCTGCTGGATTCAGTTTGCCAGTATTTTATTGAGGATTTTTGCATCGATGTTCATCAGGGATATTGGTCTAAAATTCTCTTTTTTGGTTGTGTCTCTGCCCGGCTTTGGTATCAGGATGATGCTGGCCTCATAAAATGAGTTAGGGAGGATTCCCTCTTTTTCTACTGATTGGAATAGTTTCAGAAGGAATGGTACCAGTTCCTTCTTGTACCTCTGGTAGAATTTGGCTGTGAATCCATCTGGTCCTGGACTCTTTTTCATTGGTAAGCTATTGATTATTGCCACAATTTCAGCTCCTGTTATTGGTCTATTCAGAGATTCAACTTCTTCCTGGTTTAGTCTTGGGAGAGTGTATGTGTCAAGGAATTTATCCATTTCTTCTAGATTTTCTAGTTTATTTGCATAGAGGTGTTTGTAGTATTCTCTGATGGTAGTTTGTATTTCTGTGGGATCGGTGGTGATATCCCATTTATCATTTTTTATTGTGTCTATTTGATTCTTCTCTCTTTTTTTCTTTATTAGTCTTGCTAGCAGTCTATCAATTTTGTTGATCCTTTCAAAAAACCAGCTCCTGGATTCATTAATTTTTTGAAGGGTTTTTTGTGTCTCTATTTCCTTCAGTTCTGCTCTGATTTTAATTATTTCTTGCTTTCTGCTAGCTTTTGAATGTGTTTGCTCTTGCTTTTCTAGTTCTTTTAATTGTGATGTTAGGGTGTCAATTTTGGATCTTTCCTGCTTTCTCTTGTGGGCATTTAGTGCTATAAATTTCCCTCTACACACTACTTTGAATGTGTCCCAGAGATTCTGGTATGTTGTGTCTTTGTTCTCATTGGTTTCAAAGAACATCTTTATTTCTGCCTTCATTTCGTTATGTACCCAGTAGTCATTCAGGAGAAGGTTGTTCAGTTTCCATGTAGTTGAGCGGTTTTGAGTGAGATTCTTAATCCTGAGTTCTAGTTTGATTGCACTGTGGTCTGAGGGATAGTTTGTTGTAATTTCTCTTCTTTTACATTTGCTGAGGAGAGCTTTACTTCCAAGTATGTGGTCAATTTTGGAATAGGTGAGGTGTGGTGCTGAAAAAAATGTATATTCTGTTGATTTGGGGTGGAGAGTTCTGTAGATGTCTATTAGGTCTGCTTGGTGCAGAGCTGAGATCAATTCCTGGGTATCCTTGTTGACTTTCTGTCTCATTGATCTGTCTAATGTTGACAGTGGGGTGTTAAAGTCTCCCATTATTAATGTGTGGGAGTCTAAGCCTCTTTGTAGGTCACTCAGAACTTGCTTTATGAATCTGGGTGCTCCTGTATTGGTTGCATATATATTTATGATAGTTAGCTCTTCTTGTTGAATTGATCCCTTTACCATTAAGTAATGGCCTTCTTTGTCTCTTTTGATCTTTGTTGGTTTAAAGTCTGTTTTATCAGAGACTAGGATTGCAACCCCTGCCTTTTTTTGTTTTCCATTTTCTTGGTAGATCTTCCTCCATCCTTTTATTTTGAGCCTATGTGTGTCTCTGCACGTGAGATGGGTGTCCTGAATACAGCACACTGATGAGTCTTGATTCTTTATCCAATTTGCCAGTCTGTGTCTTTTAACTGGAGCATTTAGTCCATTTACATTTAAAGTTAATATTGTTATGTGTGAATTTGATCCTGTCATTATGATGTTAGCTGGTTATTTTGCTCGTTAGTTGATGCAGTTTCTTCCTAGTCTCAATGGTCTTTACATTTTGGCATGATTTTGCAGTGGCTGGTACCGGTTGTTCCTTTCCATGTTTAGCACTTCCTTCAGGAGCTCTTTTAGGGCAGGCCTGGTGGTGACAAAATCTCTCAGCATTTGCTTGTCTGTAAAGTATTTTATTTCTCCTTCACTTATGAAGCTTAGTTTGGCTGGATATGAAATTCTGGGTTGAAAATTCTTTTCTTTAAGAATGTTGAATATTGGCCCCCACTCTCTTCTGGCTTGTAGAGTTTCTGCTGAGAGATCTGCTGTTAGTCTGATGGGCTTCCCTTTGATGGTAACCCGACCTTTCTCTCTGGCTGCCCTTAACATTTTTTCCCTCATTTCAACTTTGGTGAATCTGACAATTATGTGTCTTGGTGTTGCTCTTCTCAAGGAGTATCTTTGTGGCATTCTCTGTATTTCCTGAATCTGAGTTTTGGCCTGCCTTGCTAGATTGGGGAAGTTCTCCTGGATAATATCCTGCAGAGTGTTTTCCAACTTGGTTCCATTCTCCCTGTCACTTTCAGGTACACCAATCAGATGTAGATTTGGTCTTTTCACATAGTCCCATATTTCTTGGAGGCTTTGCTCGTTTCTTTTTATTCTTTTTTCTCTAAACTTCCCTTCTTGCTTCATTTCATTCATTTCATCTTCCATCACTGATACCCTTTCTTCCAGTTGATCGCATTGGCTCCTGAGGCTTCTGCATTCTTCACATAGTTCTGGAGCCTTGGTTTTCAGCTCCATCAGCTCCTTTAAGCACTTCTCTGTATTGGTTATTCTGGTTATACATTCTTCTAAATCTTTTTCAAAGTTTTCAACTTCTTTGCCTTTGGTTTGAATGTCCTCCCGTAGCTCAGAGTAATTTGATCGTCTGAAGCCTTCTTCTCTCAGCTTGTCAAAGTCATTCTGCGTCCAGCTTTGTTCCGTTGCTGGTGAGGAACTGAGTTCCTTTGGAGGAGGAGAGTCGCTCTGCTTTTTAGAGTTTCCATTTTTTCTGTTCTGTTTTTTCCCCATCTTTGTGGTTTTATCTACTTTTGGTCTTTGATGATGGTGATGTACAGTTGGGTTTTTGGTGTGGATGTCCTTTCCGTTTGTTAGTTTTCCTTCTAACAGACAGGACTCTCAGCTGCAGGTCTGTTGGAGTACCCGGCCGTGTGAGGTGTCAGTCTGCCCCTGCTGGGGGGTGCCTCCCAGTTAGGCTGCTCGGGGGTCAGGGGTCAGGGACCCACTTGAGGAGGCAGTCTGCATGTTCTCAGATCTCCAGCTGCATGCTGGGAGAACCACTGCTCTCTTCAAAGCTGTCAGACAGGGACATTTAAGTCTGCAGAGGTTACTGCTGTCTTTTTGTTTGTCTGTGCCCTGCCCCTAGAGGTGGAGCCTAAAGAGGCAGGCAGGCCTCCTTGAGCTGTGGTGGGCTCCACCCAGTTCGAGCTTCCTGGCTGCTTCGTTTACCTAAGCAATCCTGGGCAATGGCGGGCGCCCCTCCCCCAGGCTTGCTGCTGCCTTGCCGTTTGATCTCAGACTGCTGTGCTAGCAATCAGCGAGACTCCCTGGGCGTAGGACCCTCCGAGCCATGTGCGGGATATAATCTCCTGGTGTGCTGTTTTTTAAGCCCGTCAGAAAAGCGCAGTATTCGGGTGGGAGTGACCCGATTTTCCAGGTGCTGTCTGTCACCACTTTCTTTGACTAGGAAAGGGAACTCCCTGACCCCTTGAGCTTCCTGAGTGAGGCAATGCCTTGCCCTGCTTCAGCTCGCACACAGTGCACGCACCCACTGACCTGCGCCCACTGTCTGGCACTCCCTAGTGAGATGAACCCGGTACCTCAGATGGAAATGCAGAAATCACCCATCTTCTGCGTCACTCACACTGGGAGCTGTAGACTGGAGCTGTTCCTATCCGGCCATCTTGGCTTCTCCCCCAAAAGCATAACTTTAAAAGAGAGGTGCTCAGCTCATATTTCTTTGTTCCAGAAATCACTAGAATACCAAAAAAATTGGAGTCCAGATCCATGTGGTATTCAGAACTGGGTCTATGAGGATGTAAAGAATAAACCACCATTTTCTCAATGTGAGAAGATTTCAGAGATGAACCATCCCAGCCCAGTATGTCATACGTCATATGGTTAACAACTGGATTTAGAAAGTTTGCAGCTCCTCTTCCCTCAC
The DNA here is from genome assembly GCF_000001405.40 of Homo sapiens. Classification (NCBI taxonomy): domain Eukaryota; kingdom Metazoa; phylum Chordata; class Mammalia; order Primates; family Hominidae; genus Homo; species Homo sapiens. Next base: position 45,383,775 of record NC_000007.14, read on the forward strand.
ACTCAGCTTTATTGAGGTAAATTGATGAATAAAAATTGTGTATATTTAAGGTATACATGTGATGTTTTGACATATATATATGTCTTTCTGTGCCTGGCTTATTTTACTTAGCACAATGTCCTCCAACTTCATCCATATTGTTGCAAATGGCAGAATTTACTTCTTTTCTTTTCTTTCTTTTTTTTTTTTAATTTTGAGACAGGGTTTCACTCTGTCACCCAGGCTGGAGTGCAGTGGTGTGATCACAGCTTACTGCAGCCTTGAACTTCTGGGCTCAAGCAATCCTCAAGAGAACTCCTGGGCTCAAGTCCTTCCTGCTGGGATCACAGGCACATGTCACCATGCCCATTAATTTTTAGTTTTTTTCTTACAGATGGGGTCTTGCTATGTTGCCCAGGCTGGTATTGAACTCTTGGCTTCAAGTGTCCTCCTGCCCTCGGCCTCCCAAAGTGCTGAGATTACAGGTGTGAGCTGCTGTGTCCAGCCAGATTTCCTTCTCCTTTAAGGCTGAGGAGCATTCCATTGTGTATATATACACCAGATTTTCTTTATCCATTCTTTAATGGACCTTAAGTCGAATCCATATCTTGGCTATTGTGAACATGGCTAATGTTGCAATGAACATTGGAGTGCAGATATCTCTTTAACAGACTGATTTTATTTCCTTTGGATATATACCTAGTAGTGGAATTGCTAGATCATATGTTAGTTCTATTTTTAATTTTTTGAGAAATCGCCATCCACTTTTTGAATGAACGGTACTTAATGGAAGAGTATTTTATAGTTACCCACATGGTCCAGGAAACTCTTCCATCCCTCCCTTTCTTACTCCCTCCCTCCCTCTCTCCTTCCTTTCCTTAGGCAGGGCCACACTCCTCCAAGCTTCTCTCCTTTGTGACTCATCCCATTGCATATCTTTCTGCAGGACTTAAGCACTGAGTGGCCAGCTTCACACAGCTCCATGAGGTCACAGGAGAATACTGAGCCCAGGATGTGAACGGACACCCAGCTGGGCAGAAGGGAGCCAGGTAAGAACTCTGGCCAACCACTGGCCATGCACTTCGCAGGGGCTGCTGATCTGTCCAGTCAGAAAATAATGGACCTGACTGGCTATTTTTCTCCATTCAAGTTTGCTGACTCCTGTTTTTCAACAAATACTGCTCCTTTACAAAAATGTGTGCCTACATTTGTTTTCACTGATGAAATTGTGTACAAAACAAATACACTGCAAGGATTGTATTTTGAAGCATAAATTGATTATAATTCAAACAGTCATGTTTCTCAAACCCTGAGTCATGATTTTAGTAGCACTCAGTAGCTTGAAAAAGCTGTTTGTGTGTGTGTGAGGATGGGGGGATCCTTAAACCACCATACCACTTAGTTTAAAATCAAGTGACCCAGTTTACATTTTTCCAGTCTTTCTTAGTGATGAAATGTTAGTGACACCCACTTAAGGAATATCTGAGATGTCTGTGCACAAAGCATATCATGAGCCAGTACCTCAGCTAACACACAAGGAAGCCTGGTCCTGAGGCCCTGATCCTTCAGCACGAGCCCGGAGGTGATGCAGGGCTCCTGACCCACAGCTCAAGCCTGTCTCTGTGAAATATAATCCATGGATTTTAGCACAACAAGGGATCTCTGCACTCGGCCTGCTGAACTGTCTTCTGCAACTACAGAAACTGAGGTCCGGGGTAGGGCAGGGACACATGGCAGGCTTGCATGGCTGGCACATGGTGAAAAGGGGGTGTCCCCTCCTGTGATACTGTCCTGTATCCATCAAGCAGCAAGTGTCCCACAAGCATGTGGGGTCTTAATGGCTCATCAGGGCAGTTCTCAGGGCTTGAGCCTCGGGGGAGGGTGTGGTTGGGATGTATATGTTCCCTGGGGCAGGCAGAGGGAGATGGAAGACGGCAGAAGGAAGGCAGCCAGGCAAAGGGAAGCCAGGAGAATGGCATAGGGGCCCAGCATTTCTGGCTCCTGCAGGGGACACAGGGGTCAGAAGTAGCTGGCTGGCTGGGGAGGGGAGAGAAAATGAGGAGATGTAAAGTATGTAGGGAATGGGAAGGTGGAAGGTTGAGCTGGGAGGGACATCTGAACACACTCAGGCCTGTGGACATGAGGGTCCCCTGGGTGTGACCATCTCCAAACCTTCCTTTTGTTGCTTTTAATTGTTAGTTTACCTGGTATCTGAAGCAGTGTGGACATTTGCACTGAGCTGTACTACATTCTGCGCAGGTGATGCCTTGTGTGGTTTGTGAGCAGAAAGGAATAGAGAGTTGTAAGGGCCCAGTGATGATTGAGCCAGCTGGATGCAGCTCACTGCCTTCCTGTGGTGCAATTGAAGAGGGGAACCTGCGAGGCCACAACTGCTCATCCTGCCTGCTATGGTTTGAATGAGTTCCCCAAAGCCTCATATGTTCATCCCTCACGTGGCAGTGCTGGGAGGTGGGGCCTAGTGAGAGGTGATCAGGTTTTATAATGGATTAAGGTTACAGCAGGAGTGGGATTGTGAGAGTGGGTGCGTTATAAAAGTGAGTTCAGTTCTCTCACCCTCTCACCTTCAGCCATGGGATGACATAGAGAGAAGGCCTTTGCCAGATGCAGACACCTTGGTATTGGACTTTCCAGCCCCCAGAACTGTGAGCCAAATAAATTTATGCTCATTATAAATGACTCAGTCTGTGGTATTTTGCTGGAGTAGCACAAATGAACTAAGATGTGCCCCTTCACCTGGTGCCCCTCCTTCATACTCACCCCCACCTACTCTGAGCCCTGATGCTGCGTTACCTGCCTGCTCAGCCTGTTAGGGGTCTGTGTACATATCTATCTGCTCAGCTAACTTCAGAACGTCTGCCGATTCCATCCTGGCACCTGGAGCCTGTGCTGCACCTGGCACGGAGCAGTTCCCTCAAACCCAGATGTGGAGGCCTGAGCTGGCTATTGTGGGGACCCTGGAACCCTGTTTTTCTTGTTGGAAAAATTGGTGAAGGCACATTCTCTGGCTATGTAGCAGAAGCCCAGGGTCCTCCTCATTGCTTAGGTTTTTATATGCAGATAGGGACCAATTTCTGGGATCCAGGAGAATTTGAGACTGTCTAGGTGGTCTCACAGCCCAGAAGTAGTTGCAACTCTTCTCAGTGAGACCAGAATGTCCACTGTGGAAATAGTCTGTGCTTTCAAAAAATAAAACATGTTCATTCTAGGTCTAACCTGTAGGAAAAGACCTGCTCCTATAGGCTGTGGGGCTTCATGTGGCTGCAGGAGGGCAAGCAGGACCCTCTCACAGCTCTGGGTTTTTGTCCTTCTGGCCTACCTGGGAGGGGGTCGGCAGCTGCCCGGGGTGAGTGGGGAGAGGCCTGGAAGACCCCTCAGAGGATCTTCAAAAATAATAGCAACAGTAATAATGATAATATCACTGCTGGTTAGATAAAAATTATCAGGGGCCAGATGTGCTCCACGAGCTCTAATCCACCACCGCCCATCCCACAGTGAGCTGATGCTGCTTCTCACCATTTTTATAGCCCCCCTCTCCCACGGAAGCACCTGCTGCCCCTGCTTCTGCCCCCAGAGCCCCTGACCATGGGAGAAGAGGCCTGGAGTCCAGCCCCAGGATGGAGCTGCAGTGGCCCATCTGCAAAATGGGCACAACAGGGACTGTCCTACCCACCCAAGGGGATGACCTGGCCTTGGCGTGGCCAAGGGTGGTGGGATTTCTGTTCTAGGACTTGTTTTAGGGAGCAGCAGGAGGGACCACAGGCCTCTGGGGCAGAGAGCAGCTGAGGGGCCCTGTCTTGAGGCTCTGTCTGCAGGTGAGAGGGCGTGGGGTGAGGGGGCCTTTGTGGGTTCCAGATTTGCTGATGCTTGGCTGGTCCAGAGGGTGTTACAGGTGTCAGGATGGAGCCTTCCAACCTGGTCCCCTGCCTTATCCCAAAGAGCAACAAATGACAAATGGAAGCTGTCTTTGTCTATGAACTCTGGCCTCTATGTCCCGAGCAGGTATCAGGCACCTGAGATGTGCGGATGAGGAGGAATGCTGAGTCCCACTCCCCCGGGGAGCAACCCCTGTCTTGGCCGAGACCTCTAGTGACCTTCCCCCACCCAACTCTGCTTGCTACATACAGACACCTGGATGCTCCTGAGGGCATCCTGAGGCCCCTGCCCAGATGACACTGGGCTTGGCAAGCACCCCTCCCTGCCTGGACACCAATACATCCCAGCACCCCCACCTCCTGCCATGAGTCAGGATGACAGTCACACCCCTGATACACTGTGCTCCTGCTTTAACCCTGGCAATGAGACAAGGACGTGGACTTCAGCCCTGTTAGACACTCATCCTCATCTCCACTGTGCGGATGACAGAGTGGGAATGATTTGTTGTACCTTGTGGGTGTAGGACTCAAGAATGAGCTGACATCTCTGACAAGGAGCTGGACTTTCCATGGGTCCTTCGGGCCCCAGGTTGCTCTGCCCACCACGGTCACCCTGGCAGCTCCTGGGCTTCACCAGTATCAGCAGGGGTTGCACTCTTTCCATGGTGGATGCCTGGTTCAGAAGCCTTGTCATGTTTAATGTTTTGTGTACCACAATAATTAAATGAGGCCAAAGTACTTGTTCCTACTGAAATGAAAATGATCTGAAGAAATAACCCACATACAAAGTTAATGCATAGACTGGCCCAGCCTGGTCTGTATTTACTTTGGGGGATCCCTGGGCCTGTATGGGGCCTCAGGTGGACCCCAGAGCTCCTAGCTGCACACCATCCTTCTTCTATCTCCCCGTCTACACCTCCTCCCAGCCCACATGTCAATTCATCTAAAGGACCGAGGTGCTGCTCTTGGCTCCAAGGTCCCCAGCCAGTATAGAACAGCAAAGCCAAAAATAAGTAGACAAACAAATGAATAAACAAGCAAGCAAATAAATGTTATAAGGACTGGAAATAAATTTTAAAAAACTTTTAGTATTCATACATGATAGGAGTGTGTATGTAGAAGATACGAAGCAGTCTTAAATGAAGAGTGACAACTAATAATAGTGCTTAGTGATATTGCTGGAATTAAAATCAATATACAGAATTAACTGTTTCTATATACTAGCAACATACCTGTTGTGAAATAAATTTTTTATTCATTTGTAAACATGAAAAAATCTATTTACACTAAAAATATGAATGACTCAAGGATAAAGTAACACATCTAGAAGATGTTCTATACTGTTATGAGAAAAATTACAAAAAAATCACTAGAAATAGGCAGGAAATCACTGAAAAGTACTGAAATAAATGTAGAGGTGTAATATGATCTTGGACTGGAAAACACATTTTTAAAGGTCAATTCTGCACAAATTGATCTATATTTAAAAAAACTCACTCTCTGAGCCACACCCTGTGTTAAGCATGAGGACGCTGATCTTTGGGCTTGTGTTTTAATTATTTTTGTTCATGCCTCTTCTCCTCCGTCAGACCAGGGGCCCCTCAGGGTAGGAACCTCACACAGGGCCAACAACACAGTAGGAGTCAAACTATCATCTGGTATAGTTGCAAAACGCAATTTTCTTAAGAGCAAATTGTTATAAAATGCACAGCTGTTTCCTGTCATATGTCATGAGGATAAACACCTGTTTGCATGGAAAAAAAAAAGTGTCCTGTCCAAATGGATCCTGTAAGCAGAACCACAATGAGTCCCATTGGACTTGGACTAACAGCGGTCCTACAGGATAAGTTAATATGTAATCTCTGCTTTGTGGAATCAGCCAAGATGATGGGTTACAAAAGCCAAGGGAATTTTGATCAGACATCAGGAAGACCACATGTTGGAAAACAGATAACACTCTTCCTAGGATGACTGGAGAGGCCAGAGGCATTAGGAATAATATCACAGGGTATAAGTAATGAAGTCTTCAAAATGACTTCATGACTCTGGAGGTAGACATGGCCAGGGAGTGAGCCAGTGCCTGCCTCCAGTGTGCTACTTGGCCTGCCTGAGCCGGTGCCGAATGCGCCCAACACCTGAGTAACCAGACAGCCCATAGCCATCAGTGTTCTAAACTGATTGGCCAACCTTTTCTGCAAAACAGTGTAAACAAATGGGGCAAATGTGTTCTAATGAAACTTTATGGGGACTTAAATCTGAATTTCATATTGTTTTCATGTGTCATGAAAGAGTATTCTTTTAATTTTCACCAATCTGTTTAAAAATATAAAAAATAATACTAGCTTGTGAGTCATATAAAAACAGGTGTGGGCCGGATTTGGCCCATGGGGCCATAGTTCACAGACCCATGTTCTTAGGTAATACCTCTTGTTTCTTTCCAGATTAGCCCCTTCTTCACCAGGCATCATGGGTTGTTCTAAGCTGCCTCTTGCCTTCAGAGTTTTCCAAGAGATAAGCAGTATCTTAGGTTGAGTTCCCCCAATGACTCTGCCAGCGTGATTCAACCCCATCCTGGAGAGTAAAGTCCTGGTCTCCCCTCCTGCAGGTTCCCCGGTTATGGTTCCTCTGCATGGCATCTGAAGCCTCTTGGAGTGGCTTGGGCAACAACCCCTCTTATAACAGCAGAGAGCTTGGCTCCTTTTCCTCCCAACATGTTGAGGAGGAAAACAGACCTGGAAGCCATTGAGGAAGATGGGAAGGAGGTGGAGGGAGGTGGCCCGAGAAACCAGGCCTTCTTCCCCAGAGCAGGAGCCTGTGACAGAGTTCAGGACGGTGCAGAAGGAACAAGGAGACCTGCAATTGGATATTGGGTTGGTTTTGATTTGTATGAGATCAGGCTTTCAATGTGAGAGAGTGAGTCCTAATTTCCAACCGAGACTCTTCCAGCCACGGAATCTCCCTTAGCTATTATGTTGTGGGGACCTGGGGAAGGCAGTGAAGAGAAGAGGATGTTTGAGGCTGTGTTTGCAGGAAAACAAAGCAGTTGAGGAATGTTCAATCTGCTTGATAAATTGGTCACAGAGGCTTTTTAAAAACAAATTTATTGAAGTCTAATTTACATACCATAAACTTTACCAACCGTAAAATTCAATGATTCTTAGTAAGTTTACAGAGCTTTGAAACCATCGCCACGATCTAATTTTAGAAATTTACATCAGCCCAAAAACATCTCTCATGCCCAATTGCAGTCAATTCCTTATTCCAACAACAATCTCCTTCCTCTCTATACAGTAGTTCCTCCATATCCAAGGTTCCACTTTCTGTGGTTTCAGTTACCCATGGTCAACCATGGTCTGAAAATACTGAATGGAAAATCCCAGAAATAAACCATTTATAAGTTTTATATCGAATACTGTTCTGAGTAGCATGATGAAATCTCAGGCGGCCTCACTCCATTCTGCCCAGGACATGAATAACCCCTTTGTCTAGCATATCCATGCTGTACCCACACTTTATTGTATAGGAAAAAACAGTGTATATAGGGTTTGGTACTATTCGTGGTTTCAGGCATCCACCGGGGGTCTTGGAAGGCATCTGTCATGAGTAAGAGTGAACTAGCTCTTCTACTAGCACCGCAAAATGGAGACAGGGCTTCCTCATTTCCCCAAGGGAAGGCTGAGAAATAAAGGTCCTTCTCAAGTCAGCCCTGCTTGTCTCATCTTGAGGAAAAAGTGGGGAGGTGGAAGAGATGTCCCAATCACCCCTCTAAAAGGGTTGGGCCAGGCTCCTTCTAGTGGCCTTCAAAAAATGAAAACAAAAAACTGCCCCTACCGCTGAAATAGGAAACCCGTACGGGCATAAAGGCGGCTACTGGAGGGTTGACAAAGAAGGAAGAAGAGGGTTTTCCGTGGGAGAGTTAGGGAAAGGTCCTCCTTCTCAAGAATCCCCAACCCACCACAAACAGAGCTCAAAGCGGCCAGAGGCAGGCTGCCTCCTCCGCCTCCAGGCAGGCCTCCAGGGGCTTGGACGGTGGTGCCCCTGCTCCCCAAGGGGCACTGCTGCTTCTGCAGGAGCAGTGTTGGGGAGCACTGAGGCAGGCCAGGGATGAGGG